>NC_000007.14:59056517-59356517 GCF_000001405.40 Homo sapiens
TGTGTGCATTCAACTCACAGAGTGGAACGTCCCTTTAGACAGAGCAGATTTGAAACACTCTTTTTGCGGAAGTTGCAAGTGGAGATTTCTAGCCATTTGATGCCAACAGTACAAAGGGAAATATCTTCAAATAAAAACTAGACAGAGAATCATTCTCAGAAAATTCTTTGTGATGTGTGCGTTCAACTCACATAGTTTAACCTTTCTTTTCATAGAGCAGTTTGGAAACACTCTGTTTGTAAAGTCTGCAAGTGGATATATGGACCGTATTGAGGCCTTCGTTGGAAACGGGATTTCTTCATTTCATGCTAGACAGAAGAATTCTCAGTAACTTCTTTGTGCTGTGTGTATTCAACTCACAGAGTGGAACGTCTCTTTGCACAGAGCAGATTTGAAACACTCTTTTTGTGGAATTTGCAAGTGGAGATTTCAAGCGATTTGATGCCAACAGTAGAAAAGGAAATATCTTCAAATAAAAACTAGACAGAATCATTCTCAGAAACTACTTTGTGATGTGTGCCTTCAACTCACAGAGTTTAACCTTTCTTTTCTTAGAGCAGTTTAGAAACACTCTGCTTGTTATGTCTGCAAGTGGATATTTGGACCTCTTTGAGGCCTTCGTTGCAAACGGGGTTTCTTCCTTTCATGCTAGACTAAGAAGAGTTCTCAGTAACTTTTTTGTGTTGTGTGTATTCAACTCACAGAGTTGAACCTTGCTTTAGAGAGAGCAGATTTGAAACACTCTTGCTGTGGCATTTTCAGGTGGAGATTTCAAGCGTTTTGAGGACAATTGCAGAAAAGGAAATATCTTCGTATAATAACCAGACAGAATCATTCTCAGAAAGTGCTTTGTGATGTGTGCGTTCAACTCACAGAGTTTAACCTTTCTTTTCATAGAGGAGTTTGGAAACACACTGTTTGTAAAGTCTGCAATTGGATATATGGACCTGTTTGAGGCCTTCGTTGGAAACGGGATTTCTTCATTGCATGCTAGACGGAAGAATTCTCAGTAAATTCTTTGTGTTGTGTGCATTCAACTCACAGAGTGGAACGTCCCTTTAGACAGAGCAGATTTGAAACACTCTTTTTGCGGAATTTGCAAGTGGAGATTTCTAGCCATTTGATGCCAACAGTAGAAAGGGAAATATCTTCAAATAAAAACCAGACAGAATCATTCTCAGAAAATTCTTTGTGATGTGTGCGTTCAACTCACATAGTTTAACCTTTCTTTTCATAGAGCAGTTTGGAAACACTCTGTTTGTAAAGTCTGCAAGTGGATATATGGACCGCATTGAGGCCTTCGTTGGAAACGGGATTTCTTCATTTCATGTTAGACAGAAGAATTCTCAGTAACTTCTTTGTGCTGTGTGTATTCAACTCACAGAGTGGAACGTCCCTTTACACAGAGCAGATTTGAAACACTCTTTTTGTGGAGTTTGCAAGTGGAGATTTCAAGCGATTTGATGCCAACAGTAGAAAAGGAAATATCTTCAAATAAAAACTAGACAGAATCATTCTCAGAAACTACTTTGTGATGTGTGCCTTCAACTCACAGAGTTTAACCTTTCTTTTCTTAGAGCAGTTTAGAAACACTCTGCTTGTTATGTCTGCAAGTGGATATTTGGACCTCTTTGAGGCCTTCGTTGCAAACGGGGTTTCTTCCTTTCATGCTAGACTAAGAAGAGTTCTCAGTAACTTTTTTGTGTTGTGTGTATTCAACTCACAGAGTTGAACCTTGCTTTAGAGAGAGCAGATTTGAAACACTCTTGCTGTGGCATTTTCAGGTGGAGATTTCAAGCGTTTTGAGGACAATTGCAGAAAAGGAAATATCTTCGTATAATAACCAGACAGAATCATTCTCAGAAAGTGCTTTGTGATGTGTGCGTTCCACTCACAGAGTTTAACCTTTCTTTTCATAGAGGAGTTTGGAAACACACTGTTTGTAAAGTCTGCAAGTGGATATATGGACCTGTTTGAGGCCTTCGTTGGAAACGGGATTTCTTCATTGAATGCTAGACGGAAGAATTCTCAGTAAATTCTTTGTGTTGTGTGCATTCAACTCACAGAGTGGAACGTCCCTTTAGACACAGCAGATTTGAAACACTCTTTTTGCGGAATTTGCAAGTGGAGATTTCTAGCCATTTGATGCCAACAGTAGAAAGGGAAATATCTTCAAATAAAAACCAGACAGAATCATTCTCAGAAAATTCTTTGTGATGTGTGCGTTCAACTCACATAGTTTAACCTTTCTTTTCATAGAGCAGTTTGGGAACACTCTGTTGGTAATGTCTGCAAGTGGATATATGGACCGCTTTGAGGCCTTCGTTGGAAACGGGATTTCTTCATTTCATGCTAGACAGAAGAATTCTCAGTAACTTCTTTGTGTTGTGTGTATTCAACTCACAGATTGGAACGTCCCTTTACACAGAGCAGATTTGAAACACTCTTTTTGTGGAATTTGCAAGTGGAGATTTCAAGCGATTTGATGCCAACAGTAGAAAAGGAAATATCTGCAAACAAAAACTAGACAGAATCATTATCAGAAAGTGCTTTGTGATGTGTGCATTCAACTCACAGAGTTAACCTTTCTTTTCATAAAGGAGTTTGGAAACACACTGTTTGTAAAGTCTGCAATTGGATATATGGACCTGTTTGAGGCCTTCGTTGGAAACGGGATTTCTTCATTGAATGCTAGACGGAAGAATTCTCAGTAAATTCTTTGTGTTGTGTGCATTCAACTCACAGAGTGGAACGTCCCTTTAGACAGAGCAGATTTGAAACACTCTTTTTGCGGAATTTGCAAGTGGAGATTTCTAGCCATTTGATGCCAACAGTAGAAAGGGAAATATCTTCAAATAAAAACCAGACAGAATCATTCTCAGAAAATTCTTTGTGATGTGTGCGTTCAACTCACATAGTTTAACCTTTCTTTTCATAGAGCAGTTTGGGAACACTCTGTTGGTAATGTCTGCAAGTGGATATATTGACCGCTTTGAGGCCTTCGTTGGAAACGGGATTTCTTCATTTCATGCTAGACAGAAGAATTCTCAGTAACTTCTTTGTGCTGTGTGTATTCAACTCACAGAGTGGAACGTCCCTTTACACAGAGCAGATTTGAAACACTCTTTTTGTGGAGTTTGCAAGTGGAGAATTCAAGCGATTTGATGCCAACAGTAGAAAAGGAAATATCTTCAAATAAAAACTAGACAGAATCATTCTCAGAAACTGCTTTGTGATGTGTGCCTTCAACTCACAGAGTTTAACCTTTCTTTTCTTAGAGCAGTTTAGAAACACTCTGCTTGTTATGTCTGCAAGTGGATATTTGGACCTCTTTGAGGCCTTCGTTGCAAACGGGGTTTCTTCCTTTCATGCTAGACTAAGAAGAGTTCTCAGTAACTTTTTTGTGTTGTGTGTATTCAACTCACAGAGTTGAACCTTGCTTTAGAGAGAGCAGATTTGAAACACTCTTGCTGTGGCATTTTCAGGTGGAGATTTCAAGCGATTTGAGGACAATTGCAGAAAAGGAAATATCTTCGTATAATAACCAGACAGAATCATTCTCAGAAAGTGCTTTGTGTTGTGTGCGTTCAACTCACAGAGTTTAACCTTTCTTTTCATAGAGGAGTTTGGAAACACACTGTTTGTAAAGTCTGCAATTGGATATATGGACCTGTTTGAGGCCTTCGTTGGAAACGGGATTTCTTCATTGAATGCTAGACGGAAGAATTCTCAGTAAATTCTTTGTGTTGTGTGCATTCAACTCACAGAGTGGAACGTCCCTTTAGACAGAGCAGATTTGAAACACTCTTTTTGCGGAATTTGCAAGTGGAGATTTCTAACCATTTGATGCCAACAGTAGAAAGGGAAATATCTTCAAATAAAAACCAGACAGAATCATTCTCAGAAAATTCTTTGTGATGTGTGCGTTCAACTCACATAGTTTAACCTTTCTTTTCATAGAGCAGTTTGGAAACACTCTGTTTGTAAAGTCTGCAAGTGGATATATGGACCGCATTGAGGCCTTCGTTGGAAACGGGATTTCTTCATTTCATGCTAGACAGAAGAATTCTCAGTAACTTCTTTGTGCTGTGTGTATTCAACTCACAGAGTGGAACGTCCCTTTGCACAGAGCAGATTTGAAACACTCTTTTTGTGGAGTTTGCAAGTGGAGATTTCAAGCGATTTGATGCCAACAGTAGAAAAGGAAGTATCTTCAAATAAAAACTAGACAGAATCATTCTCAGAAACTACTTTGTGATGTGTGCCTTCAACTCACCGAGTTTAACCTTTCTTTTCTGAGAGCAGCTTAGAAACACTCTGCTTGTTATGTCTGCAAGTTGATATTTGGACCTCTTTGAGGCCTTCGTTGCAAACGGGGTTTCTTCCTTTAATGCTAGACTAAGAAGAGTTCTCAGTAACTTTTTTGTGTTGTGTGTATTCAACTCACAGAGTTGAACCTTGCTTTAGAGAGAGCAGATTTGAAACACTCTTGCTGTGGCATTTTCAGGTGGAGATTTCAAGCGATTTGAGGACAATTGCAGAAAAGGAAATATCTTCGTATAATAACCAGACAGAATCATTCTCAGAAAGTGCTTTGTGATGTGTGCGTTCAACTCACAGAGTTTAACCTTTCTTTTCATAGAGGAGTTTGGAAACACACTGTTTGTAAAGTCTGCAATTGGATATATGGACCTGTTTGAGGCCTTCGTTGGAAACGGGATTTCTTCATTGAATGCTAGACGGAAGAATTCTCAGTAAATTCTTTGTGTTGTGTGCATTCAACTCACAGAGTGGAACGTCCCTTTAGACAGAGCAGATTTGAAACACTCTTTTTGCGGAATTTGCAAGTGGAGATTTCTAGCCATTTGATGCCAACTGTAGAAAGGGAAATATCTTCAAATAAAAACCAGACAGAATCATTCTCAGAAAATTCTTTGTGATGTGTGCGTTCATCTCACATAGTTTAACCTTTCTTTTCTTAGAGCAGTTTAGAAACACTCTGCTTGTTATGTCTGCAAGTGGATATTTGGACCTCTTTGAGGCCTTCGTTGCAAACGGGGTTTCTTCCTTTCATGCTAGACTAAGAAGAGTTCTCAGTAACTTTTTTGTGTTGTGTGTATTCAACTCACAGAGTTGAACCTTGCTTTAGAGAGAGCAGATTTGAAACACTCTTGCTGTGGCATTTTCAGGTGGAGATTTCAAGCGTTTTGAGGACAATTGCAGAAAAGGAAATATCTTCGTATAATAACCAGACAGAATCATTCTCAGAAAGTGCTTTGTGATGTGTGCGTTCAACTCACAGAGTTTAACCTTTCTTTTCATAGAGGAGTTTGGAAACACACTGTTTGTAAAGTCTGCAAGTGGATATATGGACCTGTTTGAGGCCTTCGTTGGAAACGGGATTTCTTCATTGAATGCTCGACGGAAGAATTCTCAGTAAATTCTTTGTGTTGTGTGCATTCAACTCACAGAGTGGAACGTCCCTTTAGACAGAGCAGATTTGAAACACTCTTTTTGCGGAATTTGCAAGTGGAGATTTCTAGCCATTTGATGCCAACAGTAGAAAGGGAAATATCTTCAAATAAAAACCAGACAGAATCATTCTCAGAAAATTCTTTGTGATGTGTGCGTTCAACTCACATAGTTTAACCTTTCTTTTCATAGAGCAGTTTGGAAACACTCTGTTTGTAAAGTCTGCAAGTGGATCTATGGACCGCATTGAGGCCTTCGTTGGAAACGGGATTTCTTCATTTCATGCTAGACAGAAGAATTCTCAGTAACTTCTTTGTGCTGTGTGTATTCAACTCACAGAGTGGAACGTCCCTTTACACAGAGCAGATTTGAAACACTCTTTTTGTGGAGTTTGCAAGTGGAGATTTCAAGCGATTTGATGCCAACAGTAGAAAAGGAAATATCTTCAAATAAAAACTAGACAGAATCATTCTCAGAAACTACTTTGTGATGTGTGCCTTCAACTCACAGAGTTTAACCTTTCTTTTCTGAGAGCAGCTTAGAAACACTCTGCTTGTTATGTCTGCAAGTTGATATTTGGACCTCTTTGAGGCCTTCGTTGCAAACGGGGTTTCTTCCTTTCATGCTAGACTAAGAAGAGTTCTCAGTAACTTTTTTGTGTTGTGTGTATTCAACTCACAGAGTTGAACCTTGCTTTAGAGAGAGCAGATTTGAAACACTCTTGCTGTGGCATTTTCAGGTGGAGATTTCAAGCGATTTGAGGACAATTGCAGAAAAGGAAATATCTTCGTATAATAACCAGACAGAATCATTCTCAGAAAGTGCTTTGTGATGTGTGCGTTCAACTCACAGAGTTCAACCTTTCTTTCCATAGAGGAGTTTGGAAACACACTGTTTGTAAAGTCTGCAATTGGATATATGGACCTGTTTGAGGCCTTCGTTGGAAACGGGATTTCTTCATTGAATGCTAGATGGAAGAATTCTCAGTAAATTCTTTGTGTTGTGTGCATTCAACTCACAGAGTGGAACGTCCCTTTAGACAGAGCAGATTTGAAACACTCTTTTTGCGGAATTTGCAAGTGGAGATTTCTAGCCATTTGATGCCAACAGTAGAAAGGGAAACATCTTCAAATAAAAACCAGACAGAATCATTCTCAGAAAATTCTTTGTGATGTGTGCGTTCAACTCACATAGTTTAACCTTTCTTTTCATAGAGCAGTTTGGAAACACTCTGTTTGTAAAGTCTGCAAGTGGATATATGGACCGCATTGAGGCCTTCGTTGGAAACGGGATTTCTTCATTTCATGCTAGACAGAAGAATTCTCAGTAACTTCTTTGTGCTGTGTGTATTCAACTCACAGAGTGGAACGTCCCTTTGCACAGAGCAGATTTGAAACACTCTTTTTGTGGAATTTGCAAGTGGAGATTTCAAGCGATTTGATGCCAACAGTAGAAAAGGAAATATCTTCAAATAAAAACTAGACAGAATCATTCTCAGAAACTACTTTGTGATGTGTGCCTTCAACTCACAGAGTTTAACCTTTCTTTTCTTAGAGCAGTTTAGAAACACTCTGCTTGTTATGTCTGCAAGTGGATATTTGGACCTCTTTGAGGCCTTCGTTGCAAACGGGGTTTCTTCCTTTAATGCTAGACTAAGAAGAGTTCTCAGTAACTTTTTTGTGTTGTGTGTATTCAACTCACAGAGCTGAACCTTGCTTTAGAGAGAGCAGATTTGAAACACTCTTGCTGTGGCATTTTCAGGTGGAGATTTCAAGCGATTTGAGGACAATTGCAGAAAAGGAAATATCTTCGTATAACAACCAGACAGAATAATTCTCAGAAAGTGCTTTGTGATGTGTGCGTTCAACTCACAGAGTTTAACCTTTCTTTTCATAGAGGAGTTTGGAAACACACTGTTTGTAAAGTCTGCAATTGGATATATGGACCTGTTTAAGGCCTTCGTTGGAAACGGGATTTCTTCATTGAATGCTAGGCGGAAGAATTCTCAGTAAATACTTTGTGTTGTGTGCATTCAACTGACAGAGTGGAACGTCCCTTTAGACAGAGCAGATTTGAAACACTCTTTTTGTGGAATTTGCAAGTGGAGATTTCTAGCCATTTGATGCCAACAGTAGAAAGGGAAATATCTTCAAATAAAAACCAGACAGAATCATTCTCAGAAAATTCTTTGTGATGTGTGCGTTCAACTCACATAGTTTAACCTTTCTTTTCATAGAGCAGTTTGGAAACACTCTGTTTGTAAAGTCTGCAAGTGGATATATAGACCGCATTGAGGCCTTCGTTGGAAACGGGATTTCTTCATTTCATGCTAGACAGAAGAATTCTCAGTAACTTCTTTGTGCTGTGTGTATTCAACTCACAGAGTGGAACGTCCCTTTACACAGAGCAGATTTGAAACACTCTTTTTGTGGAGTTTGCAAGTGGAGATTTCAAGCGATTTGATGCCAACAGTAGAAAAGGAAATATCTTCAAATAAAAACTAGACAGAATCATTCTCAGAAACTACTTTGTGATGTGTGCCTTCAACTCACAGAGTTTAACCTTTCTTTTCTTAGAGCAGTTTAGAAACACTCTGCTTGTTATGTCTGCAAGTGGATATTTGGACCTCTTTGAGGCCTTCGTTGCAAACGGGGTTTCTTCCTTTCATGCTAGACTAAGAAGAGTTCTCAGTAACATTTTTGTGTTGTGTGTATTCAACTCACAAGAGTTGAACCTTGCTTTAGAGAGAGCAGATTTGAAACACTCTTGCTGTGGCATTTTCAGGTGGAGATTTCAAGCGATTTGAGGACAATTGCAGAAAAGGAAATATCTTCGTATAACAACCAGACAGAATCATTCTCAGAAAGTGCTTTGTGATGTGTGCGTTCAACTCACAGAGTTTAACCTTTCTTTTCATAGAGGAGTTTGGAAACACACTGTTTGTAAAGTCTGCAAGTGGATATATGGACCTGTTTGAGGCCTTCGTTGGAAACGGGATTTCTTCATTGAATGCTAGACGGAAGAATTCTCAGTAAATTCTTTGTGTTGTGTGCATTCAACTCACAGAGTGGAACGTCCCTTTAGACAGAGCAGATTTGAAACACTCTTTTTGCGGAATTTGCAAGTGGAGATTTCTAGCCATTTGATGCCAACAGTAGAAAGGGAAATATCTTCAAATAAAAACCAGACAGAATCATTCTCAGAAAATTCTTTGTGATGTGTGCGTTCAACTCACATAGTTTAACCTTTCTTTTCATAGAGCAGTTTGGAAACACTCTGTTTGTAAAGTCTGCAAGTGGATCTATGGACCGCATTGAGGCCTTCGTTGGAAACGGGATTTCTTCATTTCATGCTAGACAGAAGAATTCTCAGTAACTTCTCTGTGCTGTGTGTATTCAACTCACAGACTGGAACGTCCGTTTGCACAGAGCAGATTTGAAACACTCTTTTTGTGGAATTTGCAAGTGGAGATTTCAAGCGATTTGATGCCAACAGTAGAAAAGGAAATATCTTCAAATAAAAACTAGACAGAATCATTCTCAGAAACTACTTTGTGATGTGTGCCTTCAACTCACAGAGTTTAACCTTTCTTTTCTTAGAGCAGTTTAGAAACACTCTGCTTGTTATGTCTGCAAGTGGATATTTGGACCTCTTTGAGGCCTTCGTTGCAAACGGGGTTTCTTCCTTTCATGCTAGACTAAGAAGAGTTCTCATTAACTTTTTTGTGTTGTGTGTATTCACCTCACAGAGTTGAACCTTGCTTTAGAGAGAGCAGATTTGAAACACTCTCGCTGTGGCATTTTCAGGTGGAGATTTCAAGCGATTTGAGGACAATTGCAGAAAAGGAAATATCTTCGTATAATAACCAGACAGAATCATTCTCAGAAAGTGCTTTGTGATGTGTGCGTTCAACTCACAGAGTTTAACCTTTCTTTTCATAGAGGAGTTTGGAAACACACTGTTTGTAAAGTCTGCAAGTGGATATATGGACCTGTTTGAGGCCTTCGTTGGAAACGGGATTTCTTCATTGAATGCTAGACGGAAGAATTCTCAGTAAATTCTTTGTGTTGTGTGCATTCAACTCACAGAGTGGAACGTCCCTTTAGACAGAGCAGATTTGAAACACTCTTTTTGCGGAATTTGCAAGTGGAGATTTCTAGCCATTTGATGCCAACAGTAGAAAGGGAAATATCTTCAAATAAAAACCAGACAGAATCATTCTCAGAAAATTCTTTGTGATGTGTGCGTTCAACTCACATAGTTTAACCTTTCTTTTCATAGAGCAGTTTGGAAACACTCTGTTTGTAAAGTCTGCAAGTGGATATATGGACCGCATTGAGGCCTTCGTTGGAAACGGGATTTCTTCATTTCATGCTAGACAGAAGAATTCTCAGTAACTTCTTTGTGCTGTGTGTATTCAACTCACAGAGTGGAACGTCCCTTTGCACAGAGCAGATTTGAAACACTCTTTTTGTGGAGTTTGCAAGTGGAGATTTCAAGCGATTTGATGCCAACAGTAGAAAAGGAAATATCTTCAAATTAAAACTAGACAGAATCATTCTCAGAAACTACTTTGTGATGTGTGCCTTCAACTCACAGAGTTTAACCTTTCTTTTCTTAGAGCAGTTTAGAAACACTCTACTTGTTATGTCTGCAAGTGGATATTTGGACCTCTTTGAGGCCTTCGTTGCAAACGGGGTTTCTTCCTTTCATGCTAGACTAAGAAGAGTTCTCAGTAACTTTTTTGTGTTGTGTGTATTCAACTCACAGAGTTGAACCTTGCTTTAGAGAGAGCAGATTTGAAACACTCTTGCTGTGGCATTTTCAGGTGGAGATTTCAAGCGATTTGAGGACAATTGCAGAAAAGGAAATATCTTCGTATAATAACCAGACAGAATCATTCTCAGAAAGTGCTTTGTGATGTGTGCGTTCCACTCACAGAGTTTAACCTTTCTTTTCATAGAGGAGTTTGGAAACACACTGTTTGTAAAGTCTGCAATTGGATATATGGACCTGTTTGAGGCCTTCGTTGGAAACGGGATTTCTTCATTGAATGCTAGACGGAAGAATTCTCAGTAAATTCTTTGTGTTGTGTGCATTCAACTCACAAAGTGGAACGTCCCTTTAGACAGAGCAGAATTGAAACACTCTTTTTGCGGAATTTGCAAGTGGAGATTTCTAGCCATTTGATGCCAACAGTAGAAAGGGAAATATCTTCAAATAAAAACCAGACAGAATCATTCTCAGAAAATTCTTTGTGATGTGTGCGTTCAACTCACATAGTTTAACCTTTCTTTTCATAGAGCAGTTTGGAAACACTGTGTTTGTAAAGTCTGCAAGTGGATATATGGACCGCATTGAGGCCTTCGTTGGAAACGGGATTTCTTCATTTCATGCTAGACAGAAGAATTCTCAGTAACTTCTTTGTGCTGTGTGTATTCAACTCACAGAGTGGAACGTCCCTTTACACAGAGCAGATTTGAAACACTCTTTTTGTGGAGTTTGCAAGTGGAGATTTCAAGCGATTTGATGCCAACAGTAGAAAAGGAAATATCTTCAAATAAAAACTAGACAGAATCATTCTCAGAAACTACTTTGTGATGTGTGCCTTCAACTCACAGAGTTTAACCTTTCTTTTCTTAGAGCACTTTAGAAACACTCTGCTTGTTATGTCTGCAAGTGGATATTTGGACCTCTTTGAGGCCTTCGTTGCAAACGGGGTTTCTTCCTTTCATGCTAGACTAAGAAGAGTTCTCAGTAACTTTTTGTGTTGTGTGTATTCAACTCACAGAGTTGAACCTTGCTTTAGAGAGAGCAGATTTGAAACACTCTTGCTGTGGCATTTTCAGGTGGAGATTTCAAGCGATTTGAGGACAATTGCAGAAAAGGAAATATCTTCGTATAATAACCAGACAGAATCATTCTCAGAAAGTGCTTTGTGATGTGTGCGTTCCACTCACAGAGTTTAACCTTTCTTTTCATAGAGGAGTTTGGAAACACACTGTTTGTAAAGTCTGCAAGTGGATATATGGACCTGTTTGAGGCCTTCGTTGGAAACGGGATTTCTTCATTGAATGCTAGACGGAAGAATTCTCAGTAAATTCTTTGTGTTGTGTGCATTCAACTCACAGAGTGGAACGTCCCTTTAGACAGAGCAGATTTGAAACACTCTTTTTGCGGAATTTGCAAGTGGAGATTTCTAGCCATTTGATGCCAACAGTAGAAAGGGAAATATCTTCAAATAAAAACCAGACAGAATCATTCTCAGAAAATTCTTTGTGATGTGTGCGTTCAACTCACATAGTTTAACCTTTCTTTTCATAGAGCAGTTTGGAAACACTCTGTTTGTAAAGTCTGCAAGTGGATATATGGACCGCATTGAGGCCTTCGTTGGAAACGGGATTTCTTCATTTCATGCTAGACAGAAGAATTCTCAGTAACTTCTTTGTGCTGTGTGTATTCAACTCACAGAGTGGAACGTCCCTTTGCACAGAGCAGATTTGAAACACTCTTTTTGTGGAGTTTGCAAGTGGAGATTTCAAGCGATTTGATGCCAACAGTAGAAAAGGAAGTATCTTCAAATAAAAACTAGACAGAATCATTCTCAGAAACTACTTTGTGATGTGTGCCTTCAACTCACAGAGTTTAACCTTTCTTTTCTTAGAGCAGTTTAGAAACACTCTGCTTGTTATGTCTGCAAGTGGATATTTGGACCTCTTTGAGGCCTTCGTTGCAAACGGGGTTTCTTCCTTTCATGCTAGACTAAGAAGAGTTCTCAGTAACTTTTTTGTGTTGTGTGTATTCAACTCACAGAGTTGAACCTTGCTTTAGAGAGAGCAGATTTGAAACACTCTTGCTGTGGCATTTTCAGGTGGAGATTTCAAGCGATTTGAGGACAATTGCAGAAAAGGAAATATCTTCGTATAATAACCAGACAGAATCATTCTCAGAAAGTGCTTTGTGATGTGTGCGTTCAACTCACAGAGTTTAACCTTTCTTTTCATAGAGGAGTTTGGAAACACACTGTTTGTAAAGTCTGCAATTGGATATATGGACCTGTTTGAGGCCTTCGTTGGAAACGGGATTTCTTCATTGCATGCTAGACGGAAGAATTCTCAGTAAATTCTTTGTGTTGTGTGCATTCAACTGACAGAGTGGAACGTCCCTTTAGACAGAGCAGATTTGAAACACTCTTTTTGCGGAATTTGCAAGTGGAGATTTCTAGCCATTTGATGCCAACAGTAGAAAGGGAAACATCTTCAAATAAAAACCAGACAGAATCATTCTCAGAAAATTCTTTGTGATGTGTGCGTTCAACTCACATAGTTTAACCTTTCTTTTCATAGAGCAGTTTGGAAACACTCTGTTTGTAAAGTCTGCAAGTGGATATATGGACCGCATTGAGGCCTTCGTTGGAAACGGGATTTCTTCATTTCATGCTAGACAGAAGAATTCTCAGTAACTTCTTTGTGCTGTGTGTATTCAACTCACAGAGTGGAACGTCTCTTTGCACAGAGCAGATTTGAAACACTCTTTTTGTGGAATTTGCAAGTGGAGATTTCAAGCGATTTGATGCCAACAGTAGAAAAGGAAATATCTTCAAATAAAAACTAGACAGAATCATTCTCAGAAAATTCTTTGTGATGTGTGCGTTCAACTCACACAGTTTAACCTTTCTTTTCTTAGAGCAGTTTAGAAACACTCTGCTTGTTATGTCTGCAAGTGGATATTTGGACCTCTTTGAGGCCTTCGTTGCAAACGGGGTTTCTTCCTTTCATGCTAGACTAAGAAGAGTTCTCAGTAACTTTTTTGTGTTGTGTGTATTCAACTCACAGAGTTGAACCTTGCTTTAGAGAGAGCAGATTTGAAACACTCTTGCTGTGGCATTTTCAGGTGGAGATTTCAAGCGATTTGAGGACAATTGCAGAAAAGGAAATATCTTCGTATAACAACCAGACAGAATCATTCTCAGAAAGTGCTTTGTGATGTGTGCGTTCCACTCACAGAGTTTAACCTTTCTTTTCATAGAGGAGTTTGGAAACACACTGTTTGTAAAGTCTGCAAGTGGATATATGGACCTGTTTGAGGCCTTCGTTGGAAACGGGATTTCTTCATTGAATGCTAGGCGGAGGAATTCTCAGTAAATTCTTTGTGTTGTGTGCATTCAACTCACAGAGTGGAACGTCCCTTTAGACAGAGCAGATTTGAAACACTCTTTTTGCGGAATTTGCAAGTGGAGATTTCTAGCCATTTGATGCCAACAGTAGAAAGGGAAATATCTTCAAATAAAAACCAGACAGAATCATTCTCAGAAAATTCTTTGTGATGTGTGCGTTCAACTCACATAGTTTAACCTTTCTTTTCATAGAGCAGTTTGGAAACACTCTGTTTGTGATGTCTGCAAGTGGATATATAGACCGCATTGAGGCCTTCGTTGGAAACGGGATTTCTTCATTTCATGCTAGACAGAAGAATTCTCAGTAACTTCTTTGTGCTGTGTGTATTCAACTCACAGAGTGGAACGTCCCTTTGCACAGAGCAGATTTGAAACACTCTTTTTGTGGAGTTTGCAAGTGGATATTGCAAGCGATTTGATGCCAACAGTAGAAAAGGAAATATCTTCAAATAAAAACTAGACAGAATCATTCTCAGAAACTACTTTGTGATGTGTGCCTTCAACTCACAGAGTTTAACCTTTCTTTTCTTAGAGCAGTTTAGAAACACTCTGCTTGTTATGTCTGCAAGTGGATATTTGGACCTCTTTGAGGCCTTCGTTGCAAACGGGGTTTCTTCCTTTCATGCTAGACTAAGAAGAGTTCTCAGTAACTTTTTTGTGTTGTGTGTATTCAACTCACAGAGTTGAACCTTGCTTTAGAGAGAGCAGATTTGAAACACTCTTGCTGTGGCATTTTCAGGTGGAGATTTCAAGCGATTTGAGGACAATTGCAGAAAAGGAAATATCTTCGTATAATAACCAGACAGAATCATTCTCAGAAAGTGCTTTGTGATGTGTGCGTTCCACTCACAGAGTTTAACCTTTCTTTTCATAGAGGAGTTTGGAAACACACTGTTTGTAAACTCTGCAAGTGGATATATGGACCTGTTTGAGGCCTTCGTTGGAAACGGGATTTCTTCATTGAATGCTAGACGGAAGAATTCTCAGTAAATTCTTTGTGTTGTGTGCATTCAACTGACAGAGTGGAACGTCCCTTTAGACAGAGCAGATTTGAAACACTCTTTTTGCGGAATTTGCAAGTGGAGATTTCTAGCCATTTGATGCCAACAGTAGAAAGGGAAATATCATTCAAATAAAAACCAGACAGAATCATTCTCAGAAAATTCTTTGTGATGTGTGCGTTCATCTCACATAGTTTAACCTTTCTTTTCATAGAGCAGTTTGGAAACACTCTGTTTGTAAAGTCTGCAAGTGGATATATGGACCGCATTGAGGCCTTCGTTGGAAACGGGATTTCTTCATTTCATGCTAGACAGAAGAATTCTCAGTAACTTCTTTGTGCTGTGTGTATTCAACTCACAGAGTGGAACGTCCCTTTGCACAGAGCAGATTTGAAACACTCTTTTTGTGGAATTTGCAAGTGGAGATTTCAAGCGATTTGATGCCAACAGTAGAAAAGGAAATATCTTCAAATAAAAACTAGACAGAATCATTCTCAGAAACTACTTTGTGATGTGTGCCTTCAACTCACAGAGTTTAACCTTTCTTTTCTTAGAGCAGTTTAGAAACACTCTGCTTGTTATGTCTGCAAGTGGATATTTGGACCTCTTTGAGGCCTTCGTTGCAAATGGGGTTTCTTCCTTTCATGCTAGACTAAGAAGAGTTCTCAGTAACTTTTTTGTGTTGTGTGTATTCAACTCACAGAGTTGAACCTTGCTTTAGAGAGAGCAGATTTGAAACACACTCGCTGTGGAATTTTCAGGTGGAGATTTCAAGCGATTTGAGGACAATTGCAGAAAAGGAAATATCTTCGTATAATAACCAGACAGAATCATTCTCAGAAAGTGCTTTGTGATGTGTGCGTTCAACTCACAGAGTTTAACCTTTCTTTTCATAGAGGAGTTTGGAAACACACTGTTTGTAATGTCTGCAATTGGATATATGGACCTGTTTGAGGCCTTCGTTGGAAACGGGATTTCTTCATTGAATGCTAGACGGAAGAATTCTCAGTAAATTCTTTGTGTTGTGTGCATTCAACTCACAGAGTGGAACGTCCCTTTAGACAGAGCAGATTTGAAACACTTTTTGGCGGAATTTGCAAGTGGAGATTTCAAGCCATTTGATGCCAACAGTAGAAAGGGAAATATCTTCAAATAAAAACCAGACAGAATCATTCTCAGAAAATTCTTTGTGATGTGTGCGTTCAACTCACATAGTTTAACCTTTCTTTTCATAGAGCAGTTTGGAAACACTCTGTTTGTAAAGTCTGCAAGTGGATATATGGACCGCATTGAGGCCTTCGTTGGAAACGGGATTTCTTCATTTCATGCTAGACAGAAGAATTCTCAGTAACTTCTTTGTGCTGTGTGTATTCAACTCACAGAGTGGAACGTCCCTTTACACAGAGCAGATTTGAAACACTCTTTTTGTGGAGTTTGCAAGTGGAGATTTCAAGCGATTTGATGCCAACAGTAGAAAAGGAAATATCTTCAAATAAAAACTAGACAGAATCATTCTCAGAAACTACTTTGTGATGTGTGCCTTCAACTCACAGAGTTTAACCTTTCTTTTCTTAGAGCAGTTTAGAAACACTCTGCTTGTTATGTCTGCAAGTGGATATTTGGACCTCTTTGAGGCCTTCGTTGCAAACGGGGTTTCTTCCTTTCATGCTAGACTAAGAAGAGTTCTCAGTAACTTTTTTGTGTTGTGTGTATTCAACTCACAGAGTTGAACCTTGCTTTAGAGAGAGCAGATTTGAAACACTCTTGCTGTGGCATTTTCAGGTGGAGATTTCAAGCGATTTGAGGACAATTGCAGAAAAGGAAATATCTTCGTATAACAACCAGACAGAATCATTCTCAGAGAGTGCTTTCTGATGTGTGCGTTCAACTCACAGAGTTTAACCTTTCTTTTCATAGAGGAGTTTGGAAACACACTGTTTGTAAAGTCTGCAATTGGATATATGGACCTGTTTGAGGCCTTCGTTGGAAACGGGATTTCTTCATTGAATGCTAGACGGAAGAATTCTCAGTAAATTCTTTGTGTTGTGTGCATTCAACTCACAGAGTGGAACGTCCCTTTAGACAGAGCAGATTTGAAACACTCTTTTTGCGGAATTTGCAAGTGGAGATTTCTAGCCATTTGATGCCAACAGTAGAAAGGGAAATATCTTCAAATAAAAACCAGACAGAATCATTCTCAGAAAATTCTTTGTGATGTGTGCGTTCAACTCACATAGTTTAACCTTTCTTTTCATAGAGCAGTTTGGAAACACTCTGTTTGTAAAGTCTGCAAGTGGATATATGGACCGCATTGAGGCCTTCGTTGGAAACGGGATTTCTTCATTTCATGCTAGACAGAAGAATTCTCAGTAACTTCTTTGTGCTGTGTGTATTCAACTCACAGAGTGGAACGTCCCTTTGCACAGAGCAGATTTGAAACACTCTTTTTGTGGAGTTTGCAAGTGGAGATTTCAAGCGATTTGATGCCAACAGTAGAAAAGGAAATATCTTCAAATAAAAACTAGACAGAATCATTCTCAGAAACTACTTTGTGATGTGTGCCTTCAACTCACAGAGTTTAACCTTTCTTTTCTTAGAGCAGTTTAGAAATACTCTGCTTGTTATGTCTGCAAGTGGATATTTGGACCTCTTTGAGGCCTTCGTTGCAAACGGGGTTTCTTCCTTTCATGCTAGACTAAGAAGAGTTCTCAGTAACTTTTTTGTGTTGTGTGTATTCAACTCACAGAGTTGAACCTTGCTTTAGAGAGAGCAGATTTGAAACACTCTTGCTGTGGCATTTTCAGGTGGAGATTTCAAGCGATTTGAGGACAATTGCAGAAAAGGAAATATCTTCGTATAATAACCAGACAGAATCATTCTCAGAAAGTGCTTTGTGATGTGTGCGTTCCACTCACAGAGTTTAACCTTTCTTTTCATAGAGGAGTTTGGAAACACACTGTTTGTAAAGTCTGCAAGTGGATATATGGACCTGTTTGAGGCCTTCGTTGGAAACGGGATTTCTTCATTGAATGCTAGACGGAAGAATTCTCAGTAAATTCTTTGTGTTGTGTGCATTCAACTCACAGAGTGGAACGTCCCTTTAGACAGAGCAGATTTGAAACACTCTTTTTGCGGAATTTGCAAGTGGAGATTTCTAGCCATTTGATGCCAACAGTAGAAAGGGAAATATCTTCAAATAAAAACCAGACAGAATCATTCTCAGAAAATTCTTTGTGATGTGTGCGTTCAACTCACATAGTTTAACCTTTCTTTTCATAGAGCAGTTTGGAAACACTCTGTTTGTAAAGTCTGCAAGTGGATATATGGACCGCATTGAGGCCTTCGTTGGAAACGGGATTTCTTCATTTCATGCTAGACAGAAGAATTCTCAGTAACTTCCTTGTGCTGTGTGTATTCAACTCACAGAGTGGAACGTCCCTTTGCACAGAGCAGATTTGAAACACTCTTTTTGTGGAGTTTGCAAGTGGAGATTTCAAGCGATTTGATGCCAACAGTAGGAAAGGAAATATCTTCAAATAAAAACTAGACAGAATCATTCTCAGAAACTACTTTGTGATGTGTGCCTTCAACTCACAGAGTTTAACCTTTCTTTTCTTAGAGCAGTTTAGAAACACTCTGCTTGTTATGTCTGCAAGTGGATATTTGGACCTCTTTGAGGCCTTCGTTGCAAACAGGGTTTCTTCCTTTAATGCTAGACTAAGAAGAGTTCTCAGTAACTTTTTTGTGTTGTGTGTATTCAACTCACAGAGTTGAACCTTGCTTTAGAGAGAGCAGATTTGAAACACTCTTGCTGTGGCATTTTCAGGTGGAGATTTCAAGCGATTTGAGGACAATTGCAGAAAAGGAAATATCTTCGTATAATAACCAGACAGAATCATTCTCAGAAAGTGCTTTGTGATGTGTGCGTTCAACTCACAGAGTTTAACCTTTCTTTTCATAGAGGAGTTTGGAAACACACTGTTTGTAAAGTCTGCAATTGGATATATGGACCTGTTTGAGGCCTTCTTTGGAAACGGGATTTCTTCATTGAATGCTAGACGGAAGAATTCTCAGTAAATTCTTTGTGTTGTGTGCATTCAACTCACAGAGTGGAACGTCCCTTTAGACAGAGCAGATTTGAAACACTCTTTTTGCGGAATTTGCAAGTGGAGATTTCTAGCCATTTGATGCCAACAGTAGAAAGGGAAATATCTTCAAATAAAAACCAGACAGAATCATTCTCAGAAAATTCTTTGTGATGTGTGCGTTCAACTCACATAGTTTAACCTTTCTTTTCATAGAGCAGTTTGGAAACACTCTGTTTGTAAAGTCTGCAAGTGGATATATGGACCGCATTGAGGTCTTCGTTGGAAACGGGATTTCTTCATTTCATGCTAGACAGAAGAATTCTCAGTAACTTCTTTGTGCTGTGTGTATTCAACTCACAGAGTGGAACGTCCCTTTGCACAGAGCAGATTTTAAACACTCTTTTTGTGGAGTTTGCAAGTGGAGATTTCAAGCGATTTGATGCCAACAGTAGAAAAGGAAATATCTTCAAATAAAAACTAGACAGAATCATTCTCAGAAAATTCTTTGTGATGTGTGCGTTCAACTCACATAGTTTAACCTTTCTTTTCTTAGAGCAGTTTAGAAACACTCTGCTTGTTATGTCTGCAAGTGGATATTTGGACCTCTTTGAGGCCTTCGTTGCAAACGGGGTTTCTTCCTTTCATGCTAGACTAAGAAGAGTTCTCAGTAACTTTTTTGTGTTGTGTGTATTCAACTCACAGAGTTGAACCTTGCTTTAGAGAGAGCAGATTTGAAACACTCTTGCTGTGGCATTTTCAGGTGGAGATTTCAAGCGATTTGAGGACAATTGCAGAAAAGGAAATATCTTCGTATAACAACCAGACAGAATCATTCTCAGAAAGTGCTTTGTGATGTGTGCGTTCAACTCACAGAGTTTAACCTTTCTTTTCATAGAGGATTTTGGAAACACACTGTTTGTAAAGTCTGCAATTGGATATATGGACCTGTTTGAGGCCTTCGTTGGAAACGGGATTTCTTCATTTGACATGCTAGACGGAAGAATTCTCAGTAAATTCTTTGTGTTGTGTGCATTCAACTCACAGAGTGGAACGTCCCTTTAGACAGAGCAGATTTGAAACACTCTTTTTGCGGAATTTGCAAGTGGAGATTTCTAGCCATTTGATGCCAACAGTAGAAAGGGAAATATCTTCAAATAAAAACCAGACAGAATCATTCTCAGAAAATTCTTTGTGATGTGTGCGTTCAACTCACATAGTTTAACCTTTCTTTTCATAGAGCAGTTTGGAAACACTCTGTTTGTAAAGTCTGCAAGTGGATATATGGACCGCATTGAGGCCTTCGTTGGAAACGGGATTTCTTCATTTCATGCTAGACAGAAGAATTCTCAGTAACTTCTTTGTGCTGTGTGTATTCAACTCACAGAGTGGAACGTCCCTTTGCACAGAGCAGATTTGAAACACTCTTTTTGTGGAGTTTGCAAGTGGAGATTTCAAGCGATTTGATGCCAACAGTAGAAAAGGAAATATCTTCAAATAAAAACTAGACAGAATCATTCTCAGAAACTACTTTGTGATGTGTGCCTTCAACTCACAGAGTTTAACCTTTCTTTTCTTAGAGCAGTTTAGAAACACTCTGCTTGTTATGTCTGCAAGTGGATATTTGGACCTCTTTGAGGCCTTCGTTGCAAACGGGGTTTCTTCCTTTCATGCTAGACTAAGAAGAGTTCTCAGTAACTTTTTTGTGTTGTGTGTATTCAACTCACAGAGTTGAACCTTGCTTTAGAGAGAGCAGATTTGAAACACTCTTGCTGTGACATTTTCAGGTGGAGATTTCAAGCGATTTGAGGACAATTGCAGAAAAGGAAATATCTTCGTATAACAACCAGACAGAATCATTCTCAGAAAGTGCTTTGTGATGTGTGCGTTCCACTCACAGAGTTTAACCTTTCTTTTCATAGAGGAGTTTGGAAACACACTGTTTGTAAAGTCTGCAAGTGGATATATGGACCTGTTTGAGGCCTTCGTTGGAAACGGGATTTCTTCATTGAATGCTAGACGGAAGAATTCTCAGTAAATTCTTTGTGTTGTGTGCATTCAACTCACAGAGTGGAACGTCCCTTTAGACAGAGCAGATTTGAAACACTCTTTTTGCGGAATTTGCAAGTGGAGATTTCTAGCCATTTGATGCCAACAGTAGAAAGGGAAATATCTTCAAATAAAAACCAGACAGAATCATTCTCAGAAAATTCTTTGTGATGTGTGCGTTCAACTCACATAGTTTAACCTTTCTTTTCATAGAGCAGTTTGGAAACACTCTGTTTGTAAAGTCTGCAAGTGGATATATGGACCGCATTGAGGCCTTCGTTGGAAACGGGATTTCTTCATTTCATGCTAGACAGAAGAATTCTCAGTACCTTCTTTGTGCTGTGTGTATTCAACTCACAGAGTGGAACGTCCCTTTACACAGAGCAGATTTGAAACACTCTTTTTGTGGAGTTTGCAAGTGGAGATTTCAAGCGATTTGATGCCAACAGTAGAAAAGGAAATATCTTCAAATAAAAACTAGACAGAATCATTCTCAGAAACTACTTTGTGATGTGTGCCTTCAACTCACAGAGTTTAACCTTTCTTTTCTTAGAGCAGTTTAGAAACACTCTGCTTGTTATGTCTGCAAGTGGATATTTGGACCTCTTTGAGGCCTTCGTTGCAAACGGGGTTTCTTCCTTTCATGCTAGACTAAGAAGAGTTCTCAGTAACTTTTTTGTGTTGTGTGTATTCAACTCACAGAGTTGAACCTTGCTTTAGAGAGAGCAGATTTGAAACACTCTTGCTGTGGCATTTTCAGGTGGAGATTTCAAGCGATTTGAGGACAATTGCAGAAAAGGAAATATCTTCGTATAATAACCAGACAGAATCATTCTCAGAAAGTGCTTTGTGATGTGTGCGTTCAACTCACAGAGTTTAACCTTTCTTTTCATAGAGGAGTTTGGAAACACACTGTTTGTAAAGTCTGCAATTGGATATATGGACCTGTTTGAGGCCTTCTTTGGAAACGGGATTTCTTCATTGAATGCTAGACGGAAGAATTCTCAGTAAATTCTTTGTGTTGTGTGCATTCAACTCACAGAGTGGAACGTCCCTTTAGACAGAGCAGATTTGAAACACTCTTTTTGCGGAATTTGCAAGTGGAGATTTCTAGCCATTTGATGCCAACAGTAGAAAGGGAAATATCTTCAAATAAAAACCAGACAGATAATCATTCTCAGAAAATTCTTTGTGATGTGTGCGTTCAACTCACATAATTTAACCTTTCTTTTCATAGAGCAGTTTGGAAACACTCTGTTTGTAAAGTCTGCAAGTGGATATATGGACCTCATTGAGGCCTTCGTTGGAAACGGGATTTCTTCATTTCATGCTAGCCAGAAGAATTCTCAGTAACTTCTTTGTGCTGTGTGTATTCAACTCACAGAGTGGAACGTCCCTTTGCACAGAGCAGATTTGAAACACTCTTTTTGTGGAATTTGCAAGTGGAGATTTCAAGCGATTTGATGCCAACAGTAGAAAAGGAAATATCTTCAAATAAAAACTAGACAGAATCATTCTCAGAAACTACTTTGTGATGTGTGCCTTCAACTCACAGAGTTTAACCTTTCTTTTCTTAGAGCAGTTTAGAAACACTCTGCTTGTTATGTCTGCAAGTGGATATTTGGACCTCTTTGAGGCCTTCGTTGCAAACGGGGTTTCTTCCTTTCATGCTAGACTAAGAAGAGTTCTCAGTAACTTTTTTGTGTTGTGTGTATTCAACTCACAGAGTTGAACCTTGCTTTAGAGAGAGCAGATTTGAAACACTCTTGCTGTGGCATTTTCAGGTGGAGATTTCAAGCGATTTGAGGACAATTGCAGAAAAGGAAATATCTTCGTATAATAACCAGACAGAATCATTCTCAGAAAGTGCTTTGTGATGTGTGCGTTCCACTCACAGAGTTTAACCTTTCTTTTCATAGAGGAGTTTGGAAACACACTGTTCGTAAAGTCTGCAAGTGGATATATGGACCTGTTTGAGGCCTTCGTTGGAAACGGGATTTCTTCATTGAATGCTAGACGGAAGAATTCTCAGTAAATTCTTTGTGTTGTGTGCATTCAACTCACAGAGTGGAACGTCCCTTTAGACAGAGCAGATTTGAAACACTCTTTTTGCGGAATTTGCAAGTGGAGATTTCTAGCCATTTGATGCCAACAGTAGAAAGGGAAATATCTTCAAATAAAAACCAGACAGAATCATTCTCAGAAAATTCTTTGTGATGTGTGCGTTCAACTCACATAGTTTAACCTTTCTTTTCATAGAGCAGTTTGGGAACACTCTGTTGGTAATGTCTGCAAGTGGATATATGGACCGCTTTGAGGCCTTCGTTGGAAACGGGATTTCTTCATTTCATGCTAGACAGAAGAATTCTCAGTAACTTCTTTGTGTTGTGTGTATTCAACTCACAGATTGGAACGTCCCTTTACACAGAGCAGATTTGAAACACTCTTTTTGTGGAATTTGCAAGTGGAGATTTCAAGCGATTTGTTGCCAACAGTTGAAAAGGAAATATCTTCAAATAAAAACTAGACAGAATCATTCTCAGAAAATTCTTTGTGATGTGTGCATTCAGCTCACATAGTTTAACCTTTCTTTTCATAGAGCAGTTTCGAAACCCACTGTTTGTAAAATCTGCAAGTGGATATATTGACCGCTTTGAGGCATTCGTTGGAAACGGGATTTCTTCATTTCATGCTAGACAGAAGAATTCTCAGTAAATTCTTTGTGTTGTGTGCATTCAACTCACCGAGTGGAACGTCCCTTTAGGCAGAGCAGATTTGAAACACTCTTTTTGCGAAATTTGGAAGTGGAGATTTCAAGCCATTTGATGCCAACAGTAAAAAGAGAAATATCTTCAAATAAAAACTAGACAGAATCATTCTCAGAAAATTCTTTGTGATGTGTGCGTTCAACTCACATAGTTTAACCTTTCTTTTCATAGAGCAGTTTGGAAACACTCTGTTTGTAAAGTCTGCAAGTGGATATATGGACCTCTTTGAGGCCTTCGTTGGAAACGGGATTTCTTCATTGAATGCTAGACGGAAGAATTCTCAGTAAATTCTTTGTGTTGTGTGCATTCAACTCACAGAGTGGAACGTCCCTTTAGACAGAGCAGATTTGAAACACTCTTTTTGCGGAATTTGCAAGTGGAGATTTCTAGCCATTTGATGCCAACAGTAGAAAGGGAAATATCTTCAAATAAAAACCAGACAGAATCATTCTCAGAAAATTCTTTGTGATGTGTGCGTTCAACTCACATAGTTTAACCTTTCTTTTCATAGAGCAGTTTGGAAACACTCTGTTTGTAAAGTCTGCAAGTGGATATATGGACCGCATTGAGGCCTTCGTTGGAAACGGGATTTCTTCATTTCATGTTAGACAGAAGAATTCTCAGTAACTTCTTTGTGCTGTGTGTATTCAACTCACAGAGTGGAACGTCCCTTTACACAGAGCAGATTTGAAACACTCTTTTTGTGGAGTTTGCAAGTGGAGATTTCAAGCGATTTGATGCCAACAGTAGAAAAGGAAATATCTTCAAATAAAAACTAGACAGAATCATTCTCAGAAACTACTTTGTGATGTGTGCCTTCAACTCACAGAGTTTAACCTTTCTTTTCTTAGAGCAGTTTAGAAACACTCTGCTTGTTATGTCTGCAAGTGGATATTTGGACCTCTTTGAGGCCTTCGTTGCAAACGGGGTTTCTTCCTTTCATGCTAGACTAAGAAGAGTTCTCAGTAACTTTTTTGTGTTGTGTGTATTCAACTCACAGAGTTGAACCTTGCTTTAGAGAGAGCAGATTTGAAACACTCTTGCTGTGGCATTTTCAGGTGGAGATTTCAAGCGATTTGAGGACAATTGCAGAAAAGGAAATATCTTCAAATAAAAACCAGACAGAAATCATTCACAGAAAGTGCTTTGTGATGTGTGCGTTCAACTCACAGAGTTTAACCTTTCTTTTCATAGAGGAGTTTGGAAACACACTGTTTGTAAAGTCTGCAATTGGATATATGGACCTGTTTGAGGCCTTCGTTGGAAACGGGATTTCTTCATTGAATGCTAGACGGAAGAATTCTCAGTAAATTCTTTGTGTTGTGTGCATTCAACTCACAGAGTGGAACGTCCCTTTAGACAGAGCAGATTTGAAACACTCTTTTTGCGGAATTTGCAAGTGGAGATTTCTAGCCATTTGATGCCAACAGTAGAAAGGGAAATATCTTCAAATAAAAACCAGACAGAATCATTCTCAGAAAATTCTTTGTGATGTGTGCGTTCAACTCACATAGTTTAACCTTTCTTTTCATAGAGCAGTTTGGAAACACTCTGTTTGTAAAGTCTGCAAGTGGATATATGGACCGCATTGAGGCCTTCGTTGGAAACGGGATTTCTTCATTTCATGCTAGACAGAAGAATTCTCAGTAACTTCTTTGTGCTGTGTGTATTCAACTCACAGAGTGGAACGTCCCTTTGCACAGAGCAGATTTGAAACACTCTTTTTGTGGAGTTTGCAAGTGGAGATTTCAAGCGATTTGATGCCAACAGTAGAAAAGGAAATATCTTCAAATAAAAACTAGACAGAATCATTCTCAGAAACTACTTTGTGATGTGTGCCTTCAACTCACAGAGTTTAACCTTTCTTTTCTTAGAGCAGTTTAGAAACACTCTGCTTGTTATGTCTGCAAGTGGATATTTGGACCTCTTTGAGGCCTTCGTTGCAAACGGGGTTTCTTCCTTTCATGCTAGACTAAGAAGAGTTCTCAGTAACTTTTTTGTGTTGTGTGTATTCAACTCACAGAGTTGAACCTTGCTTCAGAGAGAGCAGATTTGAAACACTCTTGCTGTGGCATTTTCAGGTGGAGATTTCAAGCGATTTGAGGACAATTGCAGAAAAGGAAATATCTTCGTATAATAACCAGACAGAATCATTCTCAGAAAGTGCTTTGTGATGTGTGCGTTCAACTCACAGAGTTTAACCTTTCTTTTCATAGAGGAGCTTGGAAACACACTGTTTGTAAAGTCTGCAATTGGATATATGGACCTGTTTGAGGCCTCCGTTGGAAACGGGATTTCTTCATTGAATGCTAGACGGAAGAATTCTCAGTAAATTCTTTGTGTTGTGTGCATTCAACTCACAGAGTGGAACGTCCCTTTAGACAGAGCAGATTTGAAACACTCTTTTTGCGGAATTTGCAAGTGGAGATTTCTAGCCATTTGATGCCAACAGTAGAAAGGGAAATATCTTCAAATAAAAACCAGACAGAATCATTCTCAGAAAATTCTTTGTGATGTGTGCGTTCAACTCACATAGTTTAACCTTTCTTTTCATAGAGCAGTTTGGAAACACTCTGTTTGTAAAGTCTGCAAGTGGATATATGGACCGCATTGAGGCCTTCGTTGGAAACGGGATTTCTTCATTTCATGCTAGACAGAAGAATTCTCAGTAACTTCTTTGTGCTGTGTGTATTCAACTCACAGAGTGGAACGTCCCTTTGCACAGAGCAGATTTGAAACACTCTTTTTGTGGAATTTGCAAGTGGAGATTTCAAGCGATTTGATGCCAACAGTAGAAAAGGAAATATCTTCAAATAAAAACTAGACAGAATCATTCTCAGAAACTACTTTGTGATGTGTGCCTTCAACTCACAGAGTTCAACCTTTCTTTTCTTAGAGCAGTTTAGAAACACTCTGCTTGTTATGTCTGCAAGTGGATATTTGGACCTCTTTGAGGCCTTCGTTGCAAACGGGGTTTCTTCCTTTCATGCTAGACTAAGAAGAGTTCTCAGTAACTTTTTTGTGTTGTGTGTATTCAACTCACAGAGTTGAACCTTGCTTTAGAGAGAGCAGATTTGAAACACTCTTGCTGTGGCATTTTCAGGTGGAGATTTCAAGCGTTTTGAGGACAATTGCAGAAAAGGAAATATCTTCGTATAATAACCAGACAGAATCATTCTCAGAAAGTGCTTTGTGATGTGTGCGTTCAACTCACAGAGTTTAACCTTTCTTTTCATAGAGGAGTTTGGAAACACACTGTTTGTAAAGTCTGCAATTGGATATATGGACCTGTTTGAGGCCTTCGTTGGAAACGGGATTTCTTCATTGAATGCTAGACGGAAGAATTCTCAGTAAATTCTTTGTGTTGTGTGCATTCAACTGACAGAGTGGAACGTCCCTTTAGACAGAGCAGATTTGAAACACTCTTTTTGCGGAATTTGCAAGTGGAGATTTCTAGCCATTTGATGCCAACAGTAGAAAGGGAAATATCTTCAAATAAAAACCAGACAGAATCATTCTCAGAAAATTCTTTGTGATGTGTGCGTTCAACTCACATAGTTTAACCTTTCTTTTCATAGAGCAGTTTGGAAACACTCTGTTTGTAAAGTCTGCAAGTGGATATATGGACCGCATTGAGGCCTTCGTTGGAAACGGGATTTCTTCATTTCATGCTAGACAGAAGAATTCTCAGTAACTTCTTTGTGCTGTGTGTATTCAACTCACAGAGTGGAACGTCCCTTTACACAGAGCAGATTTGAAACACTCTTTTTGTGGAGTTTGCAAGTGGAGATTTCAAGCGATTTGATGCCAACAGTAGAAAAGGAAATATCTTCAAATAAAAACTAGACAGAATCATTCTCAGAAACTACTTTGTGATGTGTGCCTTCAACTCACAGAGTTTAACCTTTCTTTTCTTAGAGCAGTTTAGAAACACTCTGCTTGTTATGTCTGCAAGTGGATATTTGGACCTCTTTGAGGCCTTCGTTGCAAACGGGGTTTCTTCCTTTCATGCTAGACTAAGAAGAGTTCTCAGTAACTTTTTTGTGTTGTGTGTATTCAACTCACAGAGTTGAACGTTGCTTTAGAGAGAGCAGATTTGAAACACTCTTGCTGTGGCATTTTCAGGTGGAGATTTCAAGCGATTTGAGGACAATTGCAGAAAAGGAAATATCTTCGTATAACAACCAGACAGAATCATTCTCAGAAAGTGCTTTGTGATGTGTGCGTTCCACTCACAGAGTTTAACCTTTCTTTTCATAGAGGAGTTTGGAAACACACTGTTTGTAAAGTCTGCAATTGGATATATGGACCTGTTTGAGGCCTTCGTTGGAAACGGGATTTCTTCATTGAATGCTAGACGGAAGAATTCTCAGTAAATTCTTTGTGTTGTGTGCATTCAACTGACAGAGTGGAACGTCCCTTTAGACAGAGCAGATTTGAAACACTCTTTTTGCGGAATTTGCAAGTGGAGATTTCTAGCCATTTGATGCCAACAGTAGAAAGGGAAATATCTTCAAATAAAAACCAGACAGAATCATTCTCAGAAAATTCTTTGTGATGTGTGCGTTCAACTCACATAGTTTAACCTTTCTTTTCATAGAGCAGTTTGGAAACACTCTGTTTGTAAAGTCTGCAAGTGGATATATGGACCGCATTGAGGCCTTCGTTGGAAACGGGATTTCTTCATTTCATGCTAGACAGAAGAATTCTCAGTAACTTCTTTGTGCTGTGTGTATTCAACTCACAGAGTGGAACGTCCCTTTACACAGAGCAGATTTGAAACACTCTTTTTGTGGAGTTTGCAAGTGGAGATTTCAAGCGATTTGATGCCAACAGTAGAAAAGGAAATATCTTCAAATAAAAACTAGACAGAATCATTCTCAGAAACTACTTTGTGATGTGTGCCTTCAACTCACAGAGTTTAACCTTTCTTTTCTTAGAGCAGTTTAGAAACACTCTGCTTGTTATGTCTGCAAGTGGATATTTGGACCTCTTTGAGGCCTTCGTTGCAAACGGGGTTTCTTCCTTTCATGCTAGACTAAGAAGAGTTCTCAGTAACTTTTTTGTGTTGTGTGTATTCAACTCACAGAGTTGAACCTTGCTTTAGAGAGAGCAGATTTGAAACACTCTTGCTGTGGCATTTTCAGGTGGAGATTTCAAGCGATTTGAGGACAATTGCAGAAAAGGAAATATCTTCGTATAATAACCAGACAGAATCATTCTCAGAAAGTGCTTCGTGATGTGTGCCTTCAACTCACAGAGTTTAACCTTTCTTTTCATAGAGGAGTTTGGAAACACACTGTTTGTAAAGTCTGCAATTGGATATATGGACCTGTTTGAGGCCTTCGTTGGAAACGGGATTTCTTCATTGAATGCTAGACGGAAGAATTCTCAGTAAATTCTTTGTGTTGTGTGCATTCAACTCACAGAGTGGAACGTCCCTTCAGACAGAGCAGATTTGAAACACCCTTTTTGCGGAATTTGCAAGTGGAGATTTCTTGCCATTTGATGCCAACAGTAGAAAGGGAAATATCTTCAAATAAAAACCAGACAGAATCATTCTCAGAAAATTCTTTGTGATGTGTGCGTTCAACTCACATAGTTTAACCTTTCTTTTCATAGAGCAGTTTGGAAACACTCTGTTTGTAAAGTCTGCAAGTGGATATATGGACCGCATTGAGGCCTTCGTTGGAAACGGGATTTCTTCATTTCATGCTAGACAGAAGAATTCTCAGTAACTTCTTTGTGCTGTGTGTATTCAACTCACAGAGTGGAACGTCCCTTTGCACAGAGCAGATTTGAAACACTCTTTTTGTGGATTTTGCAAGTGGAGATTTCAAGCGATTTGATGCCAACAGTAGAAAAGGAAATATCTTCAAATAAAAACTAGACAGAATCATTCTCAGAAACTACTTTGTGATGTGTGCCTTCAACTCACAGAGTTTAACCTTTCTTTTCTTAGAGCAGTTTAGAAACACTCTGCTTGTTATGTCTGCAAGTGGATATTGGGACCTCTTTGAGGCCTTCGTTGCAAACGGGGTTTCTTCGTTTAATGCTAGACTAAGAAGAGTTCTCAGTAACTTTTTTGTGTTGTGTGTATTCAACTCACAGAGTTGAACCTTGCTTTAGAGAGAGCAGATTTGAAACACTCTTGCTGTGGCATTTTCAGGTGGAGATTTCAAGCGATTTGAGGACAATTGCAGAAAAGGAAATATCTTCGTATAATAACCAGACAGAATCATTCTCAGAAAGTGCGTTGTGATGTGTGCGTTCAACTCACAGAGTTTAACCTTTCTTTTCATAGAGGAGCTTGGAAACACACTGTTTGTAATGTCTGCAATTGGATATATGGACCTGTTTGAGGCCTCCGTTGGAAACGGGATTTCTTCATTGAATGCTAGACGGAAGAATTCTCAGTAAATTCTTTGTGTTGTGTGCATTGAACTCACAGAGTGGAACGTCCCTTTAGACAGAGCAGATTTGAAACACTTTTTGGCGGAATTTGCAAGTGGAGATTTTTAGCCCTTTGATGCCAACAGTAGAAAGGGAAATATCTTCAAATAAAAACCAGACAGAATCATTCTCAGAAAATTCTTTGTGATGTGTGCGTTCAACTCACATAGTTTAACCTTTCTTTTCATAGAGCAGTTTGGAAACACTCTGTTTGTAAAGTCTGCAAGTGGATATATGGACCGCATTGAGGCCTTCGTTGGAAACGGGATTTCTTCATTTCATGCTAGACAGAAGAATTCTCAGTAACTTCTTTGTGCTGTGTGTATTCAAATCACAGAGTTGAACCTTGCTTTAGAGAGAGCAGATTTGAAACACTCTTGCTGTGGCATTTTCAGGTGGAGATTTCAAGCGATTTGAGGAAAATTGCAGAAAAGGGAATATCTTCGTATAATAACCAGACAGAATCATTCTCAGAAAGTGCTTTGTGATGTGTGCGTTCCACTCACAGAGTTTAACCTTTCTTTTCATAGAGGAGTTTGGAAACACACTGTTTGTAAAGTCTGCAAGTGGATATATGGACCTGTTTGAGGCCTTCGTTGGAAACGGGATTTCTTCATTGAATGCTAGACGGAAGAATTCTCAGTAAATTCTTTGTGTTGTGTGCATTCAACTCACAGAGTGGAACGTCCCTTTAGACAGAGCAGATTTGAAACACTCTTTTTGCGGAATTTGCAAGTGGAGATTTCTAGCCATTTGATGCCAACAGTAGAAAGGGAAATATCTTCAAATAAAAACCAGACAGAATCATTCTCAGAAAATTCTTTGTGATGTGTGCGTTCAACTCACATAGTTTAACCTTTCTTTTCATAGAGCAGTTTGGAAACACTCTGTTTGTAAAGTCTGCAAGTGGATATATGGACCGCATTGAGGCCTTCGTTGGAAACGGGATTTCTTCATTTCATGCTAGACAGAAGAATTCTCAGTAACTTCTTTGTGCTGTGTGTATTCAACTCACAGAGTGGAACGTCCCTTTGCACAGAGCGGATTTGAAACACTCTTTTTGTGGAGTTTGCAAGTGGAGATTTCAAGCGATTTGATGCCAACAGTAGAAAAGGAAATATCTTCAAATAAAAACTAGACAGAATCATTCTCAAAAACTACTTTGTGATGTGTGCCTTCAACTCACAGAGTTTAACCTTTCTTTTCTTAGAGCAGTTTAGAAACACTCTGCTTGTTATGTCTGCAAGTGGATATTTGGACCTCTTTGAGGCCTTCGTTGCAAACGGGGTTTCTTCCTTTCATGCTAGACTAAGAAGAGTTCTCAGTAACTTTTTTGTGTTGTGTGTATTCAACTCACAGAGTTGAACCTTGCTTTAGAGAGAGCAGATTTGAAACACTCTTGCTGTGGCATTTTCAGGTGGAGATTTCAAGCGATTTGAGGACAATTGCAGAAAAGGAAATATCTTCGTATAATAACCAGACAGAATCATTCTCAGAAAGTGCTTTGTGATGTGTGCGTTCAACTCACAGAGTTTAACCTTTCTTTTCATAGAGGAGTTTGGAAACACACTGTTTGTAAAGTCTGCAATTGGATATATGGACCTGTTTGAGGCCTTCTTTGGAAACGGGATTTCTTCATTGAATGCTAGACGGAAGAATTCTCAGTAAATTCTTTGTGTTGTGTGCATTCAACTCACAGAGTGGAACGTCCCTTTAGACAGAGCAGATTTGAAACACTCTTTTTGCGGAATTTGCAAGTGGAGATTTCTAGCCATTTGATGCCAACAGTAGAAAGGGAAATATCTTCAAATAAAAACCAGACAGATCATTCTCAGAAAATTCTTTGTGATGTGTGCGTTCAACTCACATAGTTTAACCTTTCTTTTCATAGAGCAGTTTGGGAACACTCTGTTGGTAATGTCTGCAAGTGGATATATGGACCGCTTTGAGGCCTTCGTTGGAAACGGGATTTCTTCATTTCATGCTTGACAGAAGAATTCTCAGTAACTTCTTTGTGTTGTGTGTATTCAACTCACAGATTGGAACGTCCCTTTACACAGAGCAGATTTGAAACACTCTTTTTGTGTAATTTGCAAGTGGAGATTTCAAGCGATTTGATGCCAACAGTAGAAAAGGAAATATCTGCAAACAAAAACTAGACAGAATCATTATCAGAAAGTGCTTTGTGATGTGTGCATTCAACTCACAGAGTTAACCTTTCTTTTCATAAAGGAGTTTGGAAACACACTGTTTGTAAAGTCTGCAATTGGATATATGGACCTGTTTGAGGCCTTCGTTGGAAACGGGATTTCTTCATTGAATGCTAGACGGAAGAATTCTCAGTAAATTCTTTGTGTTGTGTGCATTCAACTCACAGAGTGGAACGTCCCTTTAGACAGAGCAGATTTGAAACACTCTTTTTGCGGAATTTGCAAGTGGAGATTTCTAGCCATTTGATGCCAACAGTAGAAAGGGAAATATCTTCAAATAAAAACCAGACAGAATCATTCTCAGAAAATTCTTTGTGATGTGTGCGTTCAACTCACATAGTTTAACCTTTCTTTTCATAGAGCAGTTTGGAAACACTCTGTTTGTAAAGTCTGCAAGTGGATATATGGACCGCATTGAGGCCTTCGTTGGAAACGGGATTTCTTCATTTCATGCTAGACAGAAGAATTCTCAGTAACTTCTTTGTGCTGTGTGTATTCAACTCACAGAGTGGAACGTCCCTTTGCACAGAGCAGATTTGAAACACTCTTTTTGTGGAGTTTGCAAGTGGAGATTTCAAGCGATTTGATGCCAACAGTAGAAAAGGAAATATCTTCAAATAAAAACTAGACAGAATCATTCTCAGAAACTACTTTGTGATGTGTGCCTTCAAATCACAGAGTTTAACCTTTCTGTTCTTAGAGCAGTTTAGAAACACTATGCTTGTTATGTCTGCAAGTGGATATTTGGACCTCTTTGAGGCCTTCGTTGCAAACGGGGTTTCTTCCTTTCATGCTAGACTAAGAAGAGTTCTCAGTAACTTTTTTGTGTTGTGTGTATTCAACTCACAGAGTTGAACCTTGCTTTAGAGAGAGCAGATTTAAAACACTCTTGCTGTGGCATTTTCAGGTGGAGATTTCAAGCGATTTGAGGACAATTGCAGAAAAGGAAATATCTTCGTATAATAACCAGACAGAATCATTCTCAGAAAGTGCTTTGTGATGTGTGCGTTCCACTCACAGAGTTTAACCTTTCTTTTCATAGAGGAGTTTGGAAACACACTGTTTGTAAACTCTGCAAGTGGATATATGGACCTGTTTGAGGCCTTCGTTGGAAACGGGATTTCTTCATTGAATGCTAGACGGAAGAATTCTCAGTAAATTCTTTGTGTTGTGTGCATTCAACTCACAGAGTGGAACGTCCCTTTAGACAGAGCAGATTTGAAACACTCTTTTTGCGGAATTTGCAAGTGGAGATTTCTAGCCATTTGATGCCAACAGTAGAAAGGGAAATATCTTCAAATAAAAACCAGACAGAATCATTCTCAGAAAATTCTTTGTGATGTGTGCGTTCAACTCACATAGTTTAACCTTTCTTTTCATAGAGCAGTTTGGAAACACTCTGTTTGTAAAGTCTGCAAGTGGATATATGGACCGCATTGAGGCCTTCGTTGGAAACGGGATTTCTTCATTTCATGCTAGACAGAAGAATTCTCAGTAACTTCTTTGTGCTGTGTGTATTCAACTCACAGAGTGGAACGTCCCTTTACACAGAGCAGATTTGAAACACTCTTTTTGTGGAGTTTGCAAGTGGAGATTTCAAGCGATTTGATGCCAACAGTAGAAAAGGAAATATCTTCAAATAAAAACTAAAAACTAGACAGATAATCATTCTCAGGAAACTACTTTGTGATGTGTGCCTTCAACTCACAGAGTTTAACCTTTCTTTTCTTAGAGCAGTTTAGAAACACTCTGCTTGTTATGTCTGCAAGTGGATATTTGGACCTCTTTGAGGCCTTCGTTGCAAACGGGGTTTCTTCCTTTAATGCTAGACTAAGAAGAATTCTCAGTAACTTCTTTGTGCTGTGTGTATTCAACTCACAGAGTTGAACCTTGCTTTAGAGAGAGCAGATTTGAAACACTCTTGCTGTGGCATTTTCAGGTGGAGATTTCAAGCGATTTGAGGACAATTGCAGAAAAGGAAATATCTTCAAATAATAACCAGACAGAATCATTCTCAGAAAGTGCTTTGTGATGTGTGCGTTCCACTCACAGAGTTTAACCTTTCTTTTCATAGAGGAGTTTGGAAACACACTGTTTGTAAAGTCTGCAAGTGGATATATGGACCTGTTTGAGGCCTTCGTTGGAAACGGGATTTCTTCATTGAATGCTAGACGGAAGAATTCTCAGTAAATTCTTTGTGTTGTGTGCATTCAACTCACAGAGTGGAACGTCCCTTTAGACAGAGCAGATTTGAAACACTCTTTTTGCGGAATTTGCAAGTGGAGATTTCTAGCCATTTGATGCCAACTGTAGAAAGGGAAATATCTTCAAATAAAAACCAGACAGAATCATTCTCAGAAAATTCTTTGTGATGTGTGCGTTCAACTCACATAGTTTAACCTTTCTTTTCATAGAGCAGTTTGGAAACACTCTGTTTGTAAAGTCTGCAAGTGGATATATGGACCGCATTGAGGCCTTCGTTGGAAACGGGATTTCTTCATTTCATGCTAGACAGAAGAATTCTCAGTAACTTCTTTGTGCTGTGTGTATTCAACTCACAGAGTGGAACGTCCCTTTACACAGAGCAGATTTGAAACACTCTTTTTGTGGAGTTTGCAAGTGGAGATTTCAAGCGATTTGATGCCAACAGTAGAAAAGGAAATATGCTTCAAATAAAAACTAGACAGAATCATTCTCAGAAACTACTTTGTGATGTGTGCCTTCAACTCACAGAGTTTAACCTTTCTTTTCTTAGAGCAGTTTAGAAACACTCTGCTTGTTATGTCTGCAAGTGGATATTTGGACCTCTTTGAGGCCTTCGTTGCAAACGGGGTTTCTTCCTTTCATGCTAGACTAAGAAGAGTTCTCAGTAACTTTTTTGTGTTGTGTGTATTCAACTCACAGAGTTGAACCTTGCTTTAGAGAGAGCAGATTTGAAACACTCTCGCTGTGGAATTTTCAGGTGGAGATTTCAAGCGATTTGAGGACAATTGCAGAAAAGGAAATATCTTCGTATAATAACCAGACAGAATCATTCTCAGAAAGTGCTTTGTGTTGTGTGCGTTCAACTCACAGAGTTTAACCTTTCTTTTCATAGAGGAGTTTGGAAACACACTGTTTGTAAAGTCTGCAATTGGATATATGGACCTGTTTGAGGCCTTCGTTGGAAACGGGATTTCTTCATTGAATGCTAGACGGAAGAATTCTCAGTAAATTCTTTGTGTTGTGTGCATTCAACTCACAGAGTGGAACGTCCCTTTAGACAGAGCAGATTTGAAACACTCTTTTTGCGGAATTTGCAAGTGGAGATTTCTAGCCATTTGATGCCAACAGTAGAAAGGGAAATATCTTCAAATAAAAACCAGACAGAATCATTCTCAGAAAATTCTTTGTGATGTGTGCGTTCAACTCACATAGTTTAACCTTTCTTTTCATAGAGCAGTTTGGAAACACTCTGTTTGTAAAGTCTGCAAGTGGATATATGGACCGCATTGAGGCCTTCGTTGGAAACGGGATTTCTTCATTTCATGCTAGACAGAAGAATTCTGAGTAACTTCTTTGTGCTGTGTGTATTCAACTCACAGAGTGGAACGTCCCTTTACACAGAGCAGATTTGAAACACTCTTTTTGTGGAGTTTGCAAGTGGAGATTTCAAGCGATTTGATGCCAACAGTAGAAAAGGAAATATCTTCAAATAAAAACTAGACAGAATCATTCTCAGAAACTACTTTGTGATGTGTGCCTTCAACTCACAGAGTTTAACCTTTCTTTTCTTAGAGCAGTTTAGAAACACTCTGCTTGTTATGTCTGCAAGTGGATATTTGGACCTCTTTGAGGCCTTCGTTGCAAACGGGGTTTCTTCCTTTCATGCTAGACTAAGAAGAGTTCTCAGTAACTTTTTTGTGTTGTGTGTATTCAACTCACAGAGTTCAACCTTGCTTTAGAGAGAGCAGATTTGAAACACTCTTGCTGTGGCATTTTTAGGTGGAGATTTCAAGCGATTTGAGGACAATTGCAGAAAAGGAAATATCTTCGTATAATAACCAGACAGAATCATTCTCAGAAAGTGCTTTGTGATGTGTGCGTTCAACTCACAGAGTTTAACCTTTCTTTTCATAGAGGAGTTTGGAAACACACTGTTTGTAATGTCTGCAATTGGATATATGGACCTGTTTGAGGCCTTCGTTGGAAACGGGATTTCTTCATTGAATGCTAGACGGAAGAATTCTCAGTAAATTCTTTGTGTTGTGTGCATTCAACTCACAGAGTGGAACGTCCCTTTAGACAGAGCAGATTTGAAACACTCTTTTTGCGGAATTTGCAAGTGGAGATTTCTAGCCATTTGATGGCCAACAGTAGAAAGGGAAATATCTTCAAATAAAAACCAGACAGAATCATTCTCAGAAAATTCTTTGTGATGTGTGCGTTCAAATCACATAGTTTAACCTTTCTTTTCATAGAGCAGTTTGGAAACACTCTGTTTGTAAAGTCTGCAAGTGGATATATGGACCGCATTGAGGCCTTCGTTGGAAACGGGATTTCTCCATTTCATGCTAGACAGAAGAATTCTCAGTAACTTCTTTGTGCTGTGTGTATTCAACTCACAGAGTGGAACGTCCCTTTGCACAGAGCAGATTTGAAACACTCTTTTTGTGGAGTTTGCAAGTGGAGATTTCAAGCGATTTGATGCCAACAGTAGAAAAGGAAATATCTTCAAATAAAAACTAGACAGAATCATTCTCAGAAACTACTTTGTGATGTGTGCCTTCAACTCACAGAGTTTAACCTTTCTTTTCTTAGAGCAGTTTAGAAACACTCTGCTTGTTATGTCTGCAAGTGGATATTTGGACCTCTTTGAGGCCTTCGTTGCAAACGGGGTTTCTTCCTTTCATGCTAGACTAAGAAGAGTTCTCAGTAACTTTTTTGTGTTGTGTGTATTCAACTCACAGAGTTGAACCTTGCTTTAGAGAGAGCAGATTTGAAACACTCTTGCTGTGGCATTTTCAGGTGGAGATTTCAAGCGATTTGAGGACAATTGCAGAAAAGGAAATATCTTCGTATAATAACCAGACAGAATCATTCTCAGAAAGTGCTTTGTGATGTGTGCGTTCAACTCACAGAGTTTAACCTTTCTTTTCATAGAGGAGTATGGAAACACACTGTTTGTAAAGTCTGCAATTGGATATATGGACCTGTTTGAGGCCTTCGTTGGAAACGGGATTTCTTCATTGAATGCTAGACGGAAGAATTCTCAGTAAATTCTTTGTGTTGTGTGCATTCAACTCACAGAGTGGAACGTCCCTTTAGACAGAGCAGATTTGAAACACTCTTTTTGCGGAATTTGCAAGTGGAGATTTCTAGCCATTTGATGCCAACAGTAGAAAGGGAAATATCTTCAAATAAAAACCAGACAGAATCATTCTCAGAAAATTCTTTGTGATGTGTGCGTTCAACTCACATAGTTTAACCTTTCTTTTCATAGAGCAGTTTGGAAACACTCTGTTTGTAAAGTCTGCAAGTGGATATATGGACCGCATTGAGGCCTTCGTTGGAAACGGGATTTCTTCATTTCATGCTAGACAGAAGAATTCTCAGTAACTTCTTTGTGCTGTGTGTATTCAACTCACAGAGTGGAACGTCCCTTTGCACAGAGCAGATTTGAAACACTCTTTTTGTGGAGTTTGCAAGTGGAGATTTCAAGCGATTTGATGCCAACAGTAGAAAAGGAAATATCTTCAAATAAAAACTAGACAGAATCATTCTCAGAAACTACTTTGTGATGTGTGCCTTCAACTCACAGAGTTTAACCTTTCTTTTCTTAGAGCAGTTTAGAAACACTCTGCTTGTTATGTCTGCAAGTGGATATTTGGACCTCTTTGAGGCCTTCGTTGCAAACAGGGGTTTCTTCCTTTAATGCTAGACTAAGAAGAGTTCTCAGTAACTTTTTTGTGTTGTGTGTATTCAACTCACAGAGTTGAACCTTGCTTTAGAGAGAGCAGATTTGAAACACTCTTGCTGTGGCATTTTCAGGTGGAGATTTCAAGCGATTTGAGGACAATTGCAGAAAAGGAAATATCTTCGTATAACAACCAGACAGAATCATTCTCAGAAAGTGCTTTGTGATGTGTGCGTTCAACTCACAGAGTTTAACCTTTCTTTTCATAGAGGAGTTTGGAAACACACTGTTTGTAAAGTCTGCAATTGGATATATGGACCTGTTTGAGGCCTTCGTTGGAAACGAGATTTCTTCATTGAATGCTAGACGGAAGAATTCTCAGTAAATTCTTTGTGTTGTGTGCATTCAACTCACAGAGTGGAACGTCCCTTTAGACAGAGCAGATTTGAAACACTCTTTTTGCGGAATTTGCAAGTGGAGATTTCTAGCCATTTGATGCCAACAGTAGAAAGGGAAATATCTTCAAATAAAAACCAGACAGAATCATTCTCAGAAAATTCTTTGTGATGTGTGCGTTCAACTCACATAGTTTAACCTTTCTTTTCATAGAGCAGTTTGGAAACACTCTGTTTGTAAAGTCTGCAAGTGGATATATAGACCGCATTGAGGCCTTCGTTGGAAACGGGATTTCTTCATTTCGTGCTAGACAGAAGAATTCTCAGTAACTTCTTTGTGCTGTGTGTATTCAACTCACAGAGTGGAACGTCCCTTTACACAGAGCAGATTTGAAACACTCTTTTTGTGGAGTTTGCAAGTGGAGATTTCAAGCGATTTGATGCCAGCAGTAGAAAAGGAAATATCTTCAAATAAAAACTAGACAGAATCATTCTCAGAAACTACTTTGTGATGTGTGCCTTCAACTCACAGAGTTTAACCTTTCTTTTCTTAGAGCAGTTTAGAAACACTCTGCTTGTTATGTCTGCAAGTGGATATTTGGACCTCTTTGAGGCCTTCGTTGCAAACGGGGTTTCTTCCTTTCATGCTAGACTAAGAAGAGTTCTCAGTAACATTTTTGTGTTGTGTGTATTCAACTCACAGAGTTGAACCTTGCTTTAGAGAGAGCAGATTTGAAACACTCTTGCTGTGGCATTTTCAGGTGGAGATTTCAAGCGATTTGAGGACAATTGCAGAAAAGGAAATATCTTCGTATAACAACCAGACAGAATCATTCTCAGAAAGTGCTTTGTGATGTGTGCGTTCAACTCACAGAGTTTAACCTTTCTTTTCATAGAGGAGTTTGGAAACACACTGTTTGTAAAGTCTGCAATTGGATATATGGACCTGTTTGAGGCCTTCGTTGGAAACGGGATTTCTTCATTGAATGCTAGACGGAAGAATTCTCAGTAAATTCTTTGTGTGGTGTGCATTCAACTGACAGAGTGGAACGTCCCTTTAGACAGAGCAGATTTGAAACACTCTTTTTGCGGAATTTGCAAGTGGAGATTTCTAGCCATTTGATGCCAACAGTAGAAAGGGAAATATCTTCAAATAAAAACCAGACAGAATCATTCTCAGAAAATTCTTTGTGATGTGTGCGTTCAACTCACATAGTTTAACCTTTCTTTTCATAGAGCAGTTTGGAAACACTCTGTTTGTAAAGTCTGCAAGTGGATATATGGACCGCATTGAGGCCTTCGTTGGAAACGGGATTTCTTCATTTCATGCTAGACAGAAGAATTCTCAGTAACTTCTTTGTGCTGTGTGTATTCAACTCACAGAGTGGAAAGTTCCTTTACACAGAGCAGATTTGAAACACTCTTTTTGTGGAATTTGCAAGTGGAGATTTCAAGCGATTTGATGCCAACAGTAGAAAAGGAAATATCTTCAAATAAAAACTAGACAGAATCATTCTCAGAAACTACTTTGTGATGTGTGCCTTCAACTCACAGAGTTTAACCTTTCTTTTCTTAGAGCAGTTTAGAAACACTCTGCTTGTTATGTCTGCAAGTGGATATTTGGACCTCTTTGAGGCCTTCGTTGCAAACGGGGTTTCTTCCTTTCATGCTAGACTAAGAAGAGTTCTCAGTAACTTTTTTGTGTTGTGTGTATTCAACTCACAGAGTTGAACCTTGCTTTAGAGAGAGCAGATTTGAAACACTCTTGCTGTGGCATTTTCAGGTGGAGATTTCAAGCGATTTGAGGACAATTGCAGAAAAGGAAATATCTTCGTATAATAACCAGACAGAATCATTCTCAGAAAGTGCTTTGTGATGTGTGCGTTCAACTCACAGAGTTTAACCTTTCTTTTCATAGAGGAGTTTGGAAACACACTGTTTGTAAAGTCTGCAAGTGGATATATGGACCTGTTTGAGGCCTTCGTTGGAAACGGGATTTCTTCATTGAATGCTAGACGGAAGAATTCTCAGTAAATTCTTTGTGTTGTGTGCATTCAACTCACAGAGTGGAACGTCCCTTTAGACAGAGCAGATTTGAAACACTCTTTTTGCGGAATTTGCAAGTGGAGATTTCTAGCCATTTGATGCCAACAGTAGAAAGGGAAATATCTTCAAATAAAAACCAGACAGAATCATTCTCAGAAAATTCTTTGTGATGTGTGCGTTCAACTCACATAGTTTAACCTTTCTTTTCATAGAGCAGTTTGGAAACACTCTGTTTGTAAAGTCTGCAAGTGGATATATGGACCGCATTGAGGCCTTCGTTGGAAACGGGATTTCTTCATTTCATGCTAGACAGAAGAATTCTCAGTAACTTCTTTGTGCTGTGTGTATTCAACTCACAGAGTGGAACGTCCCTTTGCACAGAGCGGATTTGAAACACTCTTTTTGTGGAGTTTGCAAGTGAAGATTTCAAGCGATTTGATGCCAACAGTAGAAAAGGAAATATCTTCAAATAAAAACTAGACAGAATCATTCTCAAAAACTACTTTGTGATGTGTGCCTTCAACTCACAGAGTTTAACCTTTCTTTTCTTAGAGCAGTTTAGAAACACTCTGCTTGTTATGTCTGCAAGTGGATATTTGGACCTCTTTGAGGCCTTCGTTGCAAACGGGGTTTCTTCCTTTCATGCTAGACTAAGAAGAGTTCTCAGTAACTTTTTTGTGTTGTGTGTATTCAACTCACAGAGTTGAACCTTGCTTTAGAGAGAGCAGATTTGAAACACTCTTGCTGTGGCATTTTCAGGTGGAGATTTCAAGCGTTTTGAGGACAATTGCAGAAAAGGAAATATCTTCGTATAATAACCAGACAGAATCATTCTCAGAAAGTGCTTTGTGATGTGTGCGTTCCACTCACAGAGTTTAACCTTTCTTTTCATAGAGGAGTTTGGAAACACACTGTTTGTAAAGTCTGCAAGTGGATATATGGACCTGTTTGAGGCCTTCGTTGGAAACGGGATTTCTTCATTGAATGCTAGACGGAAGAATTCTCAGTAAATTCTTTGTGTTGTGTGCATTCAACTCACAGAGTGGAACGTCCCTTTAGACTGAGCAGATTTGAAACACTCTTTTTGCGGAATTTGCAAGTGGAGATTTCTAGCCATTTGCTGCCAACAGTAGAAAGGGAAATATCTTCAAATAAAAACCAGACAGAATCATTCTCAGAAAATTCTTTGTGATGTGTGCGTTCAACTCATATAGTTTAACCTTTCTTTTCTTAGAGCAGTTTAGAAACACTCTGCTTGTTATGTCTGCAAGTGGATATTTGGACCTCTTTGAGGCCTTCGTTGCAAACGGGGTTTCTTCCTTTCATGCTAGACTAAGAAGAGTTCTCAGTAACTTTTTTGTGTTGTGTGTATTCAACTCACAGAGTTGAACCTTGCTTTAGAGAGAGCAGATTTGAAACACTCTTGCTGTGGCATTTTCAGGTGGAGATTTCAAGCGATTTGAGGACAATTGCAGAAAAGGAAATATCTTCGTATAATAACCAGACAGAATCATTCTCAGAAAGTGCTTTGTGATGTGTGCGTTCCACTCACAGAGTTTAACCTTTCTTTTCATAGAGGAGTTTGGAAACACACTGTTTGTAAAGTCTGCAAGTGGATATATGGACCTCTTTGAGGCCTTCGTTGGAAACGGGATTTCTTCATTGAATGCTAGACGGAAGAATTCTCAGTAAATTCTTTGTGTTGTGTGCATTCAACTCACAGAGTGGAACGTCCCTTTAGACAGAGCAGATTTGAAACACTCTTTTTGCGGAATTTGCAAGTGGAGATTTCTAGCCGTTTGATGCCAACAGTAGAAAGGGAAATATCTTCAAATAAAAACCAGACAGAATCATTCTCAGAAAATTCTTTGTGATGTGTGCGTTCAACTCACATAGTTTAACCTTTCTTTTCATAGAGCAGTTTGGAAACACTCTGTTTGTAAAGTCTGCAAGTGGATATATGGACCGCATTGAGGCCTTCGTTGGAAACGGGATTTCTTCATTTCATGCTAGACAGAAGAATTCTCAGTAACTTCTTTGTGCTGTGTGCATTCAACTCACAGAGTGGAACGTCCCTTTGCACAGAGCAGATTTGAAACACTCTTTTTGTGGAATTTGCAAGTGGAGATTTCAAGCGATTTGATGCCAACAGTAGAAAAGGAAATATCTTCAAATAAAAACTAGACAGAATCATTCTCAGAAACTACTTTGTGATGTGTGCCTTCAACTCACAGAGTTTAACCTTTCTTTTCTTAGAGCAGTTTAGAAACACTCTGCTTGTTATGTCTGCAAGTGGATATTTGGACCTCTTTGAGGCCTTCGTTGCAAACGGGGTTTCTTCCTTTCATGCTAGACTAAGAAGAGTTCTCAGTAACATTTTTGTGTTGTGTGTATTCAACTCACAGAGTTGAACCTTGCTTTAGAGAGAGCAGATTTGAAACACTCTTGCTGTGGCATTTTCAGGTGGAGATTTCAAGCGATTTGAGGACAATTGCAGAAAAGGAAATATCTTCGTATAACAACCAGACAGAATCATTCTCAGAAAGTGCTTTGTGATGTGTGCGTTCAACTCACAGAGTTTAACCTTTCTTTTCATAGAGGAGTTTGGAAACACACTGTTTGTAAAGTCTGCAATTGGATATATGGACCTGTTTGAGGCCTTCGTTGGAAACGGGATTTCTTCATTGAATGCTAGACGGAAGAATTCTCAGTAAATTCTTTGTGTGGTGTGCATTCAACTCACAGAGTGGAACGTCCCTTTAGACAGAGCAGATTTGAAACACTCTTTTTGCGGAATTTGCAAGTGGAGATTTCTAGCCATTTGATGCCAACAGTAGAAAGGGAAATATCTTCAAATAAAAACCAGACAGAATCATTCTCAGAAAATTCTTTGTGATGTGTGCGTTCAACTCACATAGTTTAACCTTTCTTTTCATAGAGCAGTTTGGAAACACTCTGTTTGTAAAGTCTGCAAGTGGATATATGGACCGCATTGAGGCCTTCGTTGGAAACGGGATTTCTTCATTTCATGCTAGACAGAAGAATTCTCAGTAACTTCTTTGTGCTGTGTGTATTCAACTCACAGAGTGGAACGTCCCTTTGCACAGAGCAGATTTGAAACACTCTTTTTGTGGAGTTTGCAAGTGGAGATTTCAAGCGATTTGATGCCAACAGTAGAAAAGGAAATATCTTCAAATAAAAACTAGACAGAATCATTCTCAGAAACTACTTTGTGATGTGTGCCTTCAACTCACAGAGTTTAACCTTTCTTTTCTTAGAGCAGTTTAGAAACACTCTGCTTGTTATGTCTGCAAGTGGATATTTGGACCTCTTTGAGGCCTTCGTTGCAAACGGGGTTTCTTCCTTTCATGCTAGACTAAGAAGAGTTCTCAGTAACTTTTTTGTGTTGTGTGTATTCAACTCACAGAGCTGAACCTTGCTTTAGAGAGAGCAGATTTGAAACACTCTTGCTGTGGCATTTTCAGGTGGAGATTTCAAGCGATTTGAGGACAATTGCAGAAAAGGAAATATCTTCGTATAACAACCAGACAGAATCATTCTCAGAAAGTGCTTTGTGATGTGTGCGTTCCACTCACAGAGTTTAACCTTTCTTTTCATAGAGGAGTTTGGAAACACACTGTTTGTAAACTCTGCAAGTGGATATATGGACCTGTTTGAGGCCTTCGTTGGAAACGGGATTTCTTCATTGAATGCTAGACGGAAGAATTCTCAGTAAATTCTTTGTGTGGTGTGCATTCAACTCACAGAGTGGAACGTCCCTTTAGACAGAGCAGATTTGAAACACTCTTTTTGCGGAATTTGCAAGTGGAGATTTCTAGCCATTTGATGCCAACAGTAGAAAGGGAAATATCTTCAAATAAAAACCAGACAGAATCATTCTCAGAAAATTCTTTGTGATGTGTGCGTTCAACTCACATAGTTTAACCTTTCTTTTCATAGAGCAGTTTGGAAACACTCTGTTTGTAAAGTCTGCAAGTGGATATATGGACCGCATTGAGGCCTTCGTTGGAAACGGGATTTCTTCATTTCATGCTAGACAGAAGAATTCTCAGTAACTTCTTTGTGCTGTGTGTATTCAACTCACAGAGTGGAACGTCCCTTTGCACAGAGCAGATTTGAAACACTCTTTTTGTGGAGTTTGCAAGTGGAGATTTCAAGCGATTTGATGCCAACAGTAGAAAAGGAATATCTTCAAATAAAACTAGACAGAATCATTCTCAGAAACTACTTTGTGATGTGTGCCTTCAACTCACAGCAGTTTAACCTTTCTTTTCTTAGAGCAGTTTAGAAACACTCTGCTTGTTATGTCTGCAAGTGGATATTTGGACCTCTTTGAGGCCTTCGTTGCAAACGGGGTTTCTTCCGTTCATGCTAGACTAAGAAGAGTTCTCAGTAACTTTTCTGTGTTGTGTGTATTCAACTCACAGAGTTGAACCTTGCTTTAGAGAGAGCAGATTTGAAACACTCTTGCTGTGACATTTTCAGGTGGAGATTTCAAGCGATTTGAGGACAATTGCAGAAAAGGAAATATCTTCGTATAACAACCAGACAGAATCATTCTCAGAAAGTGCTTTGTGATGTGTGCGTTCCACTCACAGAGTTTAACCTTTCTTTTCATAGAGGAGTTTGGAAACACACTGTTTGTAAAGTCTGCAAGTGGATATATGGACCTGTTTGAGGCCTTCGTTGGAAACGGGATTTCTTCATTGAATGCTAGACGGAAGAATTCTCAGTAAATTCTTTGTGTTGTGTGCATTCAACTCACAGAGTGGAACGTCCCTTTAGACAGAGCAGATTTGAAACACTCTTTTTGCGGAATTTGCAAGTGGAGATTTCTAGCCATTTGATGCCAACAGTAGAAAGGGAAATATCTTCAAATAAAAACCAGACAGAATCATTCTCAGAAAATTCTTTGTGATGTGTGCGTTCAACTCACATAGTTTAACCTTTCTTTTCATAGAGCAGTTTGGAAACACTCTGTTTGTAAAGTCTGCAAGTGGATATATGGACCGCATTGAGGCCTTCGTTGGAAACGGGATTTCTTCATTTCATGCTAGACAGAAGAATTCTCAGTAACTTCTTTGTGCTGTGTGTATTCAACTCACAGAGTGGAACGTCCCTTTGCACAGAGCAGATTAGAAACACTCTTTTTGTGGAATTTGCAAGTGGAGATTTCAAGCGATTTGATGCCAACAGTAGAAAAGGAAATATCTTCAAATAAAAACTAGACAGAATCATTCTCAGAAACTACTTTGTGATGTGTGCCTTCAACTCACAGAGTTTAACCTTTCTTTTCTTAGAGCAGTTTAGAAACACTCTGCTTGTTATGTCTGCAAGTGGATATTTGGACCTCTTTGAGGCCTTCGTTGCAAACGGGGTTTCTTCCTTTCATGCTAGACTAAGAAAGAGTTCTCAGTAACTTTTTTGTGTTGTGTGTATTCAACTCACAGAGTTGAACCTTGCTTTAGAGAGAGCAGATTTGAAACACTCTTGCTGTGGCATTTTCAGGTGGAGATTTCAAGCGATTTGAGGACAATTGCAGAAAAGGAAATATCTTCGTATAACAACCAGACAGAATCATTCTCAGAAAGTGCTATGTGATGTGTGCGTTCAACTCACAGAGTTTAACCTTTCTTTTCATAGAGGAGTTTGGAAACACACTGTTTGTAAAGTCTGCAATTGGATATATGGACCTGTTTGAGGCCTTCGTTGGAAACGGGATTTCTTCATTGAATGCTAGACGGAAGAATTCTCAGTAAATACTTTGTGTTGTGTGCATTCAACTGACAGAGTGGAACGTCCCTTTAGACAGAGCAGATTTGAAACACTCTTTTTGCGGAATTTGCAAGTGGAGATTTCTAGCCATTTGATGCCAACAGTAGAAAGGGAAATATCTTCAAATAAAAACCAGACAGAATCATTCTCAGAAAGTGCTTTGTGATGTGTGCGTTCAACTCACAGAGTTTAACCTTTCTTTTCATAGAGGAGTTTGGAAACACACTGTTTGTAAAGTCTGCAAGTGGATATATGGACCGCATTGAGGCCTTCGTTGGAAACGGGATTTCTTCATTTCATGCTAGACAGAAGAATTCTCAGTAACTTCTTTGTGCTGTGTGTATTCAACTCACAGAGTGGAACGTCCCTTTGCACAGAGCAGATTTGAAACACTCTTTTTGTGGAGTTTGCAAGTGGAGATTTCAAGCGATTTGATGCCAACAGTAGAAAAGGAAATATCTTCAAATAAAAACTAGACAGAATCATTCTCAGAAACTACTTTGTGATGTGTGCCTTCAACTCACAGAGTTTAACCTTTCTTTTCTTAGAGCAGTTTAGAAACACTCTGCTTGTTATGTCTGCAAGTGGATATTTGGACCTCTTTGAGGCCTTCGTTGCAAATGGGGTTTCTTCCTTTCATGCTAGACTAAGAAGAGTTCTCAGTAACTTTTTTGTGTTGTGTGTATTCAACTCACAGAGTTGAACCTTGCTTTAGAGAGAGCAGATTTGAAACACTCTTGCTGTGGCATTTTCAGGTGGAGATTTCAAGCGATTTGAGGACAATTGCAGAAAAGGAAATATCTTCGTATAATAACCAGACAGAATCATTCTCAGAAAGTGCTTTGTGATGTGTGCGTTCAACTCACAGAGTTTAACCTTTCTTTTCATAGAGGAGTTTGGAAACACACTGTTTGTAAAGTCTGCAAGTGGATATATGGACCTGTTTGAGGCCTTCGTTGGAAACGGGATTTCTTCATTGAATGCTAGACGGAAGAATTCTCAGTAAATTCTTTGTGTTGTGTGCATTCAACTCACAGAGTGGAACGTCCCTTTAGACAGAGCAGATTTGAAACACTCTTTTTGCGGAATTTGCAAGTGAAGATTTCTAGCCATTTGATGCCAACAGTAGAAAGGGAAATATCTTCAAATAAAAACCAGACAGAATCATTCTCAGAAAATTCTTTGTGATGTGTGCGTTCAAATCACATAGTTTAACCTTTCTTTTCATAGAGCAGTTTGGAAACACTCTGTTTGTAAAGTCTGCAAGTGGATATATGGACCGCATTGAGGCCTTCGTTGGAAACGGGATTTCTCCATTTCATGCTAGACAGAAGAATTCTCAGTAACTTCTTTGTGCTGTGTGTATTCAACTCACAGAGTGGAACGTCCCTTTGCACAGAGCAGATTTGAAACACTCTTTTTGTGGAATTTGCAAGTGGAGATTTCAAGCGATTTGATGCCAACAGTAGAAAAGGAAATATCTTCAAATAAAAACTAGACAGAATCATTCTCAGAAACTACTTTGTGATGTGTGCCTTCAACTCACAGAGTTCAACCTTTCTTTTCTTAGAGCAGTTTAGAAACACTCTGCTTGTTATGTCTGCAAGTGGATATTTGGACCTCTTTGAGGCCTTCGTTGCAAACGGGGTTTCTTCCTTTCATGCTAGACTAAGAAGAGTTCTCAGTAACTTTTTTGTGTTGTGTGTATTCAACTCACAGAGTTGAACCTTGCTTTAGAGAGAGCAGATTTGAAACACTCTTGCTGTGGCATTTTCAGGTGGAGATTTCAAGCGATTTGAGGACAATTGCAGAAAAGGAAATATCTTCGTATAATAACCAGACAGAATCATTCTCAGAAAGTGCTTTGTGATGTGTGCGTTCAACTCACAGAGTTTAACCTTTCTTTTCAGAGAGGAGTTTGGAAACACTCTGTTTGTAAAGTCTGCAAGTGGATATATGGACCTGTTTGAGGCCTTCGTTGGAAACGGGATTTCTTCATTGAATGCTAGACGGAAGAATTCTCAGTAAATTCTTTGTGTTGTGTGCATTCAACTCACAGAGTGGAACGTCCCTTTAGACAGAGCAGATTTGAAACACTCTTTTTGCGGAATTTGCAAGTGGAGATTTCTAGCCATTTGATGCCAACAGTAGAAAGGGAAATATCTTCAAATAAAAACCAGACAGAATCATTCTCAGAAAATTCTTTGTGATGTGTGCGTTCAACTCACATAGTTTAACCTTTCTTTTCATAGAGCAGTTTGGAAACACTCTGTTTGTAAAGTCTGCAAGTGGATATATGGACCGCATTGAGGCCTTCGTTGGAAACGGGATTTCTTCATTTCATGCTAGACAGAAGAATTCTCAGTAACTTCTTTGTGCTGTGTGTATTCAACTCACAGAGTGGAACGTCCCTTTGCACAGAGCAGATTTGAAACACTCTTTTTGTGGAGTTTGCAAGTGGAGATTTCAAGCGATTTGATGCCAACAGTAGAAAAGGAAATATCTTCAAATAAAAACTAGACAGAATCATTCTCAGAAACTACTTTGTGATGTGTGCCTTCAACTCACAGAGTTTAACCTTTCTTTTCTTAGAGCAGTTTAGAAACACTCTGCTTGTTATGTCTGCAAGTGGATATTTGGACCTCTTTGAGGCCTTCGTTGCAAACGGGGTTTCTTCCTTTCATGCTAGACTAAGAAGAGTTCTCAGTAACTTTTTTGTGTTGTGTGTATTCAACTCACAGAGTTGAACCTTGCTTTAGAGAGAGCAGATTTGAAACACTCTTGCTGTGGCATTTTCAGGTGGAGATTTCAAGCGATTTGAGGACAATTGCAGAAAAGGAAATATCTTCGTATAATAACCAGACAGAATCATTCTCAGAAAGTGCTTTGTGATGTGTGCGTTCAACTCACAGAGTTTAACCTTTCTTTTCATAGAGGAGTTTGGAAACACACTGTTTGTAAAGTCTGCAATTGGATATATGGACCTGTTTGAGGCCTTCGTTGGAAACGGGATTTCTTCATTGAATGCTAGACGGAAGGATTCTCAGTAAATTCTTTGTGTTGTGTGCATTCAACTCACAGAGTGGAACGTCCCTTTAGACAGAGCAGATTTGAAACACTCTTTTTGCGGAATTTGCAAGTGGAGATTTCTAGCCATTTGATGCCAACAGTAGAAAGGGAAATATCTTCAAATAAAAACCAGACAGAATCATTCTCAGAAAATTCTTTGTGATGTGTGCGTTCAACTCACATAGTTTAACCTTTCTTTTCATAGAGCAGTTTGGAAACACTCTGTTTGTAAAGTCTGCAAGTGGATATATGGACCGCATTGAGGCCTTCGTTGGAAACGGGATTTCTTCATTTCATACTAGACAGAAGAATTCTCAGTAACTTCTTTGTGCTGTGTGTATTCAACTCACAGAGTGGAACGTCCCTTTGCACAGAGCAGATTTGAAACACTCTTTTTGTGGAGTTTGCAAGTGGAGATTTCAAGCGATTTGATGCCAACAGTAGAAAAGGAAATATCTTCAAATAAAAACTAGACAGAATCATTCTCAGAAACTACTTTGTGATGTGTGCCTTTAACTCACAGAGTTTAACCTTTCTTTTCTTAGAGCAGTTTAGAAACACTCTGCTTGTTATGTCTGCAAGTGGATATTTGGACCTCTTTGAGGCCTTCGTTGCAAACGGGGTTTCTTCCTTTCATGCTAGACTAAGAAGAGTTCTCAGTAACTTTTTTGTGTTGTGTGTATTCAACTCACAGAGTTGAACCTTGCTTTAGAGAGAGCAGATTTGAAACACTCTCGCTGTGGAATTTTCAGGAGGAGATTTCAAGCGATTTGAGGACAATTGCAGAAAAGGAAATATCTTCGTATAATAACCAGACAGAATCATTCTCAGAAAGTGCTTTGTGATGTGTGCGTTCAACTCACAGAGTTTAACCTTTCTTTTCATAGAGGAGTTTGGAAACACACTGTTTGTAAAGTCTGCAATTGGATATATGGACCTGTTTGAGGCCTCCGTTGGAAACGGGATTTCTTCATTGAATGCTAGACGGAAGAATTCTCAGTAAATTCTTTGTGTTGTGTGCATTCAACTCACAGAGTGGAACGTCCCTTTAGACAGAGCAGATTTGAAACACTCTTTTTGCGGAATTTGCAAGTGGAGATTTCTAGCCATTTGATGCCAACAGTAGAAAGGGAAATATCTTCAAATAAAAACCAGACAGAATCATTCTCCGAAAATTCTTTGTGATGTGTGCGTTCAACTCACATAGTTTAACCTTTCTTTTCATAGAGCAGTTTGGAAACACTCTGTTTGTAAAGTCTGCAAGTGGATATATGGACCGCATTGAGGCCTTCGTTGGAAACGGGATTTCTTCATTTCATGCTAGACAGAAGAATTCTCAGTAACTTCTTTGTGCTGTGTGTATTCAACTCACAGAGTGGAACGTCCCTTTACACAGAGCAGATTTGAAACACTCTTTTTGTGGAATTTGCAAGTGGAGATTTCAAGCGATTTGATGCCAACAGTAGAAAAGGAAATATCTTCAAATAAAAACTAGACAGAATCATTCTCAGAAACTACTTTGTGATGTGTGCCTTCAACTCACAGAGTTTAACCTTTCTTTTCTTAGAGCAGTTTAGAAACACTCTGCTTGTTATGTCTGCAAGTGGATATTTGGACCTCTTTGAGGACTTCGTTGCAAACGGGGTTTCTTCCTTTCATGCTAGACTAAGAAGAGTTCTCAGTAACTTTTCTGTGTTGTGTGTATTCAACTCACAGAGTTGAACCTTGCTTTAGAGAGAGCAGATTTGAAACACTCTTGCTGTGACATTTTCAGGTGGAGATTTCAAGCGATTTGAGGACAATTGCAGAAAAGGAAATATCTTCGTATAACAACCAGACAGAATCATTCTCAGAAAGTGCTTTGTGATGTGTACGTTCCACTCACAGAGTTTAACCTTTCTTTTCATAGAGGAGTTTGGAAACACACTGTTTGTAAAGTCTGCAATTGGATATATGGACCTGTTTGAGGCCTTCGTTGGAAACGGGATTTCTTCATTGAATGCTAGACGGAAGAATTCTCAGTAAATTCTTTGTGTTGTGTGCATTCAACTGACAGAGTGGAACGTCCCTTTAGACAGAGCAGATTTGAAACACTCTTTTTGCGGAATTTGCAAGTGGAGATTTCTAGCCATTTGATGCCAACAGTAGAAAGGGAAATATCTTCAAATAAAAACCAGACAGAATCATTCTCAGAAAATTCTTTGTGATGTGTGCGTTCAACTCACATAGTTTAACCTTTCTTTTCATAGAGCAGTTTGGAAACACTCTGTTTGTAAAGTCTGCAAGTGGATATATGGACCGCATTGAGGCCTTCGTTGGAAACGGGATTTCTTCATTTCATGCTAGACAGAAGAATTCTCAGTAACTTCTTTGTGCTGTGTGTATTCAACTCACAGAGTGGAACGTCCCTTTACACAGAGCAGATTTGAAACACTCTTTTTGTGGAGTTTGCATGTGGAGATTTCAAGCGATTTGATGCCAACAGTAGAAAAGGAAATATCTTCAAATAAAAACTAGACAGAATCATTCTCAGAAACTACTTTGTGATGTGTGCCTTCAACTCACAGAGTTTAACCTTTCTTTTCTTAGAGCAGTTTAGAAACACTCTGCTTGTTATGTCTGCAAGTGGATATTTGGACCTCTTTGAGGCCTTCGTTGCAAACGGGGTTTCTTCCTTTCATGCTAGACTAAGAAGAGTTCTCAGTAACTTTTTTGTGTTGTGTGTATTCAACTCACAGAGTTGAACCTTGCTTTAGAGAGAGCAGATTTGAAACACTCTTGCTGTGGCATTTTCAGGTGGAGATTTCAAGCGATTTGAGGACAATTGCAGAAAAGGAAATATCTTCGTATAATAACCAGACAGAATCATTCTCAGAAAGTGCTTTGTGATGTGTGCGTTCAACTCACAGAAGTTTAACCTTTCTTTTCATAGAGGAGTTTGGAAACACACTGTTTGTAAAGTCTGCAATTGGATATATGGACCTGTTTGAGGCCTTCGTTGGAAACGGGTTTTCTTCATTGAATGCTAGACGGAAGAATTCTCAGTAAATTCTTTGTGTTGTGTGCATTCAACTCACAGAGTGGAACGTCCCTTTAGACAGAGCAGATTTGAAACACTCTTTTTGCGGAATTTGCAAGTGGAGATTTCTAGCCATTTGATGCCAACAGTAGAAAGGGAAATATCTTCAAATAAAAACCAGACAGAATCATTCTCAGAAAATTCTTTCTGATGTGTGCATTCAACTCACATAGTTTAACCTTTCTTTTCATAGAGCAGTTTGGAAACACTCTGTTTGTAAAGTCTGCAAGTGGATATATGGACCGCATTGAGGCCTTCGTTGGAAACGGGATTTCTTCATTTCATGCTAGACAGAAGAATTCTCAGTAACTTCTTTGTGCTGTGTGTATTCAACTCACAGAGTGGAACGTCCCTTTACACAGAGCAGATTTGAAACACTCTTTTTGTGGAGTTTGCAAGTGGAGATTTCAAGCGATTTGATGCCAACAGTAGAAAAGGAAATATCTTCAAATAAAAACTAGACAGAATCATTCTCAGAAACTACTTTGTGATGTGTGCCTTCAACTCACAGAGTTTAACCTTTCTTTTCTTAGAGCAGTTTAGAAACACTCTGCTTGTTATGTCTGCAAGTGGATATTTGGACCTCTTTGAGGCCTTCGTTGCAAACGGGGTTTCTTCCTTTAATGCTAGACTAAGAAGAGTTCTCAGTAACTTTTTTGTGTTGTGTGTATTCAACTCACAGAGTTGAACCTTGCTTTAGAGAGAGCAGATTTGAAACACTCTCGCTGTGGAATTTTCAGGTGGAGATTTCAAGCGATTTGAGGACAATTGCAGAAAAGGAAATATCTTCGTATAATAACCAGACAGAATCATTCTCAGAAAGTGCTTTGTGATGTGTGCGTTCAACTCACAGAGTTTAACCTTTCTTTTCATAGAGGAGTTTGGAAACACACTGTTTGTAATGTCTGCAATTGGATATATGGACCTGTTTGAGGCCTTCGTTGGAAACGGGATTTCTTCATTGAATGCTAGACGGAAGAATTCTCAGTAAATTCTTTGTGTTGTGTGCATTCAACTCACAGAGTGGAACGTCCCTTTAGACAGAGCAGATTTGAAACACTTTTTGGCGGAATTTGCAAGTGGAGATTTTTAGCCATTTGATGCCAACAGTAGAAAGGGAAATATCTTCAAATAAAAACCAGACAGAATCATTCTCAGAAAATTCTTTGTGATGTGTGCGTTCAACTCACATAGTTTAACCTTTCTTTTCATAGAGCAGTTTGGAAACACTCTGTTTGTAAAGTCTGCAAGTGGATATATGGACCGCATTGAGGCCTTCGTTGGAAACGGGATTTCTTCATTTCATGCTAGACAGAAGAATTCTCAGTAACTTCTTTGTGCTGTGTGTATTCAACTCACAGAGTGGAACGTCCCTTTACACAGAGCAGATTTGAAACACTCTTTTTGTGGAATTTGCAAGTGGAGATTTCAAGCGATTTGATGCCAACAGTAGAAAAGGAAATATCTTCAAATAAAAACTAGACAGAATCATTCTCAGAAACTACTTTGTGATGTGTGCCTTCAACTCACAGAGTTTAACCTTTCTTTTCTTAGAGCAGTTTAGAAACACTCTGCTTGTTATGTCTGCAAGTGGATATTTGGACCTCTTTGAGGCCTTCGTTGCAAACGGGGTTTCTTCCTTTCATGCTAGACTAAGAAGAGTTCTCAGTAACTTTTTTGTGTTGTGTGTATTCAACTCACAGAGTTGAACCTTGCTTTAGAGAGAGCAGATTTGAAACACTCTTGCTGTGGCATTTTCAGGTGGAGATTTCAAGCGATTTGAGGACAATTGCAGAAAAGGAACTACTTCGTATAATAACCAGACAGAATCATTCTCAGAAAGTGCTTTGTGATGTGTGCGGTTCAACTCACAGAGTTTAACCTTTCTTTTCATAGAGGAGTTTGGAAACACACTGTTTGTAAAGTCTGCAATTGGATATATGGACCTGTTTGAGGCCTTCGTTGGAAACGGGATTTCTTCATTGAATGCTAGACGGAAGAATTCTCAGTAAATTCTTTGTGTTGTGTGCATTCAACTCACAGAGTGGAACGTCCCTTTAGACAGAGCAGATTTGAAACACTCTTTTTGCGGAATTTGCAAGTGGAGATTTCTAGCCATTTGATGCCAACAGTAGAAAGGGAAACATCTTCAAATAAAAACCAGACAGAATCATTCTCAGAAAATTCTTTGTGATGTGTGCGTTCAACTCACATAGTTTAACCTTTCTTTTCATAGAGCAGTTTGGAAACACTCTGTTTGTAAAGTCTGCAAGTGGATATATGGACCGCATTGAGGCCTTCGTTGGAAACGGGATTTCTTCATTTCATGCTAGACAGAAGAATTCTCAGTAACTTCTTTGTGCTGTGTGTATTCAACTCACAGAGTGGAACGTCCCTTTGCACAGAGCAGATTTGAAACACTCTTTTTGTGGAATTTGCAAGTGGAGATTTCAAGCGATTTGACGCCAACAGTAGAAAAGGAAATATCTTCAAATAAAAACTAGACAGAATCATTCTCAGAAACTACTTTGTGATGTGTGCCTTCAACTCACAGAGTTTAACCTTTCTTTTCTTAGAGCAGTTTAGAAACACTCTGCTTGTTATGTCTGCAAGTGGATATTTGGACCTCTTTGAGGCCTTCGTTGCAAACGGGGTTTCTTCCTTTCATGCTAGACTAAGAAGAGTTCTCAGTAACTTTTTTGTGTTGTGTGTATTCAACTCACAGAGTTGAACCTTGCTTTAGAGAGAGCAGATTTGAAACACTCTTGCTGTGGCATTTTCAGGTGGAGATTTCAAGCGATTTGAGGACAATTGCAGAAAAGGAAATATCTTCGTATAATAACCAGACAGAATCATTCTCAGAAAGTGCTTTGTGATGTGTGCGTTCAACTCACAGAGTTTAACCTTTCTTTTCATAGAGGAGTTTGGAAACACACTGTTTGTAAAGTCTGCAATTGGATATATGGACCTGTTTGAGGCCTTCGTTGGAAACGGGATTTCTTCATTGAATGCTAGACGGAAGAATTCTCAGTAAATTCTTTGTGTTGTGTGCATTCAACTGACAGAGTGGAACGTCCCTTTAGACAGAGCAGATTTGAAACACTCTTTTTGCGGAATTTGCAAGTGGAGATTTCTAGCCATTTGATGCCAACAGTAGAAAGGGAAATATCTTCAAATAAAAACCAGACAGAATCATTCTCAGAAAATTCTTTGTGATGTGTGCGTTCAACTCACATAGTTTAACCTTTCTTTTCATAGAGCGGTTTGGAAACACTCTGTTTGTAAAGTCTGCAAGTGGATATATGGACCGCATTGAGGCCTTCGTTGGAAACGGGATTTCTTCATTTCATGCTAGACAGAAGAATTCTCAGTAACTTCTTTGTGCTGTGTGTATTCAACTCACAGAGTGGAACGTCCCTTTGCACAGAGCAGATTTTAAACACTCTTTTTGTGGAGTTTGCAAGTGGAGATTTCAAGCAATTTGATGCCAACAGTAGAAAAGGAAATATCTTCAAATAAAAACTAGACAGAATCATTCTCAGAAACTACTTTGTGATGTGTGCCTTCAACTCACAGAGTTTAACCTTTCTTTTCTTAGAGCACTTTAGAAACACTCTGCTTGTTATGTCTGCAAGTGGATATTTGGACCTCTTTGAGGCCTTCGTTGCAAACGGGGTTTCTTCCTTTCATGCTAGACTAAGAAGAGTTCTCAGTAACTTTTTTGTGTTGTGTGTATTCAACTCACAGAGTTGAACCTTGCTTTAGAGAGAGCAGATTTGAAACACTCTTGCTGTGGCATTTTCAGGTGGAGATTTCAAGCGATTTGAGGACAATTGCAGAAAAGGAACTACTTCGTATAATAACCAGACAGAATCATTCTCAGAAAGTGCTTTGTGATGTGTGCGTTCCACTCACAGAGTTTAACCTTTCTTTTCATAGAGGAGTTTGGAAACACACTGTTTGTAAAGTCTGCAAGTGGATATATGGACCTCTTTGAGGCCTTCGTTGGAAACGGGATTTCTTCATTGAATGCTAGACGGAAGAATTCTCAGTAAATTCTTTGTGTTGTGTGCATTCAACTCACAGAGTGGAACGTCCCTTTAGACAGAGCAGATTTGAAACACTCTTTTTGCGGAATTTGCAAGTGGAGATTTCTAGCCATTTGATGCCAACAGTAGAAAGGGAAATATCTTCAAATAAAAACCAGACAGAATCATTCTCAGAAAATTCTTTGTGATGTGTGCGTTCAACTCACATAGTATAACCTTTCTTTTCATAGAGCAGTTTGGAAACACTCTGTTTGTAAAGTCTGCAAGTGGATATATGGACCGCATTGAGGCCTTCGTTGGAAACGGGATTTCTTCATTTCATGCTAGACAGAAGAATTCTCAGTAACTTCTTTGTGCTGTGTGTATTCAACTCACAGAGTGGAACGTCCCTTTACACAGAGAAGATTTGAAACACTCTTTTTGTGGAGTTTGCAAGTGGAGATTTCAAGCGATTTGATGCCAACAGTAGAAAAGGAAATATCTTCAAATAAAAACTAGACAGAATCATTCTCAGAAACTACTTTGTGATGTGTGCCTTCAACTCACAGAGTTTAACCTTTCTTTTCTTAGAGCAGTTTAGAAACACTCTGCTTGTTATGTCTGCAAGTGGATATTTGGACCTCTTTGAGGCCTTCGTTGCAAACGGGGTTTCTTCCGTTCATGCTAGACTAAGAAGAGTTCTCAGTAACTTTTTTGTGTTGTGTGTATTCAACTCACAGAGTTGAACCTTGCTTTAGAGAGAGCAGATTTGAAACACTCTTGCTGTGACATTTTCAGGTGGAGATTTCAAGCGATTTGAGGACAATTGCAGAAAAGGAAATATCTTCGTATAACAACCAGACAGAATCATTCTCAGAAAGTGCTTTGTGATGTGTGCGTTCCACTCACAGAGTTTAACCTTTCTTTTCATAGAGGAGTTTGGAAACACACTGTTTGTAAAGTCTGCAAGTGGATATATGGACCTGTTTGAGGCCTTCGTTGGAAACGGGATTTCTTCATTGAATGCTAGACGGAAGAATTCTCAGTAAATTCTTTGTGTGGTGTGCATTCAACTCACAGAGTGGAACGTCCCTTTAGACAGAGCAGATTTGAAACACTCTTTTTGCGGAATTTGCAAGTGGAGATTTCTAGCCATTTGATGCCAACAGTAGAAAGGGAAATATCTTCAAATAAAAACCAGACAGAATCATTCTCAGAAAATTCTTTGTGATGTGTGCGTTCAACTCACATAGTTTAACCTTTCTTTTCTTAGAGCAGTTTAGAAACACTCTGCTTGTTATGTCTGCAAGTGGATATTTGGACCTCTTTGAGGCCTTCGTTGCAAACGGGGTTTCTTCCTTTCATGCTAGACTAAGAAGAGTTCTCAGTAACTTTTTTGTGTTGTGTGTATTCAACTCACAGAGTTGAACCATGCTTTAGAGAGAGCAGATTTGAAACACTCTTGCTGTGGCATTTTCAGGTGGAGATTTCAAGCGATTTGAGGACAATTGCAGAAAAGGAAATATCTTCGTATAACAACCAGACAGAATCATTCTCAGAAAGTGCTTTGTGATGTGTGGGTTCAACTCACAGAGTTTAACCTTTCTTTTCATAGAGGAGTTTGGAAACACACTGTTTGTAAAGTCTGCAATTGGATATATGGACCTGTTTGAGGCCTTCGTTGGAAACGGGATTTCTTCATTGACTGCTAGACAGAAGAATTCTCAGTAAATTCTTTGTGTTGTGTGCATTCAACTCACAGAGTGGAACGTCCCTTTAGACAGAGCAGATTTGAAACACTCTTTTTGCGGAATTTGCAAGTGGAGATTTCTAGCCATTTGATGCCAACAGTAGAAAGGGAAATATCTTCAAATAAAAACCAGACAGAATCATTCTCAGAAAATTCTTTGTGATGTGTGCGTTCAACTCACATAGTTTAACCTTTCTTTTCATAGAGCAGTTTGGAAACACTCTGTTTGTAAAGTCTGCAAGTGGATATATGGACCGCATTGAGGCCTTCGTTGGAAACGGGATTTCTTCATTTCATGCTAGACAGAAGAATTCTCAGTAACTTCTTTGTGCTGTGTGTATTCAACTCACAGAGTGGAACGTCCCTTTACACAGAGCAGATTTGAAACACTCTTTTTGTGGAGTTTGCAAGTGGAGATTTCAAGCGATTTGATGCCAACAGTAGAAAAGGAAATATCTTCAAATAAAAACTAGACAGAATCATTCTCAGAAACTACTTTGTGATGTGTGCCTTCAACTCACAGAGTTTAACCTTTCTTTTCTTAGAGCAGTTTAGAAACACTCTGCTTGTTATGTCTGCAAGTGGATATTTGGACCTCTTTGAGGCCTTCGTTGCAAACGGGGTTTCTTCCTTTCATGCTAGACTAAGAAGAGTTCTCAGTAACTTTTTTGTGTTGTGTGTATTCAACTCACAGAGTTGAACCTTGCTTTAGAGAGAGCAGATTTGAAACACTCTTGCTGTGGCATTTTCAGGTGGAGATTTCAAGCGATTTGAGGACAATTGCAGAAAAGGAAATATCTTCGTATAATAACCAGACAGAATCATTCTCAGAAAGTGCTTTGTGATGTGCGCGTTCAACTCACAGAGTTTAACCTTTCTTTCCATAGAGGAGTTTGGAAACACACTGTTTGTAAAGTCTGCAATTGGATATATGGACCTGTTTGAGGCCTTCGTTGGAAACGGGATTTCTTCATTGAATGCTAGACGGAAGAATTCTCAGTAAATTCTTTGTGTTGTGTGCATTCAACTCACAGAGTGGAACGTCCCTTTAGACAGAGCAGATTTGAAACACTCTTTTTGCGGAATTTGCAAGTGGAGATTTCTAGCCATTTGATGCCAACAGTAGAAAGGGAAATATCTTCAAATAAAAACCAGACAGAATCATTCTCAGAAAATTCTTTGTGATGTGTGCGTTCAACTCACATAGTTTAACCTTTCTTTTCATAGAGCAGTTTGGAAACACTCTGTTTGTAAAGTCTGCAAGTGGATATATGGACCGCATTGAGGCCTTCGTTGGAAACGGGATTTCTTCATTTCATGCTAGACAGAAGAATTCTCAGTAACTTCTTTGTGCTGTGTGTATTCAACTCACAGAGTGGAACGTCCCTTTACACAGAGCAGATTTGAAACACTCTTTTTGTGGAGTTTGCAAGTGGAGATTTCAAGCGATTTGATGCCAACAGTAGAAAAGGAAATATCTTCAAATAAAAACTAGACAGAATCATTCTCAGAAACTACTTTGTGATGTGTGCCTTCAACTCACAGAGTTTAACCTTTCTTTTCTTAGAGCAGTTTAGAAACACTCTGCTTGTTATGTCTGCAAGTGGATATTTGGACCTCTTTGAGGCCTTCGTTGCAAACGGGGTTTCTTCCTTTCATGCTAGACTAAGAAGAGTTCTCAGTAACTTTTTTGTGTTGTGTGCATTCAACTCACAGAGTGGAACGTCCCTTTAGACAGAGCAGATTTGAAACACTCTTTTTGCGGAAGTTGCAAGTGGAGATTTCTAGCCATTTGATGCCAACAGTACAAAGGGAAATATCTTCAAATAAAAACTAGACAGAATCATTCTCAGAAAGTGCTTTGTGATGTGTGCGTTCAACTCACAGAGTTTAACCTTTCTTTTCATAGAGGAGTTTGGAAACACACTGTTTGTAAAGTCTGCAATTGGATATATGGACCTGTTTGAGGCCTTCGTTGGAAACGGGATTTCTTCATTGAATGCTAGACGGAAGAATTCTCAGTAAATTCTTTGTGTTGTGTGCATTCAACTCACAGAGTGGAACGTCCCTTTAGACAGAGCAGATTTGAAACACTCTTTTTGCGGAATTTGCAAGTGGAGATTTCTAGCCATTTGATGCCAACAGTAGAAAGGGAAATATCTTCAAATAAAAACCAGACAGAATCATTCTCAGAAAATTCTTTGTGATGTGTGCGTTCAACTCACATAGTTTAACCTTTCTTTTCATAGAGCAGTTTGGAAACACTCTGTTTGTAAAGTCTGCAAGTGGATATATGGACCGCATTGAGGCCTTCGTTGGAAACGGGATTTCTTCATTTCATGCTAGACAGAAGAATTCTCAGTAACTTCTTTGTGCTGTGTGTATTCAACTCACAGAGTGGAACGTCCCTTTGCACAGAGCAGATTTGAAACACTCTTTTTGTGGAATTTGCAAGTGGAGATTTCAAGCGATTTGATGCCAACAGTAGAAAAGGAAATATCTTCAAATAAAAACTAGACAGAATCATTCTCAGAAACTACTTTGTGATGTGTGCCTTCAACTCACAGAGTTTAACCTTTCTTTTCTTAGAGCAGTTTAGAAACACTCTGCTTGTTATGTCTGCAAGTGGATATTTGGACCTCTTTGAGGCCTTCGTTGCAAACGGGGTTTCTTCCTTTCATGCTAGACTAAGAAGAGTTCTCAGTAACTTTTTTGTGTTGTGTGTATTCAACTCGCAGAGCTGAACCTTGCTTTAGAGAGAGCAGATTTGAAACACTCTTGCTGTGGCATTTTCAGGTGGAGATTTCAAGCGATTTGAGGACAATTGCAGAAAAGGAAATATCTTCGTATAACAACCAGACAGAATCATTCTCAGAAAGTGCTATGTGATGTGTGCGTTCAACTCACAGAGTTTAACCTTTCTTTTCATAGAGGAGTTTGGAAACACACTGTTTGTAAAGTCTGCAATTGGATATATGGACCTGTTTGAGGCCTTCGTTGGAAACGGGATTTCTTCATTGAATGCTAGACGGAAGAATTCTCAGTAAATACTTTGTGTTGTGTGCATTCAACTGACAGAGTGGAACGTCCCTTTAGACAGAGCAGATTTGAAACACTCTTTTTGCGGAATTTGCAAGTGGAGATTTCTAGCCATTTGATGCCAACAGTAGAAAGGGAAATATCTTCAAATAAAAACCAGACAGAATCATTCTCAGAAAATTCTTTGTGATGTGTGCGTTCAACTCACATAGTTTAACCTTTCTTTTCATAGAGCAGTTTGGAAACACTCTGTTTGTAAAGTCTGCAAGTGGATATATGGACCGCATTGAGGCCTTCGTTGGAAACGGGATTTCTTCATTTCATGCTAGACAGAAGAATTCTCAGTAACTTCTTTGTGCTGTGTGTATTCAACTCACAGAGTGGAACGTCCCTTTACACAGAGCAGATTTGAAACACTCTTTTTGTGGAGTTTGCAAGTGGAGATTTCAAGCGATTTGATGCCAACAGTAGAAAAGGAAATATCTTCAAATAAAAACTAGACAGAATCATTCTCAGAAACTACTTTGTGATGTGTGCCTTCAACTCACAGAGTTTAACCTTTCTTTTCTGAGAGCAGTTTAGAAACACTCTGCTTGTTATGTCTGCAAGTGGATATTTGGACCTCTTTGAGGCCTTCGTTGCAAACGGGGTTTCTTCCTTTCATGCTAGACTAAGAAGAGTTCTCAGTAACTTTTTTGTGTTGTGTGTATTCAACTCACAGAGTTGAACCTTGCTTTAGAGAGAGCAGATTTGAAACACTCTTGCTGTGGCATTTTCAGGTGGAGATTTCAAGCGATTTGAGGACAATTGCAGAAAAGGAAATATCTTCGTATAATAACCAGACAGAATCATTCTCAGAAAGTGCTTTGTGATGTGTGCGTTCAACTCACAGAGTTTAACCTTTCTTTTTATAGAGGAGTTTGGAAACACACTGTTTGTAAAGTCTGCAATTGGATATATGGACCTGTTTGAGGCCTTCGTTGGAAACGGGATTTCTTCATTGAATGCTAGACGGAAGAATTCTCAGTAAATTCTTTGTGTTGTGTGCATTCAACTCACAGAGTGGAACGTCCCTTTAGACAGAGCAGATTTGAAACACTCTTTTTGCGGAATTTGCAAGTGGAGATTTCTAGCCATTTGATGCCAACAGTAGAAAGGGAAATATCTTCAAATAAAAACCAGACAGAATCATTCTCAGAAAATTCTTTGTGATGTGTGCGTTCAACTCACATAGTTTAACCTTTCTTTTCATAGAGCAGTTTGGAAACACTCTGTTTGTAAAGTCTGCAAGTGGATATATGGACCGCATTGAGGCCTTCGTTGGAAACGGGATTTCTTCATTTCATGCTAGACAGAAGAATTCTCAGTAACTTCTTTGTGCTGTGTGTATTCAACTCACAGAGTGGAACGTCCCGTTGCACAGAGCAGATTTGAAACACTCTTTTTGTGGAATTTGCAAGTGGAGATTTCAAGCGATTTGATGCCAACAGTAGAAAAGGAAATATCTTCAAATAAAAACTAGACAGAATCATTCTCAGAAACTACTTTGTGATGTGTGCCTTCAACTCACAGAGTTTAACCTTTCTTTTCTTAGAGCAGTTTAGAAACACTCTGCTTGTTATGTCTGCAAGTGGATATTTGGACCTCTTTGAGGCCTTCGTTGCAAACGGGGTTTCTTCCTTTCATGCTAGACTAAGAAGAGTTCTCAGTAACTTTTTTGTGTTGTGTGTATTCAACTCACAGAGTTGAACCTTGCTTTAGAGAGAGCAGATTTGAAACACTCTTGCTGTGGCATTTTCAGGTGGAGATTTCAAACGATTTGAGGACAATTGCAGAAAAGGAAATATCTTCGTATAATAACCAGACAGAATCATTCTCAGAAAGTGCTTTGTGATGTGTGCGTTCAACTCACAGAGTTTAACCTTTCTTTTCATAGAGGAGTTTGGAAACACACTGTTTGTAAAGTCTGCAAGTGGATATATGGACCTGTTTGAGGCCTTCGTTGGAAACGGGATTTCTTCATTGAATGCTAGACGGAAGAATTCTCAGTAAATTCTTTGTGTTGTGTGCATTCAACTCACAGAGTGGAACGTCCCTTTAGACAGAGCAGATTTGAAACACTCTTTTTGCGGAATTTGCAAGTGGAGATTTCTAGCCATTTGATGCCAACAGTAGAAAGGGAAATATCTTCAAATAAAAACCAGACAGAATCATTCTCAGAAAATTCTTTGTGATGTGTGCGTTCAACTCACATAGTTTAACCTTTCTTTTCATAGAGCAGTTTGGAAACACTCTGTTTGTAAAGTCTGCAAGTGGATATATGGACCGCATTGAGGCCTTCGTTGGAAACGGGATTTCTTCATTTCATGCTAGACAGAAGAATTCTCAGTAACTTCTTTGTGCTGTGTGTATTCAACTCACAGAGTGGAACGTCCCTTTGCACAGAGCAGATTTGAAACACTCTTTTTGTGGAGTTTGCAAGTGGAGATTTCAAGCGATTTGATGCCAACAGTAGAAAAGGAAATATCTTCAAATAAAAACTAGACAGAATCATTCTCAGAAACTACTTTGTGATGTGTGCCTTCAACTCACAGAGTTTAACCTTTCTTTTCTTAGAGCAGTTTAGAAACACTCTGCTTGTTATGTCTGCAAGTGGATATTTGGACCTCTTTGAGGCCTTCGTTGCAAACGGGGTTTCTTCCTTTCATGCTAGACTAAGAAGAGTTCTCAGTAACTTTTTTGTGTTGTGTGTATTCAACTCACAGAGTTGAACCTTGCTTTAGAGAGAGCAGATTTGAAACACTCTTGCTGTGGCATTTTCAGGTGGAGATTTCAAGCGATTTGAGGACAATTGCAGAAAAGGAAATATCTTCGTATAATAACCAGACAGAATCATTCTCAGAAAGTGCTTTGTGATGTGTGCGTTCCACTCACAGAGTTTAACCTTTCTTTTCATAGAGGAGTTTGGAAACACACTGTTTGTAAAGTCTGCAAGTGGATATATGGACCTGTTTGAGGCCTTCGTTGGAAACGGGATTTCTTCATTGAATGCTAGACGGAAGAATTCTCAGTAAATTCTTTGTGTTGTGTGCATTCAACTCACAGAGTGGAACGTCCCTTTAGACAGAGCAGATTTGAAACACTCTTTTTGCGGAATTTGCAAGTGGAGATTTCTAGCCATTTGATGCCAACAGTAGAAAGGGAAATATCTTCAAATAAAAACCAGACAGAATCATTCTCAGAAAATTCTTTGTGATGTGTGCGTTCAACTCACATAGTTTAACCTTTCTTTTCATAGAGCAGTTTGGAAACACTCTGTTTGTAAAGTCTGCAAGTGGATATATGGACCGCATTGAGGCCTTCGTTGGAAACGGGATTTCTTCATTTCATGCTAGACAGAAGAATTCTCAGTAACTTCTTTGTGCTGTGTGTATTCAACTCACAGAGTGGAACGTCCCTTTGCACAGAGCAGATTTAAAACACTCTTTTTGTGGAGTTTGCAAGTGGAGATTTCAAGCGATTTGATGCCAACAGTAGAAAAGGAAATATCTTCAAATAAAAACTAGACAGAATCATTCTCAGAAACTACTTTGTGATGTGTGCCTTCAACTCACAGAGTTTAACCTTTCTTTTCTTAGAGCAGTTTAGAAACACTCTGCTTGTTATGTCTGCAAGTGGATATTTGGACCTCTTTGAGGCCTTCGTTGCAAACGGCGTTTCTTCCTTTACTGCTAGACTAAGAAGAGTTCTCAGTAACTTTTTTGTGTTGTGTGTATTCAACTCACAGAGTTGAACCTTGCTTTAGAGAGAGCAGATTTGAAACACTCTTGCTGTGGCATTTTCAGGTGGAGATTTCAAGCGATTTGAGGACAATTGCAGAAAAGGAAATATCTTCGTATAATAACCAGACAGAATCATTCTCAGAAAGTGCTTTGTGATGTGTGCGTTCAACTCACAGAGTTCAACCTTTCTTTCCATAGAGGAGTTTGGAAACACACTGTTTGTAAAGTCTGCAATTGGATATATGGACCTGTTTGAGGCCTTCGTTGGAAACGGGATTTCTTCATTGAATGCTAGATGGAAGAATTCTCAGTAAATTCTTTGTGTTGTGTGCATTCAACTCACAGAGTGGAACGTCCCTTTAGACAGAGCAGATTTGAAACACTCTTTTTGCGGAATTTGCAAGTGGAGATTTCTAGCCATTTGATGCCAACAGTAGAAAGGGAAACATCTTCAAATAAAAACCAGACAGAATCATTCTCAGAAAATTCTTTGTGATGTGTGCGTTCAACTCACATAGTTTAACCTTTCTTTTCATAGAGCAGTTTGGAAACACTCTGTTTGTAAAGTCTGCAAGTGGATATATGGACCGCATTGAGGCCTTCGTTGGAAACGGGATTTCTTCATTTCATGCTAGACAGAAGAATTCTCAGCAACTTCTTTGTGCTGTGTGTATTCAACTCACAGAGTGGAACGTCCCTTTACACAGAGCAGATTTGAAACACTCTTTTTGTGGAGTTTGCAAGTGAAGATTTCAAACGATTTGATGCCAACAGTAGAAAAGGAAATATCTTCAAATAAAAACTAGACAGAATCATTCTCAGAAACTACTTTGTGATGTGTGCCTTCAACTCACAGAGTTTAACCTTTCTTTTCTTAGAGCAGTTTAGAAACACTCTGCTTGTTATGTCTGCAAGAGGATATTTGGACCTCTTTGAGGCCTTCGTTGCAAACGGGGTTTCTTCCTTTCATGCTAGACTAAGAAGAGTTCTCAGTAACTTTTTTGTGTTGTGTGTATTCAACTCACAGAGTTGAACCTTGCTTTAGAGAGAGCAGATTTGAAACACTCTTGCTGTGGCATTTTCAGGTGGAGATTTCAAGCGTTTTGAGGACAATTGCAGAAAAGGAAATATCTTCGTATAATAACCAGACAGAATCATTCTCAGAAAGTGCTTTGTGATGTGTGCGTTCAACTCACAGAGTTTAACCTTTCTTTTCATAGAGGAGTTTGGAAACACACTGTTTGTAAAGTCTGCAATTGGATATATGGACCTGTTTGAGGCCTTCGTTGGAAACGGGATTTCTTCATTGAATGCTAGACGGAAGAATTCTCAGTAAATTCTTTGTGTTGTGTGCATTCAACTGACAGAGTGGAACGTCCCTTTAGACAGAGCAGATTTGAAACACTCTTTTTGCGGAATTTGCAAGTGGAGATTTCTAGCCATTTGATGCCAACAGTAGAAAGGGAAATATCTTCAAATAAAAACCAGACAGAATCATTCTCAGAAAATTCTTTGTGATGTGTGCGTTCAACTCACATAGTTTAACCTTTCTTTTCATAGAGCAGTTTGGAAACACTCTGTTTGTAAAGTCTGCAAGTGGATCTATGGACCGCATTGAGGCCTTCGTTGGAAACGGGATTTCTTCATTTCATGCTAGACAGAAGAATTCTCAGTAACTTCTTTGTGCTGTGTGTATTCAACTCACAGAGTGGAACGTCCCTTTACACAGAGCAGATTTGAAACACTCTTTTTGTGGAGTTTGCAAGTGGAGATTTCAAGCGATTTGATGCCAACAGTAGAAAAGGAAATATCTTCAAATAAAAACTAGACAGAATCATTCTCAGAAACTACTTTGTGATGTGTGCCTTCAACTCACTGAGTTCAACCTTTCTTTTCTTAGAGCAGTTTAGAAACACTCTGCTTGTTATGTCTGCAAGTGGATATTTGGACCTCTTTGAGGCCTTCGTTGCAAACGGGGTTTCTTCCTTTCATGCTAGACTAAGAAGAATTCTCAGTAACTTCTTTGTGCTGTGTGTATTCAAATCACAGAGTTGAACCTTGCTTTAGAGAGAGCAGATTTGAAACACTCTTGCTGTGGCATTTTCAGGTGGAGATTTCAAGCGATTTGAGGAAAATTGCAGAAAAGGGAATATCTTCGTATAATAACCAGACAGAATCATTCTCAGAAAGTGCTTTGTGATGTGTGCGTTCCACTCACAGAGTTTAACCTTTCTTTTCATAGAGGAGTTTGGAAACACACTGTTTGTAAACTCTGCAAGTGGATATATGGACCTGTTTGAGGCCTTCGTTGGAAACGGGATTTCTTCATTGAATGCTAGACGGAAGAATTCTCAGTAAATTCTTTGTGTTGTGTGCATTCAACTCACAGAGTGGAACGTCCCTTTAGACAGAGCAGATTTGAAACACTCTTTTTGCGGAATTTGCAAGTGGAGATTTCTAGCCATTTGATGCCAACAGTAGAAAGGGAAATATCTTCAAATAAAAACCAGGCAGAATCATTCTCAGAAAATTCTTTGTGATGTGTGCGTTCAACTCACATAGTTTAACCTTTCTTTTCATAGAGCAGTTTGGAAACACTCTGTTTGTAAAGTCTGCAAGTGGATATATGGACCGCATTGAGGCCTTCGTTGGAAACGGGATTTCTTCATTTCATGCTAGACAGAAGAATTCTCAGTAACTTCTTTGTGCTGTGTGTATTCAACTCACAGAGTGGAACGTCCCTTTACACAGAGCAGATTTGAAACACTCTTTTTGTGGAGTTTGCAAGTGGAGATTTCAAGCGATTTGATGCCAACAGTAGAAAAGGAAATATCTTCAAATAAAAACTAGACAGAATCATTCTCAGAAACTACTTTGTGATGTGTGCCTTCAACTCACAGAGTTTAACCTTTCTTTTCATAGAGCAGTTTAGAAACACTCTGCTTGTTATGTCTGCAAGTGGATATTTGGACCTCTTTGAGGCCTTCGTTGCAAACGGAGTTTCTTCCTTTCATGCTAGACTAAGAAGAGTTCTCAGTAACTTTTTTGTGTTGTGTGTATTCAACTCACAGAGTTGAACCTTGCTTTAGAGAGAGCAGATTTGAAACACTCTTGCTGTGGCATTTTCAGGTGGAGATTTCAAGCGATTTGAGGACAATTGCAGAAAAGGAAATATCTTCGTATAACAACCAGACAGAATCATTCTCAGAAAGTGCTTTGTGATGTGTGCGTTCAACTCACAGAGTTTAATCTTTCTTTTCATAGAGGAGTTTGGAAACACACTGTTTGTAAAGTCTGCAATTGGATATATGGACCTGTTTGAGGCCTTCGTTGGAAACGGGATTTCTTCATTGAATGCTAGACGGAAGAATTCTCAGTAAATTCTTTCGTGTTGTGTGCATTCAACTCACAGAGTGGAACGTCCCTTTAGACAGAGCAGATTTGAAACACTCTTTTTGCGGAATTTGCAAGTGGAGATTTCTAGCCATTTGATGCCAACAGTAGAAAGGGAAATATCTTCAAATAAAAACCAGACAGAATCATTCTCAGAAAATTCTTTGTGATGTGTGCGTTCAACTCACATAGTTTAACCTTTCTTTTCATAGAGCAGTTTGGAAACACTCTGTTTGTAAAGTCTGCAAGTGGATATATGGACCGCATTGAGGCCTTCGTTGGAAACGGGATTTCTTCATTTCATGCTAGACAGAAGAATTCTCAGTAACTTCTTTGTGCTGTGTGTATTCAACTCACAGAGTGGAACGTCCCTTTGCACAGAGCAGATTTGAAACACTCTTTTTGTGGAATTTGCAAGTGGAGATTTCAAGCGATTTGATGCCAACAGTAGAAAAGGAAATATCTTCAAATAAAAACTAGACAGAATCATTCTCAGAAACTACTTTGTGATGTGTGCCTTCAACTCACAGAGTTTAACCTTTCTTTTCTTAGAGCAGTTTAGAAACACTCTGCTTGTTATGTCTGCAAGTGGATATTTGGACCTCTTTGAGGCCTTCGTTGCAAACGGGGTTTCTTCCTTTCATGCTAGACTAAGAAGAGTTCTCAGTAACTTTTTTGTGTTGTGTGTATTCAACTCACAGAGCTGAACCTTGCTTTAGAGAGAGCAGATTTGAAACACTCTTGCTGTGGCATTTTCAGGTGGAGATTTCAAGCGATTTGAGGACAATTGCAGAAAAGGAAATATCTTCGTATAACAACCAGACAGAATCATTCTCAGAAAGTGCTTTGTGATGTGTGCGTTCCACTCACAGAGTTTAACCTTTCTTTTCATAGAGGAGTTTGGAAACACACTGTTTGTAAACTCTGCAAGTGGATATATGGACCTGTTTCAGGCCTTCGTTGGAAACGGGATTTCTTCATTGAATGCTAGACGGAAGAATTCTCAGTAAATTCTTTGTGTTGTGTGCATTCAACTCACAGAGTGGAACGTCCCTTTAGACAGAGCAGATTTGAAACACTCTTTTTGCGGAATTTGCAAGTGGAGATTTCTAGCCATTTGATGCCAACAGTAGAAAGGGAAATATCTTCAAATAAAAACCAGACAGAATAATTCTCAGAAAATTCTTTGTGATGTGTGCGTTCAACTCACATAGTTTAAACTTTCTTTTCATAGAGCAGTTTGGAAACACTCTGTTTGTAAAGTCTGCAAGTGGATATATGGACCGCATTGAGGCCTTCGTTGGAAACGGGATTTCTTCATTTCATGCTAGACAGAAGAATTCTCAGTAACTTCTTTGTGCTGTGTGTATTCAACTCACAGAGTGGAACGTCCCTTTGCACAGAGCAGATTTGAAACACTCTTTTTGTGGAGTTTGCAAGTGGAGATTTCAAGCGATTTGATGCCAACAGTAGAAAAGGAAATATCTTCAAATAAAAACTAGACAGAATCATTCTCAGAAACTACTTTGTGATGTGTGCCTTCAACTCACAGAGTTTAACCTTTCTTTTCTTAGAGCAGTTTAGAAACACTCTGCTTGTTATGTCTGCAAGTGGATATTTGGACCTCTTTGAGGCCTTCATTGCAAACGGGGTTTCTTCCTTTAATGCTAGACTAAGAAGAGTTCTCAGTAACTTTTTTGTGTTGTGTGTATTCAACTCACAGAGTTGAACCTTGCTTTATAGAGAGCAGATTTGAAACACTCTCGCTGTGGCATTTTCAGGTGGAGATTTCAAACGATTTGAGGACAATTGCAGAAAAGGAAATATCTTCGTATAATAACCAGACAGAATCATTCTCAGAAAGTGCTTTGTGATGTGTGCGTTCCACTCACAGAGTTTAACCTTTCTTTTCATAGAGGAGTTTGGAAACACACTGTTTGTAAACTCTGCAAGTGGATATATGGACCTGTTTGAGGCCTTCGTTGGAAACGGGATTTCTTCATTGAATGCTAGACGGAAGAATTCTCAGTAAATTCTTTGTGTTGTGTGCATTCAACTCACAGAGTGGAACGTCCCTTTAGACAGAGCAGATTTGAAACACTCTTTTTGCGGAATTTGCAAGTGGAGATTTCTAGCCATTTGATGCCAACAGTAGAAAGGGAAATATCTTCAAATAAAAACCAGACAGAATCATTCTCAGAAAATTCTTTGTGATGTGTGCGTTCAACTCACATAGTTTAACCTTTCTTTTCATAGAGCAGTTTGGAAACACTCTGTTTGTAAAGTCTGCAAGTGGATATATGGACCGCATTGAGGCCTTCGTTGGAAACGGGATTTCTTCATTTCATGCTAGACAGAAGAATTCTCAGTAACTTCTTTGTGCTGTGTGTATTCAACTCACAGAGTGGAACGTCCCTTTACACAGAGCAGATTTGAAACACTCTTTTTGTGGAGTTTGCAAGTGGAGATTTCAAGCGATTTGATGCCAACAGTAGAAAAGGAAATATCTTCAAATAAAAACTAGACAGAATCATTCTCAGAAACTACTTTGTCATGTGTGCCTTCAACTCACAGAGTTTAACCTTTCTTTTCTTAGAGCAGTTTAGAAACACTCTGCTTGTTATGTCTGCAAGTGGATATTTGGACCTCTTTGAGGCCTTCGTTGCAAACGGGGTTTCTTCCTTTCATGCTAGACTAAGAAGAGTTCTCAGTAACTTTTTTGTGTTGTGTGTATTCAACTCACAGAGTTGAACCTTGCTTTAGAGAGAGCAGATTTGAAACACTCTTGCTGTGGCATTTTCAGGTGGAGATTTCAAGCGTTTTGAGGACAATTGCAGAAAAGGAAATATCTTCGTATAATAACCAGACAGAATCATTCTCAGAAAGTGCTTTGTGATGTGTGCGTTCAACTCACAGAGTTTAACCTTTCTTTTCATAGAGGAGTTTGGAAACACACTGTTTGTAAAGTCTGCAATTGGATATATGGACCTGTTTGAGGCCTTCGTTGGAAACGGGATTTCTTCATTGCATGCTAGACGGAAGAATTCTCAGTAAATTCTTTGTGTTGTGTGCATTCAACTCACAGAGTGGAACGTCCCTTTAGACAGAGCAGATTTGAAACACTCTTTTTGCGGAATTTGCAAGTGGAGATTTCTAGCCATTTGATGCCAACAGTAGAAAGGGAAATATCTTCAAATAAAAACCAGACAGAATCATTCTCAGAAAATTCTTTGTGATGTGTGCGTTCAACTCACATAGTTTAACCTTTCTTTTCTTAGAGCAGTTTAGAAACACTCTGCTTGTTATGTCTGCAAGTGGATATTTGGACCTCTTTGAGGCCTTCGTTGCAAACGGGGTTTCTTCCTTTCATGCTAGACTAAGAAGAGTTCTCAGTAACTTTTTTGTGTTGTGTGTATTCAACTCACAGAGTTGAACCATGCTTTAGAGAGAGCAGATTTGAAACACTCTTGCTGTGGCATTTTCAGGTGGAGATTTCAAGCGATTTGAGGACAATTGCAGAAAAGGAAATATCTTCGTATAACAACCAGACAGAATCATTCTCAGAAAGTGCTTTGTGATGTGTGGGTTCAACTCACAGAGTTTAACCTTTCTTTTCATAGAGGAGTTTGGAAACACACTGTTTGTAAAGTCTGCAATTGGATATATGGACCTGTTTGAGGCCTTCGTTGGAAACGGGATTTCTTCATTGACTGCTAGACAGAAGAATTCTCAGTAAATTCTTTGTGTTGTGTGCATTCAACTCACAGAGTGGAACGTCCCTTTAGACAGAGCAGATTTGAAACACTCTTTTTGCGGAATTTGCAAGTGGAGATTTCTAGCCATTTGATGCCAACAGTAGAAAGGGAAATATCTTCAAATAAAAACCAGACAGAATCATTCTCAGAAAATTCTTTGTGATGTGTGCGTTCAACTCACATAGTTTAACCTTTCTTTTCATAGAGCAGTTTGGAAACACTCTGTTTGTAAAGTCTGCAAGTGGATATATGGACCGCATTGAGGCCTTCGTTGGAAACGGGATTTCTTCATTTCATGCTAGACAGAAGAATTCTCAGTAACATCTTTGTGCTGTGTGTATTCAACTCACAGAGTGGAACGTCCCTTTGCACAGAGCAGATTTGAAACACTCTTTTTGTGGAGTTTGCAAGTGGAGATTTCAAGCGATTTGATGCCAACAGTAGAAAAGGAAATATCTTCAAATAAAAACTAGACAGAATCATTCTCAGAAACTACTTTGTGATGTGTGCCTTCAACTCACAGAGTTTAACCTTTCTTTTCTTAGAGCAGTTTAGAAACACTCTGCTTGTTATGTCTGCAAGTGGATATTTGGACCTCTTTGAGGCCTTCGTTGCAAACGGGGTTTCTTCCTTTCATGCTAGACTAAGAAGAGTTCTCAGTAACTTTTTTGTGTTGTGTGTATTCAACTCACAGAGTTGAACCTTGCTTTAGAGAGAGCAGATTTGAAACACTCTTGCTGTGGCATTTTCAGGTGGAGATTTCAAGCGATTTGAGGACAATTGCAGAAAAGGAAATATCTTCGTATAATAACCAGACAGAATCATTCTCAGAAAGTGCTTTGTGATGTGTGCGTTCAACTCACAGAGTTTAACCTTTCTTTTCATAGAGGAGTTTGGAAACACACTGTTTGTAAAGTCTGCAATTGGATATATGGACCTGTTTGAGGCCTTCGTTGGAAACGGGATTTCTTCATTGAATGCTAGACGGAAGAATTCTCAGTAAATTCTTTGTGTTGTGTGCATTCAACTCACAGAGTGGAACGTCCCTTTAGACAGAGCAGATTTGAAACACTCTTTTTGCGGAATTTGCAAGTGGAGATTTCTAGCCATTTGATGCCAACAGTAGAAAGGGAAATATCTTCAAATAAAAACCAGACAGAATCATTCTCAGAAAATTCTTTGTGATGTGTGCGTTCAACTCACATAGTTTAACCTTTCTTTTCATAGAGCAGTTTGGAAACACTCTGTTTGTAAAGTCTGCAAGTGGATATATGGACCGCATTGAGGCCTTCGTTGGAAACGGGATTTCTTCATTTCATGCTAGACAGAAGAATTCTCAGTAACTTCTTTGTGCTGTGTGTATTCAACTCACAGAGTGGAACGTCCCTTTACACAGAGCAGATTTGAAACACTCTTTTTGTGGAGTTTGCAAGTGGAGATTTCAAGCGATTTGATGCCAACAGTAGAAAAGGAAATATCTTCAAATGAAAACTAGACAGAATCATTCTCAGAAACTACTTTGTGATGTGTGCCTTCAACTCACAGAGTTTAACCTTTCTTTTCTTAGAGCAGTTTAGAAACACTCTGCTTGTTATGTCTGCAAGTGGATATTTGGACCTCTTTGAGGCCTTCGTTGCAAACGGGGTTTCTTCCTTTCATGCTAGACTAAGAAGAGTTCTCAGTAACTTTTTTGTGTTGTGTGTATTCAACTCACAGAGTTGAACCTTGCTTTAGAGAGAGCAGATTTGAAACACTCTTGCTGTGGCATTTTCAGGTGGAGATTTCAAGCGATTTGAGGACAATTGCAGAAAAGGAAATATCTTCGTATAATAACCAGACAGAATCATTCTCAGAAAGTGCTTTGTGATGTGTGTGTTCCACTCACAGAGTTTAACCTTTCTTTTCATAGAGGAGTTTGGAAACACACTGTTTGTAAAGTCTGCAAGTGGATATATGGACCTGTTTGAGGCCTTCGTTGGAAACGGGATTTCTTCATTGAATGCTAGACGGAAGAATTCTCAGTAAATTCTTTGTGTTGTGTGCATTCAACTCACAGAGTGGAACGTCCCTTTAGACAGAGCACATTTGAAACACTCTTTTGCGGAATTTGCAAGTGGAGATTTCTAGCCATTTGATGCCAACAGTAGAAAGGGAAATATCTTCAAATAAAAACCAGACAGAATCATTCTCAGAAAATTCTTTGTGATGTGTGCGTTCAACTCACATAGTTTAACCTTTCTTTTCATAGAGCAGTTTGGAAACACTCTGTTTGTAAAGTCTGCAAGTGGATATATGGACCGCATTGAGGCCTTCGTTGGAAACGGGATTTCTTCATTTCATGCTAGACAGAAGAATTCTCAGTAACTTCTTTGTGCTGTGTGTATTCAACTCACAGAGTGGAACGTCCCTTTGCACAGAGCAGATTTGAAACACTCTTTTTGTGGAATTTGCAAGTGGAGATTTCAAGCGATTTGATGCCAACAGAAGAAAAGGAAATATCTTCAAATAAAAACTAGACAGAATCATTCTCAGAAAGTAATTTGTGATGTGTGCCTTCAACTCACAGAGTTTAACCTTTCTTTTCTTAGAGCAGTTTAGAAACACTCTGCTTGTTATGTCTGCAAGTGGATATTTGGACCTCTTTGAGGACTTCGTTGCAAACGGGGTTTCTTCCTTTAATGGTAGACTAAGAAGAGTTCTCAGTAACTTTTTTGTGTTGTGTGTATTCAACTCACAGAGTTGAACCTTGCTTTAGAGAGAGCAGATTTGAAACACTCTTGCTGTGGCATTTTCAGGTGGAGATTTCAAGCGATTTGAGGACAATTGCAGAAAAGGAAATATCTTCGTATAATAACCAGACACAATCATTCTCAGAAAGTGCTTTGTGATGTGTGCGTTCAACTCACAGAGTTTAACCTTTCTTTTCATAGAGGAGTTTGGAAACACACTGTTTGTAAAGTCTGCAATTGGATATATGGACCTGTTTGAGGCCTTCGTTGGAAACGGGATTTCTTCATTGAATGCTAGACGGAAGAATTCTCAGTAAATTCTTTGTGTTGTGTGCATTCAACTCACAGAGTGGAACGTCCCTTTAGACAGAGCAGATTTGAAACACTCTTTTTGCGGAATTTGCAAGTGGAGATTTCTAGCCATTTGATGCCAACAGTAGAAAGGGAAATATCTTCAAATAAAAACCAGACAGAATCATTCTCAGAAAATTCTTTGTGATGTGTGCGTTCAACTCACATAGTTTAACCTTTCTTTTCATAGAGCAGTTTGGGAACACTCTGTTGGTAATGTCTGCAAGTGGATATATGGACCGCTTTGAGGCCTTCGTTGGAAACGGGATTTCTTCATTTCATGCTAGACAGAAGAATTCTCAGTAACTTCTTTGTGCTGTGTGTATTCAACTCACAGAGTGGAACGTCCCTTTACACAGAGCAGATTTGAAACACTCTTTTTGTGGAGTTTGCAAGTGGAGAATTCAAGCGATTTGATGAAAACAGTAGAAAAGGAAATATCTTCAAATAAAAACTAGACAGAATCATTCTCAGAAACTGCTTTGTGATGTGTGCCTTCAACTCACAGAGTTTAACCTTTCTTTTCTTAGAGCAGTTTAGAAACACTCTGCTTGTTATGTCTGCAAGTGGATATTTGGACCTCTTTGAGGCCTTCGTTGCAAACGGGGTTTCTTCCTTTCATGCTAGACTAAGAAGAGTTCTCAGTAACTTTTTTGTGTTGTGTGTATTCAACTCACAGAGTTGAACCTTGCTTTAGAGAGAGCAGATTTGAAACACTCTTGCTGTGGCATTTTCAGGTGGAGATTTCAAGCGATTTGAGGACAATTGCAGAAAAGGAAATATCTTCGTATAATAACCAGACAGAATCATTCTCAGAAAGTGCTTTGTGATGTGTGCGTTCCACTCACAGAGTTTAACCTTTCTTTTCATAGAGGAGTTTGGAAACACACTGTTTGTAAAGTCTGCAAGTGGATATATGGACCTCTTTGAGGCCTTCGTTGGAAACGGGATTTCTTCATTGAATGCTAGACGGAAGAATTCTCAGTAAATTCTTTGTGTTGTGTGCATTCAACTGACAGAGTGGAACGTCCCTTTAGACAGAGCAGATTTGAAACACTCTTTTTGCGGAATTTGCAAGTGGAGATTTCTAGCCATTTGATGCCAACAGTAGAAAGGGAAATATCTTCAAATAAAAACCAGACAGAATCATTCTCAGAAAATTTTTTGTGATGTGTGCGTTCAACTCACATAGTTTAACCTTTCTTTTCATAGAGCAGTTTGGAAACACTCTGTTTGTAAAGTCTGCAAGTGGATATATGGACCGCATTGAGGCCTTCGTTGGAAACGGGATTTCTTCATTTCTTGCTAGACAGAAGAATTCTCAGTAACTTCTTTGTGCTGTGTGTATTCAACTCACAGAGTGGAACGTCCCTTTGCACAGAGCAGATTTGAAACACTCTTTTTGTGGAGTTTGCAAGTGGAGATTTCAAGCGATTTGATGCCAACAGTAGAAAAGGAAATATCTTCAAATAAAAACTAGACAGAATCATTCTCAGCAAACTACTTTGTGATGTGTGCCTTCAACTCACAGAGTTTAACCTTTCTTTTCTTAGAGCAGTTTAGAAACACTCTGCTTGTTATGTCTGCAAGTGGAAATTTGGACCTCTTTGAGGCCTTCGTTGCAAACGGGGTTTCTTCCTTTCATGCTAGACTAAGAAGAGTTCTCAGTAACTTTTTTGTGTTGTGTGTATTCAACTCACAGAGTTGAACCTTGCTTTAGAGAGAGCAGATTTGAAACACTCTTGCTGTGGCATTTTCAGGTGGAGATTTCAAGCGATTTGAGGACAATTGCAGAAAAGGAAATATCTTCGTATAATAACCAGACAAGAATCATTCTCAGAAAGTGCTTTGTGATGTGTGCGTTCAACTCACAGAGTTTAACCTTTCTTTTCATAGAGGAGTTTGGAAACACACTGTTTGTAAAGTCTGCAATTGGATATATGGACCTGTTTGAGGCCTTCGTTGGAAACGGGATTTCTTCATTGAATGCTAGACGGAAGAATTCTCAGTAAATTCTTTGTGTGGTGTGCATTCAACTCACAGAGTGGAACGTCCCTTTAGACAGAGCAGATTTGAAACACTATTTTTGCGGAATTTGCAAGTGGAGATTTCTAGCCATTTGATGCCAACAGTAGAAAGGGAAATATCTTCAAATAAAAACCAGACAGAATCATTCTCAGAAAATTCTTTGTGATGTGTGCGTTCAACTCACATAGTTTAACCTTTCTTTTCATAGAGCAGTTTGGAAACACTCTGTTTGTAAAGTCTGCAAGTGGATATATGGACCGCATTGAGGCCTTCGTTGGAAACGGGATTTCTTCATTTCATGCTAGACAGAAGAATTCTCAGTAACTTCTTTGTGCTGTGTGTATTCAACTCACAGAGTGGAACGTCCCTTTGCACAGAGCAGATTTGAAACACTCTTTTTGTGGAGTTTGCAAGTGGAGATTTCAAGCGATTTGATGCCAACAGTAGAAAAGGAAATATCTTCAAATAAAAACTAGACAGAATCATTCTCAGAAACTACTTTGTGATGTGTGCCTTCAACTCACAGAGTTTAACCTTTCTTTTCTTAGAGCAGTTTAGAAACACTCTGCTTGTTATGTCTGCAAGTGGATATTTGGACCTCTTTTAGGCCTTCGTTGCAAACGGGGTTTCTTCCTTTAATGCTAGACTAAGAACAGTTCTCAGTAACTTTTTTGTGTTGTGTGTATTCAACTCACAGAGTTGAACCTTGCTTTAGAGAGAGCAGATTTGAAACACTCTCGCTGTGGAATTTTCATGTGGAGATTTCAAGCGATTTGAGGACAATTGCAGAAAAGGAAATATCTTCGTATAATAACCAGACAGAATCATTCTCAGAAAGTGCTTTGTGATGTGTGCGTTCAACTCACAGAGTTTAACCTTTCTTTTCATAGAGGAGTTTGGAAACACACTGTTTGTAAAGTCTGCAATTGGATATATGGACCTGTTTGAGGCCTTCGTTGGAAACGGGATTTCTTCATTGAATGCTAGACGGAAGAATTCTCAGTAAATTCTTTGTGTTGTGTGCATTCAACTGACAGAGTGGAACGTCCCTTAAAACAGAGCAGATTTGAAACACTCTTTTTGCGGAATTTGCAAGTGGAGATTTCTAGCCATTTGATGCCAACAGTAGAAAGGGAAATATCTTCAAATAAAAACCAGACAGAATCATTCTCAGAAAATTCTTTGTGATGTGCGCGTTCAACTCACATAGTTTAACCTTTCTTTTCATAGAGCAGTTTGGAAACACTCTGTTTGTAAAGTCTGCAAGTGGATATATGGACCGCATTGAGGCCTTCGTTGGAAACGGGATTTCTTCATTTCATGCTAGACAGAAGAATTCTCAGTAACTTCTTTGTGCTGTGTGTATTCAACTCACAGAGTGGAACGTCCCTTTACACAGAGCACATTTGAAACACTCTTTTTGTGGAGTTTGCAAGTGGAGATTTCAAGCGATTTGATGCGAACAGTAGAAAAGGAAATATCTTCAAATAAAAACTAGACAGAATCATTCTCAGAAACTACTTTGTGATGTGTGCCTTCAACTCACAGAGTTTAACCTTTCTTTTCTTAGAGCAGTTTAGAAACACTCTGCTTGTTATGTCTGCAAGTGGATATTTGGACCTCTTTGAGGCCTTCGTTGCAAACGGGGTTTCTTCCTTTCATGCTAGACTAAGAAGAGTTCTCAGTAACTTTTTTGTGTTGTGTGTATTCAACTCACAGAGTTGAACCTTGCTTTAGAGAGAGCAGATTTGAAACACTCTTGCTGTGGCATTTTCAGGTGGAGATTTCAAGCGATTTGAGGACAATTGCAGAAAAGGAAATATCTTCGTATAATAACCAGACAGAATCATTCTCAGAAAGTGCTTTGTGATGTGTGCGTTCCACTCACAGAGTTTAACCTTTCTTTTCATAGAGGAGTTTGGAAACACACTGTTTGTAAAGTCTGCAAGTGGATATATGGACCTGTTTGAGGCCTTCGTTGGAAACGGGATTTCTTCATTGAATGCTAGACGGAAGAATTCTCAGTAAATTCTTTGTGTTGTGTGCATTCAACTCACAGAGTGGAACGTCCCTTTAGACAGAGCAGATTTGAAACACTCTTTTTGCGGAATTTGCATGTGGAGATTTCTAGCCATTTGATGCCAACAGTAGAAAGGGAAATATCTTCAAATAAAAACCAGACAGAATCATTCTCAGAAAATTCTTTGTGATGTGTGCGTTCAACTCACATAGTTTAACCTTTCTTTTCATAGAGCAGTTTGGAAACACTCTGTTTGTAAAGTCTGCAAGTGGATATATGGACCGCATTGAGGCCTTCGTTGGAAACGGGATTTCTTCATTTCATGCTAGACAGAAGAATTCTCAGTAACTTCTTTGTGCTGTGTGTATTCAACTCACAGAGTGGAACGTCCCTTTACACAGAGCAGATTTGAAACACTCTTTTTGTGGAGTTTGCAAGTGGAGATTTCAAGCGATTTGATGCCAACAGTAGAAAAGGAAATATCTTCAAATAAAAACTAGACAGAATCATTCTCAGAAACTACTTTGTGATGTGTGCCTTCAACTCACAGAGTTTAACCTTTCTTTTCTTAGAGCAGTTTAGAAACACTCTGCTTGTTATGTCTGCAAGTGGATATTTGGACCTCTTTGAGGCCTTCGTTGCAAACGGGGTTTCTTCCTTTCATGCTAGACTAAGAAGAGTTCTCAGTAACTTTTTTGTGTTGTGTGTATTCAACTCACAGAGTTGAACCTTGCTTTAGAGAGAGCAGATTTGAAACACTCTTGCTGTGGCATTTTCAGGTGGAGATTTCAAGCGATTTGAGGACAATTGCAGAAAAGGAAATATCTTCGTATAATAACCAGACAGAATCATTCTCAGAAAGTGCTTTGTGATGTGTGCGTTCCACTCACAGAGTTTAACCTTTCTTTTCATAGAGGAGTTTGGAAACACACTGTTTGTAAAGTCTGCAAGTGGATATATGGACCTGTTTGAGGCCTTCGTTGGAAACGGGATTTCTTCATTGAATGCTAGACGGAAGAATTCTCAGTAAATTCTTTGTGTTGTGTGCATTCAACTGACAGAGTGGAACGTCCCTTTAGACAGAGCAGATTTGAAACACTCTTTTTGCGGAATTTGCAAGTGGAGATTTCTAGCCATTTGATGCCAACAGTAGAAAGGGAAATATCTTCAAATAAAAACCAGACAGAATCATTCTCAGAAAATTGTTTGTGATGTGTGCGTTCAACTCACATAGTTTAACCTTTCTTTTCATAGAGCAGTTTGGAAACACTCTGTTTGTAAAGTCTGCAAGTGGATATATGGACCGCATTGAGGCCTTCGTTGGAAACGGGATTTCTTCATTTCATGCTAGACAGAAGAATTCTCAGTAACTTCTTTGTGCTGTGTGTATTCAACTCACAGAGTGGAACGTCCCTTTACACAGAGCAGATTTGAAACACTCTTTTTGTGGAGTTTGCAAGTGGAGATTTCAAGCGATTTGATGCCAACAGTAGAAAAGGAAATATCTTCAAATAAAAACTAGACAGAATCATTCTCAGAAACTACTTTGTGATGTGTGCCTTCAACTCACAGAGTTTAACCTTTCTTTTCTTAGAGCACTTTAGAAACACTCTGCTTGTTATGTCTGCAAGTGGATATTTGGACCTCTTTGAGGCCTTCGTTGCAAACGGGGTTTCTTCCTTTCATGCTAGACTAAGAAGAGTTCTCAGTAACTTTTTGTGTTGTGTGTATTCAACTCACAGAGTTGAACCTTGCTTTAGAGAGAGCAGATTTGAAACACTCTTGCTGTGGCATTTTCAGGTGGAGATTTCAAGCGATTTGAGGACAATTGCAGAAAAGGAAATATCTTCGTATAATAACCAGACAGAATCATTCTCAGAAAGTGCTTTGTGATGTGTGCGTTCAACTCACAGATTTTAACCTTTCTTTTCATAGAGGAGTGTGGAAACACACTGTTTGTAAACTCTGCAATTGGATATATGGACCTGTTTGAGGCCTTCGTTGGAAACGGGATTTCTTCATTGAATGCTAGACGGAAGAATTCTCAGTAAATTCTTTGTGTTGTGTGCATTCAACTGACAGAGTGGAACGTCCCTTTAGACAGAGCAGATTTGAAACACTCTTTTTGCGGAATTTGCAAGTGGAGATTTCTAGCCATTTGATGCCAACAGTAGAAAGGGAAATATCTTCAAATAAAAACCAGACAGAATCATTCTCAGAAAATTCTTTGTGATGTGTGCGTTCAACTCACATAGTTTAACCTTTCTTTTCATAGAGCAGTTTGGAAACACTCTGTTTGTAAAGTCTGCAAGTGGATATATGGACCGCATTGAGGCCTTCGTTGGAAACGGGATTTCTTCATTTCATGCTAGACAGAAGAATTCTCAGTAACTTCTTTGTGCTGTGTGTATTCAACTCACAGAGTGGAACGTCCCTTTGCACAGAGCAGATTTGAAACACTCTTTTTGTGGAATTTGCAAGTGGAGATTTCAAGCGATTTGATGCCAACAGTAGAAAAGGAAATATCTTCAAATAAAAACTAGACAGAATCATTCTCAGAAACTACTTTGTGATGTGTGCCTTCAACTCACAGAGTTTAACCTTTCTTTTCTTAGAGCAGTTTAGAAACACTCTGCTTGTTATGTCTGCAAGTGGATATTTGGACCTCTTTGAGGCCTTCGTTGCAAACGGGGTTTCTTCCTTTCATGCTAGACTAAGAAGAGTTCTCAGTAACTTTTTTGTGTTGTGTGTATTCAACTCACAGAGTTGAACCTTGCTTTAGAGAGAGCAGATTTGAAACACTCTTGCTGTGGCATTTTCAGGTGGAGATTTCAAGCGATTTGAGGACAATTGCAGAAAAGGAAATATCTTCGTATAATAACCAGACAGAATCATTCTCAGAAAGTGCTTTGTGATGTGTGCGTTCCACTCACAGAGTTTAACCTTTCTTTTCATAGAGGAGTTTGGAAACACACTGTTTGTAAAGTCTGCAAGTGGATATATGGACCTGTTTGAGGCCTTCGTTTGAAACGGGATTTCTTCATTGAATGCTAGACGGAAGAATTCTCAGTAAATTCTTTGTGTTGTGTGCATTCAACTCACAGAGTGGAACGTCCCTTTAGACAGAGCAGATTTGAAACACTCTTTTTGCGGAATTTGCAAGTGGAGATTTCTAGCCATTTGATGCCAACAGTAGAAAGGGAAATATCTTCAAATAAAAACCAGACAGAATCATTCTCAGAAAATTCTTTGTGATGTGTGCGTTCAACTCACATAGTTTAACCTTTCTTTTCATAGAGCAGTTTGGAAACACTCTGTTTGTAAAGTCTGCAAGTGGATATATGGACCGCATTGAGGCCTTCGTTGGAAACGGGATTTCTTCATTTCATGCTAGACAGAAGAATTCTCAGTAACTTCTTTGTGCTGTGTGTATTCAACTCACAGAGTGGAACGTCCCTTTGCACAGAGCAGATTTGAAACACTCTTTTTGTGGAATTTGCAAGTGGAGATTTCAAGCGATTTGATGCCAACAGTAGAAAAGGAAATATCTTCAAATAAAAACTAGACAGAATCATTCTCAGAAACTACTTTGTGATGTGTGCCTTCAACTCACAGAGTTTAACCTTTCTTTTCTTAGAGCAGTTTAGAAACACTCTGCTTGTTATGTCTGCAAGTGGATATTTGGACCTCTTTGAGGCCTTCGTTGCAAACGGGGTTTCTTCCTTTCATGCTAGACTAAGAAGAGTTCTCAGTAACTTTTTTGTGTTGTGTGTATTCAACTCACAGAGTTGAACCTTGCTTTAGAGAGAGCAGATTTGAAACACTCTTGCTGTGGCATTTTCAGGTGGAGATTTCAAGCGATTTGAGGACAATTGCAGAAAAGGAAATATCTTCGTATAACAACCAGACAGAATCTTCTCAGAAAGTGCTTTGTGATGTGTGCGTTCAACTCACAGAGTTTAACCTTTCTTTTCATAGAGGAGTTTGGAAACACACTGTTTGTAAAGTCTGCAATTGGATATATGGACCTGTTTGAGGCCTTCGTTGGAAACGGGATTTCTTCATTGAATGCTAGACGGAAGAATTCTCAGTAAATTCTTTGTGTGGTGTGCATTCAACTCACAGAGTGGAACGTCCCTTTAGACAGAGCAGATTTGAAACACTCTTTTTGCGGAATTTGCAAGTGGAGATTTCTAGCCATTTGATGCCAACAGTAGAAAGGGAAATATCTTCAAATAAAAACCAGACAGAATCATTCTCAGAAAATTCTTTGTGATGTGTGCGTTCAACTCACATAGTTTAACCTTTCTTTTCATAGAGCAGTTTGGAAACACTCTGTAAAGTCTGCAAGTGGATATATGGACCGCATTGAGGCCTTCGTTGGAAACGGGATTTCTTCATTTCATGCTAGACAGAAGAATTCTCAGTAACTTCTTTGTGCTGTGTGTATTCAACTCACAGAGTGGAACGTCCCTTTGCACAGAGCAGATTTGAAACACTCTTTTTGTGGAGTTTGCAAGTGGAGATTTCAAGCGATTTGATGCCAACAGTAGAAAAGGAAATATCTTCAAATAAAAACTAGACAGAATCATTCTCAGAAACTACTTTGTGATGTGTGCCTTCAACTCACAGAGTTTAACCTTTCTTTTCTTAGAGCAGTTTAGAAACACTCTGCTTGTTATGTCTGCAAGTGGATATTTGGACCTCTTTGAGGCCTTCGTTGCAAACGGGGTTTCTTCCTTTCATGCTAGACTAAGAAGAGTTCTCAGTAACTTTTTTGTGTTGTGTGTATTCAACTCACAGAGTTGAACCTTGCTTTAGAGAGAGCAGATTTGAAACACTCTTGCTGTGGCATTTTCAGGTGGAGATTTCAAGCGATTTGAGGACAATTGCAGAAAAGGAAATATCTTCGTATAATAACCAGACAGAATCATTCTCAGAAAGTGCTTTGTGATGTGTGCGTTCCACTCACAGAGTTTAACCTTTCTTTTCATAGAGGAGTTTGGAAACACACTGTTTGTAAAGTCTGCAAGTGGATATATGGACCTGTTTGAGGCCTTCGTTGGAAACGGGATTTCTTCATTGAATGCTAGACGGAAGAATTCTCAGTAAATTCTTTGTGTTGTGTGCATTCAACTCACAGAGTGGAACGTCCCTTTAGACAGAGCAGATTTGAAACACTCTTTTTGCGGAATTTGCAAGTGGAGATTTCTAGCCATTTGATGCCAACAGTAGAAAGGGAAATATCTTCAAATAAAAACCAGACAGAATCATTCTCAGAAAATTCTTTGTGATGTGTGCGTTCAACTCACATAGTTTAACCTTTCTTTTCATAGAGCAGTTTGGAAACACTCTGTTTGTAAAGTCTGCAAGTGGATATATGGACCGCATTGAGGCCTTCGTTGGAAACGGGATTTCTTCATTTCATGCTAGACAGAAGAATTCTCAGTAACTTCTTTGTGCTGTGTGTATTCAACTCACAGAGTGGAACGTCCCTTTGCACAGAGCAGATTTGAAACACTCTTTTTGTGGAATTTGCAAGTGGAGATTTCAAGCGATTTGATGCCAACAGTAGAAAAGGAAATATCTTCAAATAAAAACTAGACAGAATCATTCTCAGAAACTACTTTGTGATGTGTGCCTTCAACTCACAGAGTTTAACCTTTCTTTTCTTAGAGCAGTTTAGAAACACTCTGCTTGTTATGTCTGCAAGTGGATATTTGGACCTCTTTGAGGCCTTCGTTGCAAACGGGGTTTCTTCCTTTCATGCTAGACTAAGAAGAGTTCTCAGTAACTTTTTTGTGTTGTGTGTATTCAACTCACAGAGTTGAACCTTGCTTTAGAGAGAGCAGATTTGAAACACTCTTGCTGTGGCATTTTCAGGTGGAGATTTCAAGCGATTTGAGGACAATTGCAGAAAAGGAAATATCTTCGTATAATAACCAGACAGAATCATTCTCAGAAAGTGCTTTGTGATGTGTGCGTTCCACTCACAGAGTTTAACCTTTCTTTTCATAGAGGAGTTTGGAAACACACTGTTTGTAAAGTCTGCAAGTGGATATATGGACCTGTTTGAGGCCTTCGTTGGAAACGGGATTTCTTCATTGAATGCTAGACGGAAGAATTCTCAGTAAATTCTTTGTGTTGTGTGCATTCAACTCACAGAGTGGAACGTCCCTTTAGACAGAGCAGATTTGAAACACTCTTTTTGCGGAATTTGCAAGTGGAGATTTCTAGCCATTTGATGCCAACAGTAGAAAGGGAAATATCTTCAAATAAAAACCAGACAGAATCATTCTCAGAAAATTCTTTGTGATGTGTGCGTTCAACTCACATAATTTAACCTTTCTTTTCATAGAGCAGTTTGGAAACACTCTGTTTGTAAAGTCTGCAAGTGGATATATGGACCGCATTGAGGCCTTCGTTGGAAACGGGATTTCTTCATTTCATGCTAGACAGAAGAATTCTCAGTAACTTCTGTGTGCTGTGTGTATTCAACTCACAGAGTGGAACGTCCCTTTGCACAGAGCAGATTTGAAACACTCTTTTTGTGGAATTTGCAAGTGGAGATTTCAAGCGATTTGATGCCAACAGTAGAAAAGGAAATATCTTCAAATAAAAACTAGACAGAATCATTCTCAGAAACTACTTTGTGATGTGTGCCTTCAACTCACAGAGTTTAACCTTTCTTTTCTTAGAGCAGTTTAGAAACACTCTGCTTGTTATGTCTGCAAGTGGATATTTGGACCTCTTTGAGGCCTTCGTTGCAAACGGGGTTTCTTCCTTTCATGCTAGACTAAGAAGAGTTCTCAGTAACTTTTTTGTGTTGTGTGTATTCAACTCACAGAGTTGAACCTTGCTTTAGAGAGAGCAGATTTGAAACACTCTTGCTGTGGCATTTTCAGGTGGAGATTTCAAGCGATTTGAGGACAATTACAGAAAAGGAAATATCTTCGTATAACAACCAGACAGAATCATTCTCAGAAAGTGCTTTGTGATGTGTGCGTTCCACTCACAGAGATTAACCTTTCTTTTCATAGAGGAGTTTGGAAACACACTGTTTGTAAACTCTGCAAGTGGATATATGGACCTGTTTGAGGCCTTCGTTGGAAACGGGATTTCTTCATTGAATGCTAGACGGAAGAATTCTCAGTAAATTCTTTGTGTTGTGTGCATTCAACTCACAGAGTGGAACGTCCGTTTAGACAGAGCAGATTTGAAACACTCTTTTTGCGGAATTTGCAAGTGGAGATTTCTAGCCATTTGATGCCAACAGTAGAAAGGGAAATATCTTCAAATAAAAACCAGACAGAATCATTCTCAGAAAATTCTTTGTGATGTGTGCGTTCAACTCACATAGTTTAACCTTTCTTTTCATAGAGCAGTTTGGAAACACTCTGTTTGTAAAGTCTGCAAGTGGATATATGGACCGCATTGAGGCCTTCGTTGGAAACGGGATTTCTTCATTTCATGCTAGATAGAAGAATTCTCAGTAACTTCTTTGTGCTGTGTGTATTCAACTCACAGAGTGGAACGTCCCTTTACACAGAGCAGATTTGAAACACTCTTTTTGTGGAGTTTGCAAGTGGAGATTTCAAGCGATTTGATGCCAACAGTAGAAAAGGAAATATCTTCAAATAAAAACTAGACAGAATCATTCTCAGAAACTACTTTGTGATGTGTGCCTTCAACTCACAGAGTTTAACCTTTCTTTTCTTAGAGCAGTTTAGAAACACTCTGCTTGTTATGTCTGCAAGTGGATATTTGGACCTCTTTGAGGCCTTCGTTGCAAACGGGGTTTCTTCCTTTAATGCTAGACTAAGAAGAGTTCTCAGTAACTTTTTTGTGTTGTGTGTATTCAACTCACAGAGTTGAACCTTGCTTTAGAGAGAGCAGATTTGAAACACTCTTGCTGTGGCATTTTCAGGTGGAGATTTCAAGCGATTTGAGGACAATTGCAGAAAAGGAAATATCTTCGTATAATAACCAGACAGAATCATTCTCAGAAAGTGCTTTGTGATGTGTGCGTTCAACTCACAGAGTTTAACCTTTCTTTTCATAGAGGAGTTTGGAAACACACTGTTTGTAAAGTCTGCAATTGGATATATGGACCTGTTTGAGGCCTTCGTTGGAAACGGGATTTCTTCATTGAATGCTAGACGGAAGAATTCTCAGTAAATTCTTTGTGTTGTGTGCATTCAACTCACCGAGTGGAACGTCCCTTTAGACAGACCAGATTTGAAACACTCTTTTTGCGAAATTTGGAAGTGGAGATTTCAAGCCATTTGATGCCAACAATAGAAAGGGAAATATCTTCAAATAAAAACTAGACAGAATCATTCTCAGAAAATTCTTTGTGATGTGTGCGTTCAACTCACATAGTTTAACCTTTCTTTTCATAGAGCAGTTTGGAAACACTCTGTTTGTAAAGTCTGCAAGTAGATATATGGACCGCTTTGAGGCCTTCGTTGGAAACGGGATTTCTTCATTTCATGCTAGACAGAAGAATTCTCAGTAACTCCTTTGTGTTGTGTGTATTCAACTCACAGTGTGGAACGTCCCTTTAGACAGAGCAGATTTGAAACACTCTTTTTGTGGAATTTGCAAGTGGAGATTTCAAGCGATTTGATGCCAGCAGTAGAAAAGCAAATATCTTCTAATAAAAACTAGACAGAATCATTCTCAGAAACTACTTTGTGATGTGTGCCTTCAACTCACAGAGTTTAACCTTTCTTTTCTTAGAGCAGTTTAGAAACACTCTGCTGCTTATGTCTGCAAGTGGATATTTGGACCTCTTTGAGGCCTTCGTTGCAAACGGGATTTCTTCCTTTAATGCTAGACTAAGAAGAGTTCTCAGTAACTTTTTTGTGTTGTGTGTATTCAACTCACAGAGTTGAACCTTGCTTTAGAGAGAGCAGATTTGAAACACTCTTGCTGTGGCATTTTCAGGTGGAGATTTCAAGCGATTTGAGGACAATTGCAGAAAAGGAAATATCTTCGTATAATAACCAGACAGAATCATTCTCAGAAAGTGCTTTGTGATGTGTGCGTTCAACTCACAGAGTTCAACCTTTCTTTTCATAGAGGAGTTTGGAAACACACTGTTTGTAAAGTCTGCAAGTGGATATATGGACCTGTTTGATGCCTTCGTTGGAAACGGGATTTTATCATATAATGCTAGACGGAAGAATTCTCAGTAAATTCTTTGTGTTGTGTGCATTCAACTCACAGAGTGGAACGTCCCTTTAGACAGAGCAGATTTGAAACACTCTTTTTGCGGAATTTGCAATTGGAGATTTCTAGCCATTTGATGCCAACGGTAGAAAGGGAAATATCTTCAAATAAAAACTAGACAGAATCATCCTCAGAAAATTCTTTGTGATGTGTGCGTTCAACTCACATAGTTTAACCTTTCTTTTCATAGACCAGTTTGGAAACACTCTGTTGGTAATGTCTGCAAGTGGATATATGGACCGCTTTGAGGACTTCGTTGGAAACGGAATTTCTTAATTTCATGCTAGACAGAAGAATTCTCAGTAACTTCTTTGTGTTGTGTGTATTCAACTGACAGATTGGAATGTCCCATTACACAGAGCAGTTTTGAAACACTCTTTTTGTGGAATTTAAAAGTGGAGAATTCAAGCGATTTGATGCCAAAAGTTGGAAAGGAAATATCTTCAAATAAAAATTAGACAGAATCATTCTCAGAAAATTCTTTGTGATGTGTGCGTTCAGCTCACATAGTTTAAACTTTCTTTTCATAGAGCAGTTTCGAAACACACTGTTTGTAAAATCTGCAAGTGGATATATGTACCGCTTTGAGGCATTCCTTGGAAACGGGATTTCTTCATTGAATGCTAGACAGAAGAATTCTCAGTAAACTCTTTGTGTTGTGTGCATTCAACTCACCGAGTGGAACGTCCCTTTAGACAGAGCAGATTTGAAACACTCTTTTTGCGAAATTTGGAAGTGGAGATTTCAAGCCATTTGATGCCAACAATAGAAAGGGAAATATCTTCAAATAAAAACTAGACAGAATCATTCTCAGAAAATTCTTTGTGATGTGTGCGTTCAACTCACATAGTTTAACCTTTCTTTTCATAGAGCAGTTTGGAAACACTCTGTTTGTAAAGTCTGCAAGTAGATATATGGACCGCTTTGAGGCCTTTGTTGGAAACGGGTTTTCTTCATTTCATGCTAGACAGAAGAATTCTCAGTAACTTCTTTGTGTTGTGTGTATTCAACTCACAGAGTGGAACGTCCCTTTAGACAGAGCAGATTTGAAACACTCTTTTTGTGGAATTTGCAAGTGGAGATTTCAAGCGATTTGATGCCAACAGTAGAAAAGGAAATATCTTCAAATAAAAACTAGACAGAATCATTCTCAGAAACTACTTTGTGATGTGTGCCTTCAACTCACAGAGTTTAACCTTTCTTTTCATAGAGCAGTTTAGAAACACTCTGCTTGTTATGTCTGCAAGTGGATATTTGGACCTCTTTGAGGCCTTCGTTGCAAACGGGGTTTCTTCCTTTCATGCTAGACTAAGAAGAGTTCTCAGTAACTTTTTTGTGTTGTGTGTATTCAACTCACAGAGTTGAACCTTGCTTTAGAGAGAGCAGATTTGAAACACTCTTGCTGTGGCATTTTCAGGTGGAGATTTCAAGCGATTTGAGGACAATTGCAGAAAAGGAAATATCTTCGTATAATAACCAGACAGAATAATTCTCAGAAAGTGCTTTGTGATGTGTGCGTTCAACTCACAGAGTTTAACCTTTCTTTTCATAGAGGAGTTTGGAAACACTCTGTTTGTAAAGTCTGTAATTGGATATATGGACCTGTTTGAGGCCTTCGTTGGAAACGGGATTTCTTCATTGAATGCTAGAAGGAAGAATTCTCAGTAAATTCTTTGTGTTGTGTGCATTCAACTCACAGAGTGGAACGTCCCTTTAGACAGAGCAGATTTGAAACACTCTTTTTGCGGAATTTGCAAGTGGAGATTTCTAGCCATTTGATGCCAACAGTAGAAAGGGAAATATCTTCAAATAAAAACCAGACAGAATCATTCTCAGAAAGTGCTTTGTGATGTGTGCGTTCAACTCACAGAGTTTAACCTTTCTTTTCATAGAGGAGTTTGGAAACACACTGTTTGTAAAGTCTGCAATTGGATATATGGACCGCATTGAGGCCTTCGTTGGAAACGGGATTTCTTCATTTCATGCTAGACAGAAGAATTCTCAGTAACTTCTTTGTGCTGTGTGTATTCAACTCACAGAGTGGAACGTCCCTTTACACAGAGCAGATTTGAAACACTCTTTTTGTGGAGTTTGCAAGTGGAGATTTCAAGCGATTTGATGCCAACAGTAGAAAAGGAAATATCTTCAAATAAAAACTAGACAGAATCATTCTCAGAAACTACTTTGTGATGTGTGCCTTCAACTCACAGAGTTTAACCTTTCTTTTCTTAGAGCAGTTTAGAAACACTCTGCTTGTTATGTCTGCAAGTGGATATTTGGACCTCTTTGAGGCCTTCATTGCAAACGGGGTTTCTTCCTTTCATGCTAGACTAAGAAGAGTTCTCAGTAACTTTTTTGTGTTGTGTGTATTCAACTCACAGAGTTGAACCTTGCTTTAGAGAGAGCAGATTTGAAACACTCTTGCTGTGGCATTTTCAGGTGGAGATTTCAAGCGATTTGAGGACAATTACAGAAAAGGAAATATCTTCGTATAACAACCAGACAGAATCATTCTCAGAAAGTGCTTTGTGATGTGTGCGTTCAACTCACAGAGTTTAACCTTTCTTTTCATAGAGGAGTTTGGAAACACACTGTTTGTAAAGTCTGCAATTGGATATATGGACCTGTTTGAGGCCTTCGTTGGAAACGGGATTTCTTCATTGAATGCTAGGCGGAAGAATTCTCAGTAAATTCTTTGTGTTGTGTGCATTCAACTCACAGAGTGGAACGTCCCTTTAGACAGAGCAGATTTGAAACACTCTTTTTGCGGAATTTGCAAGTGGAGATTTCTAGCCATTTGATGCCAACAGTAGAAAGGGAAATATCTTCAAATAAAAACCAGACAGAATCATTCTCAGAAAATTCTTTGTGATGTGTGCGTTCAACTCACATAGTTTAACCTTTCTTTTCATAGAGCAGTTTGGGAACACTCTGTTGGTAATGTCTGCAAGTGGATATATGGACCGCTTTGAGGCCTTCGTTGGAAACGGGATTTCTTCATTTCATGCTAGACAGAAGAATTCTCAGTAACTTCTTTGTGCTGTGTGTATTCAACTCACAGAGTGGAACGTCCCTTTGCACAGAGCAGATTTGAAACACTCTTTTTGTGGAGTTTGCAAGTGGAGATTTCAAGCGATTTGATGCCAACAGTAGAAAAGGAAATATCTTCAAATAAAAACTAGACAGAATCATTCTCAGAAACTACTTTGTGATGTGTGCCTTCAACTCACAGAGTTTAACCTTTCTTTTCTTAGAGCAGTTTAGAAACACTCTGCTTGTTATGTCTGCAAGTGGATATTTGGACCTCTTTGAGGCCTTCGTTGCAAACGGGGTTTCTTCCTTTCATGCTAGACTAAGAAGAGTTCTCAGTAACTTTTTTGTGTTGTGTGCATTCAACTCACAGAGTTGAACCTTGCTTTAGAGAGAGCAGATTTGAAAAACTCTTGCTGTGGCATTTTCAGGTGGAGATTTCAAGCGATTTGAGGACAATTGCAGAAAAGGAAATATCTTCGTATAATAACCAGACAGAATCATTCTCAGAAAGTGCTTTGTGATGTGTGCGTTCAACTCACAGAGTTTAACCTTTCTTTTCATAGAGGAGTTTGGAAACACACTGTTTGTAAAGTCTGCAAGTGGATATATGGACCTGTTTGAGGCCTTCGTTGGAAACGGGATTTCTTCATTGAATGCTAGACGGAAGAATTCTCAGTAAATTCTTTGTGTTGTGTGCATTCAACTCACAGAGTGGAACGTCCCTTTAGACAGAGCAGATTTGAAACACTCTTTTTGCGGAATTTGCAAGTGGAGATTTCTAGCCATTTGATGCCAACAGTAGAAAGGGAAATATCTTCAAATAAAAACCAGACAGAATCATTCTCAGAAAATTCTTTGTGATGTGTGCGTTCAACTCACATAGTTTAACCTTTCTTTTCATAGAGCAGTTTGGAAACACTCTGTTTGTAAAGTCTGCAAGTGGATATATGGACCGCATTGAGGCCTTCGTTGGAAACGGGATTTCTTCATTTCATGCTAGACAGAAGAATTCTCAGTAACTTCTTTGTGCTGTGTGTATTCAACTCACAGAGTGGAACGTCCCTTTGCACAGAGCAGATTTGAAACACTCTTTTTGTGGAATTTGCAAGTGGAGATTTCAAGCGATTTGATGCCAACAGTAGAAAAGGAAATATCTTCAAATAAAAACTAGACAGAATCATTCTCAGAAACTACTTTGTGATGTGTGCCTTCAACTCACAGAGTTCAACCTTTCTTTTCTTAGAGCAGTTTAGAAACACTCTGCTTGTTATGTCTGCAAGTGGATATTTGGACCTCTTTGAGGCCTTCGTTGCAAACGGGGTTTCTTCCTTTCATGCTAGACTAAGAAGAGTTCTCAGTAACTTTTTTGTGTTGTGTGTATTCAACTCACAGAGTTGAACCTTGCTTTAGAGAGAGCAGATTTGAAACACTCTTGCTGTGGCATTTTCAGGTGGAGATTTCAAGCGATTTGAGGACAATTGCAGAAAAGGAAATATCTTCGTATAATAACCAGACAGAATCATTCTCAGAAAGTGCTTTGTGATGTGTGCGTTCAACTCACAGAGTTTAACCTTTCTTTTCATAGAGGAGTTTGGAAACACACTGTTTGTAAAGTCTGCAAGTGGATATATGGACCTGTTTGAGGCCTTCGTTGGAAACGGGATTTCTTCATTGAATGCTAGACGGAAGAATTCTCAGTAAATTCTTTGTGTTGTGTGCATTCAACTCACAGAGTGGAACGTCCCTTTAGACAGAGCAGATTTGAAACACTCTTTTTGCGGAATTTGCAAGTGGAGATTTCTAGCCATTTGATGCCAACAGTAGAAAGGGAAATATCTTCAAATAAAAACCAGACAGAATCATTCTCAGAAAATTCTTTGTGATGTGTGCGTTCAACTCACATAGTTTAACCTTTCTTTTCATAGAGCAGTTTGGAAACACTCTGTTTGTAAAGTCTGCAAGTGGATATATGGACCGCATTGAGGCCTTCGTTGGAAACGGGATTTCTTCATTTCATGCTAGACAGAAGAATTCTCAGTAACTTCTTTGTGCTGTGTGTATTCAACTCACAGAGTGGAACGTCCCTTTACACAGAGCAGATTTGAAACACTCTTTTTGTGGAGTTTGCAAGTGGAGATTTCAAGCGATTTGATGCCAACAGTAGAAAAGGAAATATCTTCAAATAAAAACTAGACAGAATCATTCTCAGAAACTACTTTGTGATGTGTGCCTTCAACTCACAGAGTTTAACCTTTCTTTTCTTAGAGCAGTTTAGAAACACTCTGCTTGTTATGTCTGCAAGTGGATATTTGGACCTCTTTGAGGCCTTCGTTGCAAACGGGGTTTCTTCCTTTCATGCTAGACTAAGAAGAGTTCTCAGTAACATTTTTGTGTTGTGTGTATTCAACTCACAGAGTTGAACCCTGCTTTAGAGAGAGCAGATTTGAAACACTCTTGCTGTGGCATTTTCAGGTGGAGATTTCAAGCGATTTGAGGACAATTGCAGAAAAGGAAATATCTTCGTATAACAACCAGACAGAATCATTCTCAGAAAGTGCTTTGTGATGTGTGCGTTCCACTCACAGAGTTTAACCTTTCTTTTCATAGAGGAGTTTGGAAACACACTGTTTGTAAAGTCTGCAAGTGGATATATGGACCTGTTTGAGGCCTTCGTTGGAAACGGGATTTCTTCATTGAATGCTAGACGGAAGAATTCTCAGTAAATTCTTTGTGTTGTGTGCATTCAACTCACAGAGTGAAACGTCCCTTTAGACAGAGCAGATTTGAAACACTCTTTTTGCGGAATTTGCAAGTGGAGATTTCTAGCCATTTGATGCCAACAGTAGAAAGGGAAATATCTTCAAATAAAAACCAGACAGAATCATTCTCAGAAAATTCTTTGTGATGTGTGCGTTCAACTCACATAGTTTAACCTTTCTTTTCATAGAGCAGTTTGGAAACACTCTGTTTGTAAAGTCTGCAAGTGGATATATGGACCGCATTGAGGCCTTCGTTGGAAACGGGATTTCTTCATTTCATGCTAGACAGAAGAATTCTCAGTAACTTCTTTGTGCTGTGTGTATTCAACTCACAGAGTTGAACCTTGCTTTAGAGAGAGCAGATTTGAAACACTCTTGCTGTGGCATTTTCAGGTGGAGATTTCAAGCGATTTGAGGAAAATTGCAGAAAAGGGAATATCTTCGTATAATAACCAGACAGAATCATTCTCAGAAAGTGCTTTGTGATGTGTGCTTTCCACTCACAGAGTTTAACCTTTCTTTTCATAGAGGAGTTTGGAAACACACTGTTTGTAAACTCTGCAAGTGGATATATGGACCTGTTTGAGGCCTTCGTTGGAAACGGGATTTCTTCATTGAATGCTAGACGGAAGAATTCTCAGTAAATTCTTTGTGTTGTGTGCATTCAACTCACAGAGTGGAACGTCCCTTTAGACAGAGCAGATTTGAAACACTCTTTTTGCGGAATTAGCAAGTGGAGATTTCTAGCCATTTGATGCCAACAGTAGAAAGGGAAATATCTTCAAATAAAAACCAGACAGAATCATTCTCAGAAAATTCTTTGTGATGTGTGCGTTCAACTCACATAGTTTAACCTTTCTTTTCATAGAGCAGTTTGGAAACACTCTGTTTGTAAAGTCTGCAAGTGGATATATGGACCGCATTGAGGCCTTCGTTGGAAACGGGATTTCTTCATTTCATGCTAGACAGAAGAATTCTCAGTAACTTCTTTGTGCTGTGTGTATTCAACTCACAGAGTGGAACGTCCCTTTACACAGAGCAGATTTGAAACACTCTTTTTGTGGAGTTTGCAAGTGGAGATTTCAAGCGATTTGATGCCAACAGTAGAAAAGGAAATATCTTCAAATAAAAACTAGACAGAATCATTCTCAGAAACTACTTTGTGATGTGTGCCTTCAACTCACAGAGTTTAACCTTTCTTTTCTTAGAGCAGTTTAGAAACACTCTGCTTGTTATGTCTGCAAGTGGATATTTGGACCTCTTTGAGGCCTTCGTTGCAAACGGGGTTTCTTCCTTTCATGCTAGACTAAGAAGAGTTCTCAGTAACTTTTTTGTGTTGTGTGTATTCAACTCACAGAGTTGAACCTTGCTTTAGAGAGAGCAGATTTGAAACACTCTTGCTGTGGCATTTTCAGGTGGAGATTTCAAGCGATTTCAGGACAATTGCAGAAAAGGAAATATCTTCGTATAATAACCAGACAGAATCATTCTCAGAAAGTGCTTTGTGATGTGTGCGTTCCACTCACAGAGTTTAACCTTTCTTTTCATAGAGGAGTTTGGAAACACACTGTTTGTAAAGTCTGCAATTGGATATATGGACCTGTTTGAGGCCTTCGTTGGAAACGGGATTTCTTCATTGAATGCTAGACGGAAGAATTCTCAGTAAATTCTTTGTGTTGTGTGCATTCAACTGACAGAGTGGAACGTCCCTTTAGACAGAGCAGATTTGAAACACTCTTTTTGCGGAATTTGCAAGTGGAGATTTCTAGCCATTTGATGCCAACAGTAGAAAGGGAAATATCTTCAAATAAAAACCAGACAGAATCATTCTCAGAAAATTCTTTGTGATGTGTGCGTTCAACTCACATAGTTTAACCTGTCTTTTCATAGAGCAGTTTGGAAACACTCTGTTTGTAAAGTCTGCAAGTGGATATATGGACCGCATTGAGGCCTTCGTTGGAAACGGGATTTCTTCATTTCATGCTAGACAGAAGAATTCTCAGTAACTTCTTTGTGCTGTGTGTATTCAACTCACAGAGTGGAACGTCCCTTTACACAGAGCAGATTTGAAACACTCTTTTTGTGGAGTTTGCAAGTGGAGATTTCAAGCGATTTGATGCCAACAGTAGAAAAGGAAATATCTTCAAATAAAAACTAGACAGAATCATTCTCAGAAACTACTTTGTGATGTGTGCCTTCAACTCACAGAGTTTAACCTTTCTTTTCATAGAGCAGTTTAGAAACACTCTGCTTGTTATGTCTGCAAGTGGATATTTTTACCTCTTTGAGGCCTTCGTTGCAAACGGGGTTTGTTCCTTTCATGCTAGACTAAGAAGAGTTCTCAGTAACTTTTTTGTGTTGTGTGTATTCAACTCACAGAGTTGAACCTTGCTTTAGAGAGAGCAGATTTGAAACACTCTTGCTGTGGCATTTTCAGGTGGAGATTTCAAGCGATTTGAGGACAATTGCAGAAAAGGAAATATCTTCGTATAACAACCAGACAGAATCATTCTCAGAAAGTGCTTTGTGATGTGTGCGTTCCACTCACAGAGTTTAACCTTTCTTTTCATAGAGGAGTTTGGAAACACACTGTTTGTAAACTCTGCAAGTGGATATATGGACCTGTTTGAGGCCTTCGTTGGAAACGGGATTTCTTCATTGAATGCTAGACGGAAGAATTCTCAGTAAATTCTTTGTGTTGTGTGCATTCAACTCACAGAGTGGAACGTCCCTTTAGACAGAGCAGATTTGAAACACTCTTTTTGCGGAATTTGCAAGTGGAGATTTCTAGCCATTTGATGCCAACAGTAGAAAGGGAAATATCTTCAAATAAAAACCAGACAGAATCATTCTCAGAAAATTCTTTGTGATGTGTGCGTTCAACTCACATAGTTTAACCTTTCTTTTCATAGAGCAGTTTGGAAACACTCTGTTTGTAAAGTCTGCAAGTGGATATATGGACCGCATTGAGGCCTTCGTTGGAAACGGGATTTCTTCATTTCATGCTAGCCAAAGTAATTCTCAGTAACTTCTTTGTGCTGTGTGTATTCAACTCACAGAGTGGAACGTCCCTTTACACAGAGCAGATTTGAAACACTCTTTTTGTGGAGTTTGCAAGTGGAGATTTCAAGCGATTTGATGCCAACAGTAGAAAAGGAAATATCTTCAAATAAAAACTAGACAGAATCATTCTCAGAAACTACTTTGTGATGTGTGCCTTCAACTCACCGAGTTTAACCTTTCTTTTCTGAGAGCAGCTTAGAAACACTCTGCTTGTTATGTCTGCAAGTTGATATTTGGACCTCTTTGAGGCCTTCGTTGCAAACGGGGTTTCTTCCTTTCATGCTAGACTAAGAAGAGTTCTCAGTAACTTTTTTGTGTTGTGTGTATTCAACTCACAGAGTTGAACCTTGCTTTAGAGAGAGCAGATTTGAAACACTCTTGCTGTGGCATTTTCAGGTGGAGATTTCAAGCGATTTGAGGACAATTGCAGAAAAGGAAATATCTTCGTATAATAACCAGACAGAATCATTCTCAGAAAGTGCTTTGTGATGTGTGCGTTCAACTCACAGAGTTTAACCTTTCTTTTCATAGAGGAGTTTGGAAACACACTGTTTGTAATGTCTGCAATTGGATATATGGACCTGTTTGAGGCCTTCGTTGGAAACGGGATTTCTTCATTGAATGCTAGACGGAAGGATTCTCAGTAAATTCTTTGTGTTGTGTGCATTCAACTCACAGAGTGGAACGTCCCTTTAGACAGAGCAGATTTGAAACACTCTTTTTGCGGAATTTGCAAGTGGAGATATCTAGCCATTTGATGCCAACAGTAGAAAGGGAAATATCTTCAAATAAAAACCAGACAGAATCATTCTCAGAAAATTCTTTGTGATATGTGCGTTCAACTCACATAGTTTAACCTTTCTTTTCATAGAGCAGTTTGGAAACACTCTGTTTGTAAAGTCTGCAAGTGGATATATGGACCGCATTGAGGCCTTCGTTGGAAACGGGATTTCTTCATTTCATGCTAGACAGAAGAATTCTCAGTAACTTCTTTGTGCTGTGTGTATTCAACTCACAGAGTGGAACGTCCCTTTACACAGAGCAGATTTGAAACACTCTTTTTGTGGAGTTTGCAAGTGGAGATTTCAAGCGATTTGATGCCAACAGTAGAAAAGGAAATATCTTCAAATAAAAACTAGACAGAATCATTCTCAGAAACTACTTTGTGATGTGTGCCTTCAACTCACAGAGTTTAACCTTTCTTTTCTTAGAGCAGTTTAGAAACACTCTGCTTGTTATGTCTGCAAGTGGATATTTGGACCTCTTTGAGGCCTTCTTTGCAAACGGGGTTTCTTCCTTTCATGCTAGACTAAGAAGAGTTCTCAGTAACTTTTTTGTGTTGTGTGTATTCAACTCACAGAGTTGAACCTTGCTTTAGAGAGAGCAGATTTGAAACACTCTTGCTGTGGCATTTTCAGGTGGAGATTTCAAGCGATTTGAGGACAATTGCAGAAAAGGAAATATCTTCGTATAACAACCAGACAGAATCATTCTCAGAAAGTGCTTTGTGATGTGTGCGTTCAACTCACAGAGTTTAACCTTTCTTTTCATAGAGGAGTTTGGAAACACACTGTTTGTAAAGTCTGCAATTGGATATATGGACCTGTTTGAGGCCTTCGTTGGAAACGGGATTTCTTCATTGACTGCTAGACGGAAGAATTCTCAGTAAATTCTTTGTGTTGTGTGCATTCAACTCACAGAGTGGAACGTCCCTTTAGACCGAGCAGATTTGAAACACTCTTTTTGCGGAATTTGCAAGTGGAGATTTCTAGCCATTTGATGCCAACAGTAGAAAGGGAAATATCTTCAAATAAAAACCAGACAGAATCATTCTCAGAAAATTCTTTGTGATGTGTGCGTTCAACTCACATAGTTTAACCTTTCTTTTCATAGAGCAGTTTGGAAACACTCTGTTTGTAAAGTCTGCAAGTGGATCTATGGACCGCATTGAGGCCTTCGTTGGAAACGGGATTTCTTCATTTCATGCTAGACAGAAGAATTCTCAGTAACTTCTTTGTGCTGTGTGTATTCAACTCACAGAGTGGAACGTCTCTTTACACAGAGCAGATTTGAAACACTCTTTTTGTGGAGTTTGCAAGTGGAGATTTCAAGCGATTTGATGCCAACAGTAGAAAATGAAATATCTTCAAATAAAAACTAGACAGAATCATTCTCAGAAACTACTTTGTGATGTGTGCCTTCAACTCACAGAGTTTAACCTTTCTTTTCTTAGAGCAGTTTAGAAACACTCTGCTTGTTATGTCTGCAAGTGGATATTTGGACCTCTTTGAGGCCTTCGTTGCAAACGGGGTTTCTTCCTTTAATGCTAGACTAAGAAGAGTTCTCAGTAACTTTTTTGTGTTGTGTGTATTCAACTCACAGAGTTGAACCTTGCTTTAGAGAGAGCAGATTTGAAACACTCTTGCTGTGGCATTTTCAGGTGGAGATTTCAAGCGATTTGAGGACAATTGCAGAAAAGGAAATATCTTCGTATAATAACCAGACAGAATCATTCTCAGAAAGTGCTTTGTGATGTGTGCGTTCCACTCACAGAGTTTAACCTTTCTTTTCATAGAGGAGTTTGGAAACACACTGTTTGTAAAGTCTGCAAGTGGATATATGGACCTCTTTGAGGCCTTCGTTGGAAACGGGATTTCTTCATTGAATGCTAGACGGAAGAATTCTCAGTAAATTCTTTGTTTTGTGTGCATTCAACTCACAGAGTGGAACGTCCCTTTAGACAGAGCAGATTTGAAACACTCTTTTTGCGGAATTTGCAAGTGGAGATTTCTAGCCATTTGATGCCAACAGTAGAAAGGGAAATATCTTCAAATAAAAACCAGACAGAATCATTCTCAGAAAATTCTTTGTGATGTGTGCGTTCAACTCACATAATTTAACCTTTCTTTTCATAGAGCAGTTTGGAAACACTCTGTTTGTAAAGTCTGCAAGTGGATATATGGACCGCATTGAGGCCTTCGTTGGAAACGGGATTTCTTCATTTCATGCTAGACAGAAGAATTCTCAGTAACTTCTTTGTGCTGTGTGTATTCAACTCACAGAGTGGAACGTCCCTTTGCACAGAGCAGATTTGAAACACTCTTTTTGTGGAATTTGCAAGTGGAGATTTCAAGCGATTTGATGCCAACAGTAGAAAAGGAAATATCTTCAAATAAAAACTAGACAGAATCATTCTCAGAAACTACTTTGTGATGTGTGCCTTCAACTCACAGAGTTTAACCTTTCTTTTCTTAGAGCAGTTTAGAAACACTCTGCTTGTTATGTCTGCAAGTGGATATTTGGACCTCTTTGAGGCCTTCGTTGCAAACGGGGTTTCTTCCTTTCATGCTAGACTAAGAAGAGTTCTCAGTAACTTTTTTGTGTTGTGTGTATTCAACTCACAGAGTTGAACCTTGCTTTAGAGAGAGCAGATTTGAAACACTCTTGCTGTGGCATTTTCAGGTGGAGATTTCAAGCGATTTGAGGACAATTGCAGAAAAGGAAATATCTTCGTATAATAACCAGACAAAATCATTCTCAGAAAGTGCTTTGTGATGTGTGCGTTCCACTCACAGAGTTTAACCTTTCTTTTCATAGAGGAGTTTGGAAACACACTGTTTGTAAAGTCTGCAAGTGGATATATGGACCTCTTTGAGGCCTTCGTTGGAAACGGGATTTCTTCATTGAATGCTAGACGGAAGAATTCTCAGTAAATTCTTTGTGTTGTGTGCATTCAACTCACAGAGTGGAACGTCCCTTTAGACAGAGCAGATTTGAAACACTCTTTTTGCGGAATTTGCAAGTGGAGATTTCTAGCCATTTGATGCCAACAGTAGAAAGGGAAATATCTTCAAATAAAAACCAGACAGAATCATTCTCAGAAAATTCTTTGTGATGTGTGCGTTCAACTCACATAGTTTAACCTTTCTTTTCATAGAGCAGTTTGGAAACACTCTGTTTGTAAAGTCTGCAAGTGGATATATGGACCGCATTGAGGCCTTCGTTGGAAACGGGATTTCTTCATTTCATGCTAGACAGAAGAATTCTCAGTAACTTCTTTGTGCTGTGTGTATTCAACTCACAGAGTGGAACGTCCCTTTGCACAGAGCAGATTTGAAACACTCTTTTTGTGGAATTTGCAAGTGGAGATTTCAAGCGATTTGATGCCAACAGTAGAAAAGGAAATATCTTCAAATAAAAACTAGACAGAATCATTCTCAGAAACTACTTTTTGATGTGTGCCTTCAACTCACAGAGTTTAACCTTTCTTTTCTTAGAGCAGTTTAGAAACACTCTGCTTGTTATGTCTGCAAGTGGATATTTGGACCTCTTTGAGGCCTTCGTTGCAAACGGGGTTTCTTCCTTTCATGCTATACTAAGAAGAGTTCTCAGTAACTTTTTTGTGTTGTGTGTATTCAACTCACAGAGTTGAACCTTGCTTTAGAGAGAGCAGATTTGAAACACTCTTGCTGTGGCATTTTCAGGTGGAGATTTCAAGCGATTTGAGGACAATTGCAGAAAAGGAAATATCTTCGTATAATAACCAGACAGAATCATTCTCAGAAAGTGCTTTGTGATGTGTGCGTTCAACTCACAGAGTTTAACCTTTCTTTTCATAGAGGAGTTTGGAAACACACTGTTTGTAAAGTCTGCAATTGGATATATGGACCTGTTTGAGGCCTTCTTTGGAAACGGGATTTCTTCATTGAATGCTAGACGGAAGAATTCTCAGTAAATTCTTTGTGTTGTGTGCATTCAACTCACAGAGTGGAACGTCCCTTTAGACAGAGCAGATTTGAAACACTCTTTTTGCGGAATTTGCAAGTGGAGATTTCTAGCCATTTGATGCCAACAGTAGAAAGGGAAATATCTTCAAATAAAAACCAGACAGAATCATTCTCAGAAAATTCTTTGTGATGTGTGCGTTCAACTCACATAGTTTAACCTTTCTTTTCATAGAGCAGTTTGGAAACACTCTGTTTGTAAAGTCTGCAAGTGGATCTATGGACCGCATTGAGGCCTTCGTTGGAAACGGGATTTCTTCATTTCATGCTAGACAGAAGAATTCTCAGTAACTTCTTTGTGCTGTGTGTATTCAACTCACAGAGTGGAACGTCCCTTTACACAGAGCAGATTTGAAACACTCTTTTTGTGGAGTTTGCAAGTGGAGATTTCAAGCGATTTGATGCCAACAGTAGAAAATGAAATATCTTCAAATAAAAACTAGACAGAATCATTCTCAGAAACTACTTTGTGATGTGTGCCTTCAACTCACAGAGTTTAACCTTTCTTTTCTTAGAGCAGTTTAGAAACACTCTGCTTGTTATGTCTGCAAGTGGATATTTGGACCTCTTTGAGGCCTTCGTTGCAAACGGGGTTTCTTCCTTTCATGCTAGACTAAGAAGAGTTCTCAGTAACTTTTCTGTGTTGTGTGTATTCAACTCACAGAGTTGAACCTTGCTTTAGAGAGAGCAGATTTGAAACACTCTTGCTGTGACATTTTCAGGTGGAGATTTCAAGCGATTTGAGGACAATTGCAGAAAAGGAAATATCTTCGTATAACAACCAGACAGAATCATTCTCAGAAAGTGCTTTGTGATGTGTGCGTTCCACTCACAGAGTTTAACCTTTCTTTTCATAGAGGAGTTTGGAAACACACTGTTTGTAAAGTCTGCAAGTGGATATATGGACCTGTTTGAGGCCTTCGTTGGAAACGGGATTTCTTCATTGAATGCTAGACGGAAGAATTCTCAGTAAATTCTTTGTGTTGTGTGCATTCAACTGACAGAGTGGAACGTCCCTTTAGACAGAGCAGATTTGAAACACTCTTTTTGCGGAATTTGCAAGTGGAGATTTCTAGCCATTTGATGCCAACAGTAGAAAGGGAAATATCTTCAAATAAAAACCAGACAGAATCATTCTCAGAAAATTCTTTGTGATGTGTGCGTTCAACTCACATAGTTTAACCTTTCTTTTCATAGAGCAGTTTGGAAACACTCTGTTTGTAAAGTCTGCAAGTGGATATATGGACCGCATTGAGGCCTTCGTTGGAAACGGGATTTCTTCATTTCATGCTAGACAGAAGAATTCTCAGTAACTTCTTTGTGCTGTGTGTATTCAACTCACAGAGTGGAACGTCCCTTTACACAGAGCAGATTTGAAACACTCTTTTTGTGGAGTTTGCAAGTGGAGATTTCAAGCGATTTGATGCCAACAGTAGAAAAGGAAATATCTTCAAATAAAAACTAGACAGAATCATTCTCAGAAACTACTTTGTGATGTGTGCCTTCAACTCACAGAGTTTAACCTTTCTTTTCTTAGAGCAGTTTAGAAACACTCTGCTTGTTATGTCTGCAAGTGGATATTTGGACCTCTTTGAGGCCTTCGTTGCAAACGGGGTTTCTTCCTTTCATGCTAGACTAAGAAGAGTTCTCAGTAACTTTTTTGTGTTGTGTGTATTCAACTCACAGAGTTGAACCTTGCTTTAGAGAGAGCAGATTTGAAACACTCTTGCTGTGGCATTTTCAGGTGGAGATTTCAAGCGTTTTGAGGACAATTGCAGAAAAGGAAATATCTTCCTATAACAACCAGACAGAATCATTCTCAGAAAGTGCTTTGTGATGTGTGCGTTCCACTCACAGAGTTTAACCTTTCTTTTCATAGAGGAGTTTGGAAACACACTGTTTGTAAAGTCTGCAAGTGGATATATGGACCTGTTTGAGGCCTTCGTTGGAAACGGGATTTCTTCATTGACTGCTAGACGGAAGAATTCTCAGTAAATTCTTTGTGTTGTGTGCATTCAACTGACAGAGTGGAACGTCCCTTTAGACAGAGCAGATTTGAAACACTCTTTTTGCGGAATTTGCAAGTGGAGATTTCTAGCCATTTGATGCCAACAGTAGAAAGGGAAATATCTTCAAATAAAAACCAGACAGAATCATTCTCAGAAAATTCTTTGTGATGTGTGCGTTCAACTCACATAGTTTAACCTTTCTTTTCATAGAGCAGTTTGGAAACACTCTGTTTGTAAAGTCTGCAAGTGGATCTATGGACCGCATTGAGGCCTTCGTTGGAAACGGGATTTCTTCATTTCATGCTAGACAGAAGAATTCTCAGTAACTTCTTTGTGCTGTGTGTATTCAACTCACAGAGTGGAACGTCCCTTTACACAGAGCAGATTTGAAACACTCTTTTTGTGGAGTTTGCAAGTGGAGATTTCAAGCGATTTGATGCCAACAGTAGAAAAGGAAATATCTTCAAATAAAAACTAGACAGAATCATTCTCAGAAACTACTTTGTGATGTGTGCCTTCAACTCACAGAGTTTAACCTTTCTTTTCTTAGAGCAGTTTAGAAACACTCTGCTTGTTATGTCTGCAAGTGGATATTTGGACCTCTTTGAGGCCTTCGTTGCAAACGGGGTTTCTTCCTTTAATGCTAGACTAAGAAGAGTTCTCAGTAACTTTTTTGTGTTGTGTGCATTCAACTCACAGAGTTGAACCTTGCTTTAGAGAGAGCAGATTTGAAACACTCTTGCTGTGGCATTTTCAGGTGGAGATTTCAAGCGATTTGAGGACAATTGCAGAAAAGGAAATATCTTCGTATAACAACCAGACAGAATCATTCTCAGAGAGTGCTTTGTGATGTGTGCGTTCAACTCACAGTGTTTAACCTTTCTTTTCATAGAGGAGTTTGGAAACACACTGTTTGTAAAGTCTGCAATTGGATATATGGACCTGTTTGAGGCCTTCGTTGGAAACGGGATTTCTTCATTGACTGCTAGACGGAAGAATTCTCAGTAAATTCTTTGTGTTGTGTGCATTCAACTCACAGAGTGGAACGTCCCTTTAGACAGAGCAGATTTGAAACACTCTTTTTGCGGAATTTGCAAGTGGAGATTTCTAGCCATTTGATGCCAACAGTAGAAAGGGAAATATCTTCAAATAAAAACCAGACAGAATCATTCTCAGAAAATTCTTTGTGATGTGTGCGTTCAACTCACATAGTTTAACCTTTCTTTTCATAGAGCAGTTTGGAAACACTCTGTTTGTAAAGTCTGCAAGTGGATATATGGACCGCATTGAGGCCTTCGTTGGAAACGGGATTTCTTCATTTCATGCTAGACAGAAGAATTCTCAGTAACTTCTTTGTGCTGTGTGTATTCAACTCACAGAGTGGAACGTCCCTTTGCACAGAGCAGATTTGAAACACTCTTTTTGTGGAATTTGCAAGTGGAGATTTCAAGCGATTTGATGCCAACAGTAGAAAAGGAAATATCTTCAAATAAAAACTAGACAGAATCATTCTCAGAAACTACTTTGTGATGTGTGCCTTCAACTCACAGAGTTTAACCTTTCTTTTCTTAGAGCAGTTTAGAAACACTCTGCTTGTTATGTCTGCAAGTGGATATTTGGACCTCTTTGAGGCCTTCGTTGCAAACGGGGTTTCTTCCTTTCATGCTAGACTAAGAAGAGTTCTCAGTAACTTTTTTGTGTTGTGTGTATTCAACTCACAGAGTTGAACCTTGCTTTAGAGAGAGCAGATTTGAAACACTCTTGCTGTGGCATTTTCAGGTGGAGATTTCAAGCGATTTGAGGACAATTGCAGAAAAGGAAATATCTTCGTATAACAACCAGACAGAATCATTCTCAGAGAGTGCTTTGTGATGTGTGCGTTCAACTCACAGAGTTTAACCTTTCTTTTCATAGAGGAGTTTGGAAACACACTGTTTGTAAAGTCTGCAAGTGGATATATGGACCTGTTTGAGGCCTTCGTTGGAAACTGGATTTCTTCATTGACTGCTAGACGGAAGAATTCTCAGTAAATTCTTTGTGTTGTGTGCATTCAACTGACAGAGTGGAACGTCCCTTTAGACAGAGCAGATTTGAAACACTCTTTTTGCGGAATTTGCAAGTGGAGATTTCTAGCCATTTGATGCCAACAGTAGAAAGGGAAATATCTTCAAATAAAAACCAGACAGAATCATTCTCAGAAAATTCTTTGTGATGTGTGCCTTCAACTCACATAGTTTAACCTTTCTTTTCATAGAGCAGTTTGGAAACACTCTGTTTGTAAAGTCTGCAAGTGGATATATGGACCGCATTGAGGCCTTCGTTGGAAACGGGATTTCTTCATTTCATGCTAGACAGAAGAATTCTCAGTAACTTCTTTGTGCTGTGTGTATTCAACTCACAGAGTGGAACGTCCCTTTACACAGAGCAGATTTGAAACACTCTTTTTGTGGAGTTTGCAAGTGGAGATTTCAAGCGATTTGATGCCAACAGTAGAAAAGGAAATATCTTCAAATAAAAACTAGACAGAATCATTCTCAGAAACTACTTTGTGATGTGTGCCTTTAACTCACAGAGTTTAACCTTTCTTTTCTTAGAGCAGTTTAGAAACACTCTGCTTGTTATGTCTGCAAGTGGATATTTGGACCTCTTTGAGGCCTTCGTTGCAAACGGGGTTTCTTCCTTTCATGCTAGACTAAGAAGAGTTCTCAGTAACTTTTTTGTGTTGTGTGTATTCAACTCACAGAGTTGAACCTTGCTTTAGAGAGAGCAGATTTGAAACACTCTTGCTGTGGCATTTTCAGGTGGAGATTTCAAGCGATTTGAGGACAATTGCAGAAAAGGAAATATCTTCGTATAATAACCAGACAGAATCATTCTCAGAAAGTGCTTTGTGATGTGTGCGTTCAACTCACAGAGTTTAACCTTTCTTTTCATAGAGGAGTTTGGAAACACACTGTTTGTAAAGTCTGCAATTGGATATATGGACCTGTTTGAGGCCTTCGTTGGAAACGGGATTTCTTCATTGAATGCTAGACGGAAGAATTCTCAGTAAATTCTTTGTGTTGTGTGCATTCAACTCACAGAGTGGAACGTCCCTTTAGACAGAGCAGATTTGAAACACTCTTTTTGCGGAATTTGCAAGTGGAGATTTCTAGCCATTTGATGCCAACAGTAGAAAGGGAAATATCTTCAAATAAAAACCAGACAGAATCATTCTCAGCAAATTCTTTGTGATGTGTGCGTTCAACTCACATAGTTTAACCTTTCTTTTCATAGAGCAGTTTGGAAACACTCTGTTTGTAAAGTCTGCAAGTGGATATATGGACCGCATTGAGGCCTTCGTTGGAAACGGGATTTCTTCATTTCATACTAGACAGAAGAATTCTCAGTAACTTCTTTGTGCTGTGTGTATTCAACTCACAGAGTGGAACGTCCCTTTGCACAGAGCAGATTTGAAACACTCTTTTTGTGGAGTTTGCAATTGGAGATTTCAAGCGATTTGATGCCAACAGTAGAAAAGGAAATATCTTCAAATAAAAACTAGACAGGAATCATTCTCAGAAACTACTTTGTGATGTGTGCCTTCAACTCACAGAGTTTAACCTTTCTTTTCTTAGAGCAGTTTAGAAACACTCTGCTTGTTATGTCTGCAAGTGGATATTTGGACCTCTTTGAGGCCTTCGTTGCAAACGGGGTTTCTTCCTTTCATGCTAGACTAAGAAGAGTTCTCAGTAACTTTTTTGTGTTGTGTGTATTCAACTCACAGAGTTGAACCTTGCTTTAGAGAGAGCAGATTTGAAACACTCTTGCTGTGGCATTTTCAGGTGGAGATTTCAAGCGATTTGAGGACAATTGCAGAAAAGGAAATATCTTCGTATAATAACCAGACAGAATCATTCTCAGAAAGTGCTTTGTGATGTGTGCGTTCAACTCACAGAGTTTAACCTTTCTTTTCATAGAGGAGTTTGGAAACACACTGTTTGTAAAGTCTGCAATTGGATATATGGACCTGTTTGAGGCCTTCGTTGGAAACGGGATTTCTTCATTGAATGCTAGACGGAAGAATTCTCAGTAAATTCTTTGTGTTGTGTGCATTCAACTCACAGAGTGGAACGTCCCTTTAGACAGAGCAGATTTGAAACACTCTTTTTGCGGAATTTGCAAGTGGAGATTTCTAGCCATTTGATGCCAACAGTAGAAAGGGAAATATCTTCAAATAAAAACCAGACAGAATCATTCTCAGAAAATTCTTTGTGATGTGTGCGTTCAACTCACATAGTTTAACCTTTCTTTTCATAGAGCAGTTTGGAAACACTCTGTTTGTAAAGTCTGCAAGTGGATATATGGACCGCATTGAGGCCTTCGTTGGAAACGGGATTTCTTCATTTCATGCTAGACAGAAGAATTCTCAGTAACTTCTTTGTGCTGTGTGTATTCAACTCACAGAGTGGAACGTCCCTTTGCACAGAGCAGATTTGAAACACTCTTTTTGTGGAATTTGCAAGTGGAGATTTCAAGCGATTTGATGCCAACAGTAGAAAAGGAAATATCTTCAAATAAAAACTAGACAGAATCATTCTCAGAAACTACTTTGTGATGTGTGCCTTCAACTCACAGAGTTTAACCTTTCTTTTCTTAGAGCAGTTTAGAAACACTCTGCTTGTTATGTCTGCAAGTGGATACTTGGACCTCTTTGAGGCCTTCGTTGCAAACGGGGTTTCTTCCTTTAATGCTAGACTAAGAAGAGTTCTCAGTAACTTTTTTGTGTTGTGTGTATTCAACTCACAGAGCTGAACCTTGCTTTAGAGAGAGCAGATTTGAAACACTCTTGCTGTGGCATTTTCAGGTGGAGATTTCAAGCGATTTGAGGACAATTGCAGAAAAGGAAATATCTTCGTATAACAACCAGACAGAATCATTCTCAGAAAGTGCTTTGTGATGTGTGCGTTCCACTCACAGAGTTTAACCTTTCTTTTCATAGAGGAGTTTGGAAACACACTGTTTGTAAAGTCTGCAAGTGGATATATGGACCTCTTTGAGGCCTTCGTTGGAAACGGGATTTCTTCATTGAATGCTAGACGGAAGAATTCTCAGTAAATTCTTTGTGTTGTGTGCATTCAACTCACAGAGTGGAACGGTCCCTTTAGACAGAGCAGATTTGAAACACTCTTTTTGCGGAATTTGCAAGTGGAGATTTCTAGCCATTTGATGCCAACAGTAGAAAGGGAAATATCTTCAAATAAAAACCAGACAGAATCATTCTCAGAAAATTCTTTGTGATGTGTGCATTCAACTCACATAGTTTAACCTTTCTTTTCATAGAGCAGTTTGGAAACACTCTGTTTGTAAAGTCTGCAAGTGGATATATGGACCGCATTGAGGCCTTCGTTGGAAACGGGATTTCTTCATTTCATGCTAGACAGAAGAATTCTCAGTAACTTCTTTGTGCTGTGTGTATTCAACTCACAGAGTGGAACGTCCCTTTGCACAGAGCAGATTTGAAACACTCTTTTTGTGGAGTTTGCAAGTGGAGATTTCAAGCGATTTGATGCCAACAGTAGAAAAGGAAATATCTTCAAATAAAAACTAGACAGAATCATTCTCAGAAACTACTTTGTGATGTGTGCCTTCAACTCACAGAGTTTAACCTTTCTTTTCTTAGAGCAGTTTAGAAACACTCTGCTTGTTATGTCTGCAAGTGGATATTTGGACCTCTTTGAGGCCTTCGTTGCAAACGGGGTTTCTTCCTTTCATGCTAGACTAAGAAGAGTTCTCAGTAACTTTTTTGTGTTGTGTGTATTCAACTCACAGAGTTGAACCTTGCTTTAGAGAGAGCAGATTTGAAACACTCTTGCTGTGGCATTTTCAGGTGGAGATTTCAAGCGATTTGAGGACAATTGCAGAAAAGGAAATATCTTCGTATAACAACCAGACAGAATCATTCTGAGAAAGTGCTTTGTGATGTGTGCGTTCAACTCACAGAGTTTAATCTTTCTTTTCATAGAGGAGTTTGGAAACACACTGTTTGTAAAGTCTGCAAGTGGATATATGGACCTGTTTGAGGCCTTCGTTGGAAACGGGATTTCTTCATTGAATGCTAGACGGAAGAATTCTCAGTAAATTCTTCGTGTTGTGTGCATTCAACTCACAGAGTGGAACGTCCCTTTAGACAGAGCAGATTTGAAACACTCTTTTTGCGGAATTTGCAAGTGGAGATTTCTAGCCATTTGATGCCAACAGTAGAAAGGGAAATATCTTCAAATAAAAACCAGACAGAATCATTCTCAGAAAATTCTTTGTGATGTGTGCGTTCAACTCACATAGTTTAACCTTTCTTTTCATAGAGCAGTTTGGAAACACTCTGTTTGTAAAGTCTGCAAGTGGATATATAGACCGCATTGAGGCCTTCGTTGGAAACGGGATTTCTTCATTTCGTGCTAGAAAGAAGAATTCTCAGTAACTTCTTTGTGCTGTGTGTATTCAACTCACAGAGTGGAACGTCCCTTTGCACAGAGCAGATTTGAAACACTCTTTTTGTGGAGTTTGCAAGTGGAGATTTCAAGCGATTTGATGCCAACAGTAGAAAAGGAAATATCTTCAAATAAAAACTAGACAGAATCATTCTCAGAAACTACTTTGTGATGTGTGCCTTCAACTCACAGAGTTTAACCTTTCTTTTCTTAGAGCAGTTTAGAAACACTCTGCTTGTTATGTCTGCAAGTGGATATTTGGACCTCTTTGAGGCCTTCGTTGCAAACGGGGTTTCTTCCTTTCATGCTAGACAAAGAAGAGTTCTCAGTAACTTTTTTGTGTTGTGTGTATTCAACTCACAGAGTTGAACCTTGCTTTAGAGAGAGCAGATTTGAAACACTCTTGCTGTGGCATTTTCAGGTGGAGATTTCAAGCGACTTGAGGACAATTGCAGAAAAGGAAATATCTTCGTATAATAACCAGACAGAATCATTCTCAGAAAGTGCTTTGTGATGTGTGCGTTCAACTCACAGAGTTTAACTTTTCTTTCCATAGAGGAGTTTGGAAACACACTGTTTGTAAAGTCTGCAAGTGGATATATGGACCTGTTTGAGGCCTTCGTTGGAAACGGGATTTCTTCATTGAATGCTAGACGGAAGAATTCTCAGTAAATTCTTTGTGTGGTGTGCATTCAACTCACAGAGTGGAACGTCCCTTTAGACAGAGCAGATTTGAAACACTCTTTTTGCGGAATTTGCAAGTGGAGATTTCTAGCCATTTGATGCCAACAGTAGAAAGGGAAATATCTTCAAATAAAAACCAGACAGAATCATTCTCAGAAAATTCTTTGTGATGTGTGCGTTCAACTCACATAGTTTAACCTTTCTTTTCATAGAGCAGTTTGGAAACACTCTGTTTGTAAAGTCTGCAAGTGGATATATGGACCGCATTGAGGCCTTCGTTGGAAACGGGATTTCTTCATTTCATGCTAGACAGAAGAATTCTCAGTAACTTCTTTGTGCTGTGTGTATTCAACTCACAGAGTGGAACGTCCCTTTGCACAGAGCAGATTTGAAACACTCTTTTTGTGGAATTTGCAAGTGGAGATTTCAAGCGATTTGATGCCAACAGTAGAAAAGGAAATATCTTCAAATAAAAACTAGACAGAATCATTCTCAGAAACTACTTTGTGATGTGTGCCTTCAACTCACAGAGTTTAACCTTTCTTTTCTTAGAGCAGTTTAGAAACACTCTGCTTGTTATGTCTGCAAGTGGATATTTGGACCTACTTTGAGGCCTTCGTTGCAAACGGGGTTTCTTCCTTTAATGCTAGACTAAGAAGAGTTCTCAGTAACTTTTTTGTGTTGTGTGTATTCAACTCACAGAGTTGAACCTTGCTTTAGAGAGAGCAGATTTGAAACACTCTGGCTGTGGCATTTTCAGGTGGAGATTTCAAGCGATTTGAGGACAATTGCAGAAAAGGAAATATCTTCGTATAATAACCAGACAGAATCATACTCAGAAAGTGCTTTGTGATGTGTGCGTTCAACTCAGAGAGTATAACCTTTCTTTTCATAGAGGAGTTTGGAAACACACTGTTTGTAAAGTCTGCAATTGGATATATGGACCGCTTTGAGGCATTCGTTGGGAACGGGATTTCTTCATTGAATGCTAGACAGAAGAATTCTCAGTAAATTCTTTGTGTTGTGTGCATTCAACTCACAGAGTGGAACGTCCCTTTAGACAGAGCAGATTTGAAACACTCTTTTTGCGGAATTTGCAAGTGGAGATTTCTAGCCATTTGATGCCAACAGTAGAAAGGGAAATATCTTCAAATAAAAACCAGACAGAATCATTCTCAGAAAATTCTTTGTGATGTGTGCGTTCAACTCACATAGTTTAACCTTTCTTTTCATAGAGCAGTTTGGAAACACTCTGTTTGTAAAGTCTGCAAGTGGATATATGGACCGCATTGAGGCCTTCGTTGGAAACGGGATTTCTTCATTTCATGCTAGACAGAAGAATTCTCAGTAACTTCTTTGTGCTGTGTGTATTCAACTCACAGAGTGGAACGTCCCTTTGCACAGAGCAGATTTGAAACACTCTTTTTGTGGAGTTTGCAATTGGAGATTTCAAGCGATTTGATGCCAACAGTAGAAAAGGAAATATCTTCAAATAAAAACTAGACAGGAATCATTCTCAGAAACTACTTTGTGATGTGTGCCTTCAACTCACAGAGTTTAACCTTTCTTTTCTTAGAGCAGTTTAGAAACACTCTGCTTGTTATGTCTGCAAGTGGATATTTGGACCTCTTTGAGGCCTTCGTTGCAAACGGGGTTTCTTCCTTTCATGCTAGACTAAGAAGAGTTCTCAGTAACTTTTTTGTGTTGTGTGTATTCAACTCACAGAGTTGAACCTTGCTTTAGAGAGAGCAGATTTGAAACACTCTCGCTGTGGCATTTTCAGGTGGAGATTTCAAGCGATTTGAGGACAATTGCAGAAAAGGAAATATCTTCGTATAATAACCAGACAGAATCATTCTCAGAAAGTGCTTTGTGATGTGTGCGTTCAACTCACAGAGTTTAACCTTTCTTTTCATAGAGGAGTTTGGAAACACACTGTTTGTAAAGTCTGCAATTGGATATATGGACCTGTTTGAGGCCTCCGTTGGAAACGGGATTTCTTCATTGAATGCTAGACGGAAGAATTCTCAGTAAATTCTTTGTGTTGTGTGCATTCAACTCACAGAGTGGAACGTCCCTTTAGACAGAGCAGATTTGAAACACTCTTTTTGCGGAATTTGCAAGTGGAGATTTCTAGCCATTTGATGCCAACAGTAGAAAGGGAAATATCTTCAAATAAAAACCAGACAGAATCATTCTCAGAAAATTCTTTGTGATGTGTGCGTTCAACTCACATAGTTTAACCTTTCTTTTCATAGAGCAGTTTGGAAACACTCTGTTTGTAAAGTCTGCAAGTGGATATATGGACCGCATTGAGGCCTTCGTTGGAAACGGGATTTCTTCATTTCATGCTAGACAGAAGAATTCTCAGTAACTTCTTTGTGCTGTGTGTATTCAACTCACAGAGTGGAACGTCCCTTTGCACAGAGCAGATTTGAAACACTCTTTGTGGAATTTGCAAGTGGAGATTTCAAGCGATTTGATGCCAACAGTAGAAAAGGAAATATCTTCAAATAAAAACTAGACAGAATCATTTAGAAACTACTTTGTGATGTGTGCCTTCAACTCACAGAGTTTAACCTTTCTTTTCTTAGAGCAGTTTAGAAACACTCTGCTTGTTATGTCTGCAAGTGGATATTTGGACCTCTTTGAGGCCTTCGTTGCAAACGGGGTTTCTTCCTTTAATGCTAGACTAAGAAGAGTTCTCAGTAACTTTTTTGTGTTGTGTGTATTCAACTCACAGAGTTGAACCTTGCTTTAGAGAGAGCAGATTTGAAACACTCTTGCTGTGGCATTTTCAGGTGGAGATTTCAAGCGATTTGAGGACAATTACAGAAAAGGAAATAGCTTCGTATAACAACCAGACAGAATCATTCTCAGAAAGTGCTTTGTGATGTGTGCGTTCAACTCACAGAGTTTAACCTTTTTTTTCATAGAGGAGTTTGGAAACACACTGTTTGTAAAGTCTGCAAGTGGATATATGGACCTGTTTGAGGCCTTCGTTGGAAACGGGATTTCTTCATTGAATGCTAGATGGAAGAATTCTCAGTAAATTCTTTGTGTTGTGTGCATTCAACTCACAGAGTGGAACGTCCCTTTAGACAGAGCAGATTTGAAACACTCTTTTTGCGGAATTTGCAAGTGGAGATTTCTAGCCATTTGATGCCAACAGTAGAAAGGGAAATATCTTCAAATAAAAACCAGACAGAATCATTCTCAGAAAATTCTTTGTGATGTGTGCGTTCAGCTCACATAGTTTAACCTTTCTTTTCATAGAGCAGTTTGGAAACACTCTGTTTGTAAAGTCTGCAAGTGGATATATGGACCGCATTGAGGCCTTCGTTGGAAACGGGATTTCTTCATTTCATGCTAGACAGAAGAATTCTCAGTAACTTCTTTGTGCTGTGTGTATTCAACTCACAGAGTGGAACGTCCCTTTGCACAGAGCAGATTTGAAACACTCTTTTTGTGGAATTTGCAAGTGGAGATTTCAAGCGATTTGATGCCAACAGTAGAAAAGGAAATATCTTCAAATAAAAACTAGACAGAATCATTCTCAGAAACTTCTTTGTGATGTGTGCCTTCAACTCACAAAGTTTAACCTTTCTTTTCTTAGAGCAGTTTAGAAACACTCTGCTTATTATGTCTGCAAGTGGATATTTGGACCTCTTTGAGGCCTTCGTTGCAAACGGGGTTTCTTCCTTTCATGCTAGACTAAGAAGAGTTCTCAGTAACTTTTTTGTGTTGTGTGTATTCAACTCACAGAGTTGAACCTTGCTTTAGAGAGAGCAGATTTGAAACACTCTTGCTGTGGCATTTTCAGGTGGAGATTTCAAGCGATTTGAGGACAATTGCAGAAAAGGAAATATCTTCGTATAATAACCAGACAGAATCATTCTCAGAAAGTGCTTTGTGATGTGTGCGTTCCACTCACAGAGTTTAACCTTTCTTTTCATAGAGGAGTTTGGAAACACACTGTTTGTAAACTCTGCAAGTGGATATATGGACCTGTTTGAGGCCTTCGTTGGAAACGGGATTTCTTCATTGAATGCTAGACGGAAGAATTCTCAGTAAATTCTTTGTGTTGTGTGCATTCAACTCACAGAGTGGAACGTCCCTTTAGGCAGAGCAGATTTGAAACACTCTTTTTGCGGAATTTGCAAGTGGAGATTTCTAGCCATTTGATGCCAACAGTAGAAAGGGAAATATCTTCAAATAAAAACCAGACAGAATCATTCTCAGAAAATTCTTTGTGATGTGTGCGTTCAACTCACATAGTTTAACCTTTCTTTTCATAGAGCAGTTTGGAAACACTCTGTTTGTAAAGTCTGCAAGTGGATATATGGACCGCATTGAGGCCTTCGTTGGAAACGGGATTTCTTCATTTCATGCTAGACAGAAGAATTCTCAGTAACTTCTTTGTGCTGTGTGTATTCAACTCACAGAGTGGAACGTCCCTTTGCACAGAGCAGATTTGAAACACTCTTTTTGTGGAGTTTGCAAGTGGAGATTTCAAGCGATTTGATGCCAACAGTAGAAAAGGAAATATCTTCAAATAAAAACTAGACAGAATCATCCTCAGAAAATTCTTTGTGATGTGTGCGTTCAACTCACATAGTTTAACCTTTCTTTTCATAGAGCAGTTTGGAAACACTCTGTTGGTAATGTCTGCAAGTGGATATATGGACCGCATTGAGGCCTTCGTTGGAAACGGGATTTCTTCATTTCATGCTAGACAGAAGAATTCTCAGTAACTTCTTTGTGGTGTGTGTATTCAACTCACAGATTGGAACGTCCCTTTACACAGAGCAGATTTGAAACACTCTTTTTGTGGAATTTGCTAGTGGAGATTTCAAGCGATTAGATGCCAACAGTAGAAAAGGAAATATCTGCAAATAAAAACTAGACAGAATCATTCTCAGAAAGTGCTTTGTGATGTGTGCGTTCAACTCACAGAGTTTAACCTTTCTTTTCATAGAGGAGTTTGGAAACACACTGTTTGTAAAGTCTGCAATTGGATATATGGACCTGTTTGAGACCTTCGTTGGAAACGGGATTTCTTCATTGAATGCTAGACGGAAGAATTCTCAGTAAATTCTTTGTGTTGTGTGCATTCAACTCACAGAGTGGAACGTCCCTTTAGACAGAGCACATTTGAAACACTCTTTTTGCGGAATTTGCAAGTGGAGATTTCTAGCCATTTGATGCCAACAGTACAAAGGGAAATATCTTCAAATAAAAACCAGACAGAATCATTCTCAGAAAATTCTTTGTGATGTGTGCGTTCAACTCACATAGTTTAACCTTTCTTTTCATGGAGCAGTTTGGAAACACTCTGTTTGTAAAGTCTGCAAGTGGATATATGGACCGCATTGAGGCCTTCGTTGGAAACGGGATTTCTTCATTTCATACTAGACAGAAGAATTCTCAGTAACTTCTTTGTGTTGTGTGTATTCAACTCACAGAGTGGAACCTCCCTTTAGACAGAGCAGATTTGAAACACTCCTTTTGTGGAATTTGCAAGTGGAGATTTCAAGCAATTTGATGCCTGCAGTAGAAAAGGAAATATCTTCAAATAAAAACTAGACAGAATCATTCTCAGAAACTACTTTGTGATGTGTGCCTTCAACTCACAGAGTTTAACCTTTCTTTTCTTAGAGCAGTTTAGAAACACTCTGCTTGTTATGTCTGCAAGTGGATATTTGGACCCCTTTGAGGCCTTCGTTGCAAACGGGGATTCTTCATTTAATGCTAGACTAAGAAGAGTTCTCAGTAACTTTTTTGTGTTGTGTTTATTCAACTCACAGAGTTGAACCTTGCTTTAGAGAGAGCAGATTTGAAACACTCTTGCTGTGGCATTTTCAGGTGGAGATTTCAAGCGATTTGAGGACAATTGCAGAAAAGGAAATATCTTCGTATAATAAGCAGACAGAATCATTCTCAGAAAGTGCTTTGTGATGTGTGCGTTCAACTCACAGAGTTTAACCTTTCTTTTCATTGAGGAGTTTGGAAACACACTGTTTGTAAAGTCTGCAATTGGATATATGGACCTGTTTGAGGCCTTCGTTGGAAACGGGATTTCTTCATTGAATGCTAGACGGAAGAATTCTCAGTAAATTCTTTGTGTTGTGTGCATTCAACTGACAGAGTGGAACGTCCCTTAAGACAGAGCAGATTTGAAACACTCTTTTTGCGGAATTTGCAAGTGGAGATTTCTAGCCATTTGATGCCAACAGTAGAAAGGGAAATATCTTCAAATAAAAACCAGACAGAATCATTCTCAGAAAATTCTTTGTGATGTGTGCGTTCAACTCACATAGTTTAACCTTTCTTTTCATAGAGCAGTTTGGAAACACTCTGTTTGTAAAGTCTGCAAGTGGATATATGGACCGCATTGAGGCCTTCGTTGGAAACGGGATTTCTTCATTTCATGCTAGACAGAAGAATTCTCAGTAACTTCTTTGTGCTGTGTGTATTCAACTCACAGAGTGGAACGTTCCTTTACACAGAACAGATTTGAAACACTCTTTTTGTGGAATTTGCAAGTGGAGATTTCAAGCGATTTGATGCCAACAGTAGAAAAGGAAATATCTTCAAATAAAAACTAGACAGAATCATTCTCAGAAACTACTTTGTGATGTGTGCCTTCAACTCACAGAGTTTAACCTTTCTTTTCTTAGAGCAGTTTAGAAACACTCTGCTTGTTATGTCTGCAAGTGGATATTTGGACCTCTTTGAGGCCTTCGTTGCAAACGGGGTTTCTTCCTTTCATGCTAGACTAAGAAGAGTTCTCAGTAACTTTTTTGTGTTGTGTGTATTCAACTCACAGAGTTGAACCTTGCTTTAGAGAGAGCAGATTTGAAACACTCTTGCTGTGGCATTTTCACGTGGAGATTTCAAGCGATTTGAGGACAATTGCAGAAAAGGAAATATCTTCGTATAATAACCAGACAGAATCATTCTCAGAAAGTGCTTTGTGATGTGTGCGTTCAACTCACAGAGTTTAACCTTTCTTTTCATAGAGGAGTTTGGAAACACACTGTTTGTAAAGTCTGCAATTGGATATATGGACCTGTTTGAGGCCTTCGTTGGAAACGGGATTTCTTCATTGAATGCTAGACGGAAGAATTCTCAGTAAATTCTTTGTGTTGTGTGCATTCAACTCACAGAGTGGAACGTCCCTTTAGACAGAGCAGATTTGAAACACTCTTTTTGCGGAATTTGCAAGTGGAGATTTCTAGCCATTTGATGCCAACAGTAGAAAGGGAAATATCTTCAAATAAAAACCAGACAGAATCATTCTCAGAAAATTCTTTGTGATGTGTGCGTTCAACTCACATAGTTTAACCTTTCTTTTCATAGAGCAGTTTGGAAACACTCTGTTTGTAAAGTCTGCAAGTGGATATATGGACCGCATTGAGGCCTTCGTTGGAAACGGGATTTCTTCATTTCATGCTAGACAGAAGAATTCTCAGTAACTTCTTTGTGCTGTGTGTATTCAACTCACAGAGTGGAACGTCCCTTTACACAGAGCAGATTTGAAACACTCTTTTTGTGGAGTTTGCAAGTGGAGATTTCAAGCGATTTGATGCCAACAGTAGAAAAGGAAATATCTTCAAATAAAAACTAGACAGAATCATTCTCAGAAACTACTTTGTGATGTGTGCCTTCAACTCACAGAGTTTAACCTTTCTTTTCTTAGAGCAGTTTAGAAACACTCTGCTTGTTATGTCTGCAAGTGGATATTTGGACCTCTTTGAGGCCTTCGTTGCAAACGGGGTTTCTTCCTTTCATGCTAGACTAAGAAGAGTTCTCAGTAACTTTTTTGTGTTGTGTGTATTCAACTCACAGAGTTGAACCTTGCTTTAGAGAGAGCAGATTTGAAACACTCTTGCTGTGGCATTTTCAGGTGGAGATTTCAAACGATTTGAGGACAATTGCAGAAAAGGAAATATCTTCGTATAATAACCAGACAGAATCATTCTCAGAAAGTGCTTTGTGATGTGTGCGTTCAACTCACAGAGTTTAACCTTTTCATAGAGGAGTTTGGAAACACACTGTTTGTAAAGTCTGCAATTGGATATATGGACCTGTTTGAGGCCTTCGTTGGAAACGGGATTTCTTCATTGAATGCTAGACGGTAGAATTCTCAGTAAATTCTTTGTGTGGTGTGCATTCAACTCACAGAGTGGAACGTCCCTTTAGACAGAGCAGATTTGAAACACTCTTTTTGCGGAATTTGCAAGTGGAGATTTCTAGCCATTTGATGCCAACAGTAGAAAGGGAAATATCTTCAAATAAAAACCAGACAGAATCATTCTCAGAAAATTCTTTGTGATGTGTGCGTTCAACTCACATAGTTTAACCTTTCTTTTCATAGAGCAGTTTGGAAACACTCTGTTTGTAAAGTCTGCAAGTGGATATATGGACCGCATTGAGGCCTTCGTTGGAAACGGGATTTCTTCATTTCATGCTAGACAGAAGAATTCTCAGTAACTTCTTTGTGCTGTGTGTATTCAACTCACATAGTGGAACGTCCCTTTGCACAGAGCAGATTTGAAACACTCTTTTTGTGGAGTTTGCAAGTGGAGATTTCAAGCGATTTGATGCCAACAGTAGAAAAGGAAATATCTTCAAATAAAAACTAGACAGAATCATTCTCAGAAACTACTTTGTGATGTGTGCCTTCAACTCACAGAGTTTAACCTTTCTTTTCTTAGAGCAGTTTAGAAACACTCTGCTTGTTATGTCTGCAAGTGGATATTTGGACCTCTTTGAGGCCTTCGTTGCAAACGGGGTTTCTTCCTTTCATGCTAGACTAAGAAAAGAGTTCTCAGTAACTTTTTTGTGTTGTGTGTATTCAACTCACAGAGTTGAACCTTGCTTTAGAGAGAGCAGATTTGAAACACTCTTGCTGTGGCATTTTCAGGTGGAGATTTCAAGCGATTTGAGGACAATTGCAGAAAAGGAAATATCTTCGTATAATAACCAGACAGAATCATTCTCAGAAAGTGCTTTGTGATGTGTGCGTTCAACTCACAGAGTTTAACTTTTCTTTCCATAGAGGAGTTTGGAAACACACTGTTTGTAAAGTCTGCAAGTGGATATATGGACCTGTTTGAGGCCTTCGTTGGAAACGGGATTTCTTCATTGAATGCTAGACGGAAGAATTCTCAGTAAATTCTTTGTGTTGTGTGCATTCAACTCACAGAGTGGAACGTCCCTTTAGACAGAGCAGATTTGAAACACTCTTTTTGCGGAATTTGCAAGTGGAGATTTCTAGCCATTTGATGCCAACAGTAGAAAGGGAAATATCTTCAAATAAAAACCAGACAGAATCATTCTCAGAAAATTCTTTGTGATGTGTGCGTTCAACTCACATAGTTTAACCTTTCTTTTCATAGAGCAGTTTGGAAACACTCTGTTTGTAAAGTCTGCAAGTGGATATATGGACCGCATTGAGGCCTTCGTTGGAAACGGGATTTCTTCATTTCATGCTAGACAGAAGAATTCTCAGTAACTTCTTTGTGCTGTGTGTATTCAACTCACAGAGTGGAACGTCCCTTTACACAGAGCAGATTTGAAACACTCTTTTTGTGGAGTTTGCAAGTGGAGATTTCAAGCGATTTGATGCCAACAGTAGAAAAGGAAATATCTTCAAATAAAAACTAGACAGAATCATTCTCAGAAACTACTTTGTGATGTGTGCCTTCAACACACAGAGTTTAACCTTTCTTTTCTTAGAGCAGTTTAGAAACACTCTGCTTGTTATGTCTGCAAGTGGATATTTGGACCTCTTTGAGGCCTTCGTTGCAAACGGGGTTTCTTCCTTTAATGCTAGACTAAGAAGAGTTCTCAGTAACTTTTTTGTGTTGTGTGTATTCAACTAACAGAGTTGAACCTTGCTTTAGAGAGAGCAGATATGAAACACTCTTGCTGTGGCATTTTCAGGTGGAGATTTCAAGCGATTTGAGGACAATTGCAGAAAAGGAAATATCTTCGTATAATAACCAGACAGAATCATTCTCAGAAAGTGCTTTGTGATGTGTGCGTTCAACTCACAGAGTTTAACCTTTCTTTCCATAGAGGAGTTTGGAAACACACTGTTTGTAAAGTCTGCAATTGGATATATGGACCTGTTTGAGGCCTTCGTTGGAAAAGGGATTTCTTCATTGAATGCTAGACGGAAGAATTCTCAGTAAATTCTTTGTGTTGTGTGCATTCAACTCACAGAGTGGAACGTCCCTTTAGACAGAGCAGATTTGAAACACTCTTTTTGCGGAATTTGCAAGTGGAGATTTCTAGCCATTTGATGCCAACAGTAGAAAGGGAAACATCTTCAAATAAAAACCAGACAGAATCATTCTCAGAAAATTCTTTGTGATGTGTGCGTTCAACTCACATAGTTTAACCTTTCTTTTCATAGAGCAGTTTGGAAACACTCTGTTTGTAAAGTCTGCAAGTGGATATATGGACCGCATTGAGGCCTTCGTTGGAAACGGGATTTCTTCATTTCATGCTAGACAGAAGAATTCTCAGCAACTTCTTTGTGCTGTGTGTATTCAACTCACAGAGTGGAACGTCCCTTTACACAGAGCAGATTTGAAACACTCTTTTTGTGGAGTTTGCAAGTGAAGATTTCAAACGATTTGATGTCAACAGTAGAAAAGGAAATATCTTCAAATAAAAACTAGACAGAATCATTCTAAGAAACTACTTTGTGATGTGTGCCTTCAACTCACAGAGTTTAACCTTTCTTTTCTTAGAGCAGTTTAGAAACACTCTGCTTGTTATGTCTGCGAGTGGATATTTGGACCTCTTTGAGGCCTTCGTTGCAAACGGGGTTTCTTCCTTTCATGCTAGACTAAGAAGAGTTCTCAGTAACTTTTTTGTGTTGTGTGTATTCAACTCACAGAGTTGAACCTTGCTTTAGAGAGAGCAGATTTGAAACACTCTTGCTGTGGCATTTTCAGGTGGAGATTTCAAGCGATTTGAGGACAATTGCAGAAAAGGAAATATCTTCGTATAATAACCAGACAGAATCATTCTCAGAAAGTGCTTTGTGATGTGTGCGTTCCACTCACAGAGTTTAACCTTTCTTTTCATAGAGGAGTTTGGAAACACACTGTTTGTAAAGTCTGCAAGTGGATATATGGACCTGTTTGAGGCCTTCGTTGGAAACGGGATTTCTTCATTGAATGCTAGACGGAAGAATTCTCAGTAAATTCTTTGTGTTGTGTGCATTCAACTCACAGAGTGGAACGTCCCTTTAGACAGAGCAGATTTGAAACACTCTTTTTGCGGAATTTGCAAGTGGAGATTTCTAGCCATTTGATGCCAACAGTAGAAAGGGAAATATCTTCAAATAAAAACCAGACAGAATCATTCTCAGAAAATTCTTTGTGATGTGTGCGTTCAACTCACATAGTTTAACCTTTCTTTTCATAGAGCAGTTTGGAAACACTCTGTTTGTAAAGTCTGCAAGTGGATATATGGACCGCATTGAGGCCTTCGTTGGAAACGGGATTTCTTCATTTCATGCTAGACAGAAGAATTCTCAGTAACTTCTTTGTGCTGTGTGTATTCAACTCACAGAGTGGAACGTCCCTTTGCACAGAGCAGATTTGAAACACTCTTTTTGTGGAGTTTGCAAGTGGAGATTTCAAGCGATTTGATGCCAACAGTAGAAAAGGAAATATCTTCAAATAAAAACTAGACAGAATCATTCTCAGAAACTACTTTGTGATGTGTGCCTTCAACTCACAGAGTTTAACCTTTCTTTTCTTAGAGCAGGTTAGAAACACTCTGCTTGTTATGTCTGCAAGTGGATATTTGGACCTCTTTGAGGCCTTCGTTGCAAACGGGGTTTCTTCCTTTCATGCTAGACTAAGAGAGTTCTCAGTAACTTTTTTGTGTTGTGTGTATTAAACTCACAGAGTTGAACCTTGCTTTAGAGAGAGCAGATTTGAAACACTCTTGCTGTGGAATTTTCAGGTGGAGATTTCAAGCGATTTGAGGACAATTGCAGAAAAGGAAATATCTTCGTATAATAACCAGACAGAATCATTCTCAGAAAGTGCTTTGTGATGTGTGCGTTCAACTCACAGAGTTTAACCTTTCTTTTCATAGAGGAGTTTGGAAACACACTGTTTGTAAAGTCTGCAAGTGGATATATGGACCTGTTTGAGGCCTTCGTTGGAAACGGGATTTCTTCATTGAATGCTAGACGGAAGAATTCTCAGTAAATTCTTTGTGTTGTGTGCATTCAACTGACAGAGTGGAACGTCCCTTTAGACAGAGCAGATTTGAAACACTCTTTTTGCGGAATTTGCAAGTGGAGATTTCTAGCCATTTGATGCCAACAGTAGAAAGGGAAATATCTTTAAATAAAAACCAGACAGAATCATTCTCAGAAAATTCTTTGTGATGTGTGCGTTCAACTCACATAGTTTAACCTTTCTTTTCATAGAGCAGTTTGGAAACACTCTGTTTGTAAAGTCTGCAAGTGGATCTATGGACCGCATTGAGGCCTTCGTTGGAAACGGGATTTCTTCATTTCATGCTAGACAGAAGAATTCTCAGTAACTTCTTTGTGCTGTGTGTATTCAACTCACAGAGTGGAACGTCCCTTTACACAGAGCAGATTTGAAACACTCTTTTTGTGGAGTTTGCAAGTGGAGATTTCAAGCGATTTGATGCCAGCAGTAGAAAAGGAAATATCTTCAAATAAAAACTAGACAGAATCATTCTCAGAAACTACTTTGTGATGTGTGCCTTCAACTCACAGAGTTTAACCTTTCTTTTCTTAGAGCAGTTTAGAAACACTCTGCTTGTTATGTCTGCAAGTGGATATTTGGACCTCTTTGAGGCCTTCGTTGCAAACGGGGTTTCTTCCTTTCATGCTAGACTAAGAAGAGTTCTCAGTAACTTTTTTGTGTTGTGTGTATTCAACTCACAGAGTTGAACCTTGCTTTAGAGAGAGCAGATTAGAAACACTCTTGCTGTGGCATTTTCAGGTGGAGATTTCAAGCGATTTGAGGACAATTGCAGAAAAGGAAATATCTTCGTATAACAACCAGACAGAATCATTCTCAGAAAGTGCTTTGTGATGTGTGGGTTCAACTCACCGAGTTTAACCTTTCTTTTCATAGAGGAGTTTGGAAACACACTGTTTGTAAAGTCTGCAATTGGATATATGGACCTGTTTGAGGCCTTCGTTGGAAACGGGATTTCTTCATTGACTGCTAGACAGAAGAATTCTCAGTAAGTTCTTTGTGTTGTGTGCATTCAACTCACAGAGTGGAACGTCCCTTTAGACAGAGCAGATTTGAAACACTCTTTTTGCGGAATTTGCAAGTGGAGATTTCTAGCCATTTGATGCCAACAGTAGAAAGGGAAATATCTTCAAATAAAAACCAGACAGAATCATTCTCAGAAAATTCTTTGTGATGTGTGCGTTCAACTCACATAGTTTAACCTTTCTTTTCATAGAGCAGTTTGGAAACACTCTGTTTGTAAAGTCTGCAAGTGGATATATGGACCGCATTGAGGCCTTCGTTGGAAACGGGATTTCTTCATTTCATGCTAGACAGAAGAATTCTCAGTAACTTCTTTGTGCTGTGTGTATTCAACTCACAGAGTGGAACGTCCCTTTACACAGAGCAGATTTGAAACACTCTTTTTGTGGAATTTGCAAGTGGAGATTTCAAGCGATTTGATGCCAACAGTAGAAAAGGAAATATCTTCAAATAAAAACTAGACAGAATCATTCTCAGAAACTACTTTGTGATGTGTGCCTTCAACTCACAGAGTTTAACCTTTCTTTTCTTAGAGCAGTTTAGAAACACTCTGCTTGTTATGTCTGCAAGTGGATATTTGGACCTCTTTGAGGCCTTCGTTGCAAACGGGGTTTCTTCCTTTAATGCTAGACTAAGAAGAATTCTCAGTAACTTTCTTGTGTTGTGTGTATTCAACTCACAGAGTTGAACCTTGCTTTAGAGAGAGCAGATTTGAGACACTCTTGCTGTGGCATTTTCAGGTGGAGATTTCAAGCGATTTGAGGACAATTGCAGAAAAGGAAATATCTTCGTATAATAACCAGACAGAATCATTCTCAGAAAGTGCTTTGTGATGTGTGCGTTCAACTCACAGAGTTTAACCTTTCCTTTCATAGAGGAGTTTGGAAACACACTGTTTGTAAAGTCTGCAATTGGATATATGGACCTGTTTGAGGCCTTCGTTGGAAACGGGATTTCTTCATTGAATGCTAGACAGAAAAATTTTCAGTAAATTCTTTGTGTTGTGTGCATTCAACTCACAGAGTGGAACGTCCCTTTAGACAGAGCAGATTTGAAAAACTCTTTTTGCGGAATTTGCAAGTGGAGATTTCTAGCCATTTGATGCCAACAGTAGAAAGGGAAATATCTTCAAATAAAAACCAGACAGAATCATTCTCAGAAAATTCTTTGTGATGTGTGCGTTCAACTCACATAGTTTAACCTTTCTTTTCATAGAGCAGTTTGGAAACACTCTGTTTGTAAAGTCTGCAAGTGGATATATGGACCGCATTGAGGCCTTCGTTGGAAACGGGATTTCTTCATTTCATGCTAGACAGAAGAATTCTCAGTAACTTCTTTGTGCTGTGTGTATTCAACTCACAGAGTGGAACGTCCCTTTACACAGAGCAGATTTGAAACACTCTATTTGTGGAGTTTGCAAGTGGAGATTTCAAGCGATTTGATGCCAACAGTAGAAAAGGAAATATCTTCAAATAAAAACTAGACAGAATCATTCTCAGAAACTACTTTGTGATGTGTGCCTTCAACTCACAGAGTTTAACCTTTCTTTTCTTAGAGCAGTTTAGAAACACTCTGCTTGTTATGTCTGCAAGTGGATATTTGGACCTCTTTGAGGCCTTCGTTGCAAACGGGGTTTCTTCCTTTCATGCTAGACTAAGAAGAGTTCTCAGTAACTTTTTTGTGTTGTGTGTATTCAACTCACAGAGTTGAACCTTGCTTTAGAGAGAGCAGATTTGAAACACTCTTGCTGTGGCATTTTCAGGTGGAGATTTCAAGCGATTTGAGGACAATTGCAGAAAAGGAAATATCTTCGTATAATAACCAGACAGAATCATTCTCAGAAAGTGCTTTGTGATGTGTGCGTTCCACTCACAGAGTTTAACCTTTCTTTTCATAGAGGAGTTTGGAAACACACTGTTTGTAAAGTCTGCAATTGGATATATGGACCTGTTTGAGGCCTTCGTTGGAAACGGGATTTCTTCATTGAATGCTAGACGGAAGAATTCTCAGTAAATTCTTTGTGTTGTGTGCATTCAACTGACAGAGTGGAACGTCCCTTTAGACAGAGCAGATTTGAAACACTCTTTTTGCGGAATTTGCAAGTGGAGATTTCTAGCCATTTGATGCCAACAGTAGAAAGGGAAATATCTTCAAATAAAAACCAGACAGAATCATTCTCAGAAAATTCTTTGTGATGTGTGCGTTCAACTCACATAGTTTAACCTTTCTTTTCATAGAGCAGTTTGGAAACACTCTGTTTGTAAAGTCTGCAAGTGGATATATGGACCGCATTGAGGCCTTCGTTGGAAACGGGATTTCTTCATTTCATGCTAGACAGAAGAATTCTCAGTAACTTCTTTGTGCTGTGTGTATTCAACTCACAGAGTGGAACGTCCCTTTGCACAGAGCAGATTTGAAACACTCTTTTTGTGCAGTTTGCAAGTGGAGATTTCAAGCGATTTGATGCCAACAGTAGAAAAGGAAATATCTTCAAATAAAAACTAGACAGAATCATTCTCAGAAACTACTTTGTGATGTGTGCCTTCAACTCACAGAGTTTAACCTTTCTTTTCTTAGAGCAGTTTAGAAACACTCTGCTTGTTATGTCTGCAAGTGGATATTTGGACCTCTTTGAGGCCTTCGTTGCAAACGGGGTTTCTTCCTTTAATGCTAGACTAAGAAGAGTTCTCAGTAACATTTTTGTGTTGTGTGTATTCAACTCACAGAGTTGAACCTTGCTTTAGAGAGAGCAGATTTGAAACACTCTTGCTGTGGCATTTTCAGGTGGAGATTTCAAGCGATTTGAGGACAATTGCAGAAAAGGAAATATCTTCGTATAACAACCAGACAGAATCATTCTCAGAAAGTGCTTTGTGATGTGTGCGTTCAACTCACAGAGTTTAACCTTTCTTTTCATAGAGGAGTTTGGAAACACACTGTTTGTAAAGTCTGCAATTGGATATATGGACCTGTTTGAGGCCTTCGTTGGAAACGGGATTTCTTCATTGAATGCTAGACGGAAGAATTCTCAGTAAATTCTTTGTGTTGTGTGCATTCAACTCACAGAGTGGAACGTCCCTTTAGACAGAGCAGATTTGAAACACTCTTTTTGCGGAATTTGCAAGTGGAGATTTCTAGCCATTTGATGCCAACAGTAGAAAGGGAAATATCTTCAAATAAAAACCAGACAGAATCATTCTCAGAAAATTCTTTGTGATGTGTGCGTTCAACTCACATAGTTTAACCTTTCTTTTCATAGAGCAGTTTGGAAACACTCTGTTTGTAAAGTCTGCAAGTGGATCTATGGACCGCATTGAGGCCTTCGTTGGAAACGGGATTTCTTCATTTCATGCTAGACAGAAGAATTCTCAGTAACTTCTTTGTGCTGTGTGTATTCAACTCACAGAGTGGAACGTCCCTTTACACAGAGCAGATTTGAAACACTCTTTTTGTGGAGTTTGCAAGTGGAGATTTCAAGCGATTTGATGCCAACAGTAGAAAATGAAATATCTTCAAATAAAAACTAGACAGAATCATTCTCAGAAACTACTTTGTGATGTGTGCCTTCAACTCACAGAGTTTAACCTTTCTTTTCTTAGAGCAGTTTAGAAACACTCTGCTTGTTATGTCTGCAAGTGGATATTTGGACCTCTTTGAGGCCTTCGTTGCAAACGGGGTTTCTTCCTTTAATGCTAGACTAAGAAGAGTTCTCAGTAACTTTTTTGTGTTGTGTGTATTCAACTCACAGAGTTGAACCTTGCTTTAGAGAGAGCAGATTTGAAACACTCTTGCTGTGGCATTTTCAGGTGGAGATTTCAAGCGATTTGAGGACAATTGCAGAAAAGGAAATATCTTCGTATAATAACCAGACAGAATCATTCTCAGAAAGTGCTTTGTGATGTGTGCGTTCAACTCACAGAGTTTAACCTTTCTTTTCATAGAGGAGTTTGGAAACACACTGTTTGTAAAGTCTGCAATTGGATATATGGACCTGTTTGAGGCCTTCGTTGGAAACGGGATTTCTTCATTGAATGCTAGACGGAAGGATTCTCAGTAAATTCCTTGTGTTGTGTGCATTCAACTCACAGAGTGGAACGTCCCTTTAGACAGACCAGATTTGAAACACTCTTTTTGCGGAATTTGCAAGTGGAGATTTCTAGCCATTTGATGCCAACAGTAGAAAGGGAAATATCTTCAAATAAAAACCAGACAGAATCATTCTCAGAAAATTCTTTGTGATGTGTGCGTTCAACTCACATAGTTTAACCTTTCTTTTCATAGAGCAGTTTGGAAACACTCTGTTTGTAAAGTCTGCAAGTGGATATATGGACCGTATTGAGGCCTTCGTTGGAAACGGGATTTCTTCATTTCATGCTAGACAGAAGAATTCTCAGTAACTTCTTTGTGCTGTGTGTATTCAACTCACAGAGTGGAACGTCCCTTTGCACAGAGCAGATTTGAAACACTCTTTTTGTGGAATTTGCAAGTGGAGATTTCAAGCGATTTGATGCCAACAGTAGAAAAGGAAATATCTTCAAATAAAAACTAGACAGAATCATTCTCAGAAACTACTTTGTGATGTGTGCCTTCAACTCACAGAGTTTAACCTTTCTTTTCTTAGAGCAGTTTAGAAACACTCTGCTTGTTATGTCTGCAAGTGGATATTTGGACCTCTTTGAGGCCTTCGTTGCAAACGGGGTTTCTTCCTTTCATGCTAGACTAAGAAGAGTTCTCAGTAACTTTTTTGTGTTGTGTGTATTCAACTCACAGAGTTGAACCTTGCTTTAGAGAGAGCAGATTTGAAACACTCTTGCTGTGGCATTTTCAGGTGGAGATTTCAAGCGATTTGAGGACAATTGCAGAAAAGGAAATATCTTCGTATAATAACCAGACAGAATCATTCTCAGAAAGTGCTTTGTGATGTGTGCGTTCAACTCACAGAGTTTAACCTTTCTTTTCATAGAGGAGTTTGGAAACACACTGTTTGTAAAGTCTGCAATTGGATATATGGACCTGTTTGAGGCCTTCGTTGGAAACGGGATTTCTTCATTGCATGCTAGACGGAAGAATTCTCAGTAAATTCTTTGTGTTGTGTGCATTCAACTCACAGAGTGGAACGTCCCTTTAGACAGAGCAGATTTGAAACACTCTTTTTGCGGAATTTGCAAGTGGAGATTTCTAGCCATTTGATGCCAACAGTAGAAAGGGAAATATCTTCAAATAAAAACCAGACAGAATCATTCTCAGAAAATTCTTTGTGATGTGTGCGTTCAACTCACATAGTTTAACCTTTCTTTTCATAGAGCAGTTTGGAAACACTCTGTTTGTAAAGTCTGCAAGTGGATATATGGACCGCATTGAGGCCTTCGTTGGAAACGGGATTTCTTCATTTCATGCTAGACAGAAGAATTCTCAGTAACTTCTTTGTGCTGTGTGTATTCAACTCACAGAGTGGAACGTCCCTTTGCACAGAGCAGATTTGAAACACTCTTTTTGTGGAGTTTGCAAGTGGAGATTTCAAGCGATTTGATGCCAACAGTAGAAAAGGAAATATCTTCAAATAAAAACTAGACAGAATCATTCTCAGAAACTACTTTGTGATGTGTGCCTTCAACTCACAGAGTTTAACCTTTCTTTTCTTAGAGCAGTTTAGAAACACTCTGCTTGTTATGTCTGCAAGTGGATATTTGGACCTCTTTGAGGCCTTCGTTGCAAACGGGGTTTCTTCCTTTCATGCTAGACTAAGAAAGAGTTCTCAGTAACTTTTTTGTGTTGTGTGTATTCAACTCACAGAGTTGAACCTTGCTTTAGAGAGAGCAGATTTGAAACACTCTTGCTGTGGCATTTTCAGGTGGAGATTTCAAGCGATTTGAGGACAATTGCAGAAAAGGAAATATCTTCGTATAATAACCAGACAGAATCATTCTCAGAAAGTGCTTTGTGATGTGTGCGTTCAACTCACAGAGTTTAACCTTTCTTTTCATAGAGGAGTTTGGAAACACACTGTTTGTAAAGTCTGCAACTGGATATATGGACCTGTTTGAGGCCTTCGTTGGAAAGGGGATTTTATCATATAATGCTAGACGGAAGAATTCTCAGTAAATTCTTTGTGCTGTGTGCCTTCAACTCACAGAGTGGAACGTCCCTTTAGACAGAGCAGATTTGAAACACTCTTTTTTGCGGAATTTGCAAGTGGAGATTTCTAGCCAATTGATGCAAACAGTAGAAAGGGAAATATCTTCAAATAAAAACCAGACAGAATCATTCTCAGAAAATTCTTTGTGATGTGTGCGTTCAACTCACATAGTTTAACCTTTCTTTTCATAGAGCAGTTTGGAAACACTCTGTTTGTAAAGTCTGCAAGTGGATCTATGGACCGCATTGAGGCCTTCGTTGGAAACGGGATTTCTTCATTTCATGCTAGACAGAAGAATTCTCAGGAAATTCTTTGTGTTGTGTGCATTCAACTCACAGAGTGGAACGGCCCTTTAGACAGAGTAGATTTGAAACTTTCTTTTTCTGGAATTTGCAAATGGAGATTTCAAGCGATTTGATGCCAACAGTAGAAAAGGACATATCTTCAAATAAAAACTAGACAGAATCATTCTCAGGAAACTACTTTGTGATGTGTGCCTTCAACTCACAGTGTTTAACCTTTCTTTTCTTAGAGCAGTTTAGAAACACTCTGCTTGTTATGTCTGCAAGTGGATATTTGGACCTCTTTGAGGCCTTCGTTGCAAACGGCGTTTCTTCCTTTCATGCTAGACTAAGAAGAGTTCTCAGTAACTTTTTTGTGTTGTGTGTATTCAACTCACAGAGTTGAACCTTGCTTTAGAGAGAGCAGATTTGAAACACTCTTGCTGTGGCATTTTCAGGTGGAGATTTCAAGCGATTTGAGGACAATTGCAGAAAAGGAAATATCTTCGTATAATAACCAGACAGAATCATTCTCAGAAAGTGCTTTGTGATGTGTGCGTTCAACTCACAGAGTTTAACCTTTCTTTTCATAGAGGAGTTTGGAAACACACTGTTTGTAAAGTCTGCAATTGGATATATGGACCTGTTTGAGGCCTTCGTTGGAAACGGGATTTCTTCATTGAATGCTAGACGGAAGAATTCTCAGTAAATTCTTTGTGTTGTGTGCATTCAACTGACAGAGTGGAACGTCCCTTTAGAGAGAGCAGATTTGAAACACTCTTTTTGCGGAATTTGCAAGTGTAGATTTCTAGCCATTTGATGCCAACAGTAGAAAGGGAAATATCTTCAAATAAAAACCAGACAGAATCATTCTCAGAAAATTCTTTGTGATGTGTGCGTTCAACTCACATAGTTTAACCTTTCTTTTCATAGAGCAGTTTGGAAACACTCTGTTTGTAAAGTCTGCAAGTGGATATATGGACCGCATTGAGGCCTTCGTTGGAAACGGGATTTCTTCATTTCATGCTAGACAGAAGAATTCTCAGTAACTTCTTTGTGCTGTGTGTATTCAACTCACAGAGTGGAACGTCCCTTTGCACAGAGCAGATTTGAAACACTCTTTTTGTGGAGTTTGCAAGTGGAGATTTCAAGCGATTTGATGCCAACAGTAGAAAAGGAAATATCTTCAAATAAAAACTAGACAGAATCATTCTCAGGAACTACTTTGTGATGTGTGCCTTCAACTCACAGAGTTTAACCTTTCTTTTCTTAGAGCAGTTTAGAAACACTCTGCTTGTTATGTCTGCAAGTGGATATTTGGACCTCTTTGAGGCCTTCGTTGCAAACGGGGTTTCTTCCTTTAATGCTAGACTAAGAAGAGTTCTCAGTAACTTTTTTGTGTTGTGTGTATTCAACTCACAGAGTTGAACCTTGCTTTAGAGAGAGCAGATTTGAAACACTCTTGCTGTGGCATTTTCAGGTGGAGATTTCAAGCGATTTGAGGACAATTGCAGAAAAAGAAATATCTTCGTATAATAACCAGACAGAATCATTCTCAGAAAGTGCTTTGTGATGTGTGCGTTCCACTCACAGAGTTTAACCTTTCTTTTCATACAGGAGTTTGGAAACACACTGTTTGTAAAGTCTGCAAGTGGATATATGGACCTGTTTGAGGCCTTCGTTGGAAAGGGGATTTTTTCATTGAATGCTAGACGGAAGAATTCTCAGTAAATTCTTTGTGTGGTGTGCATTCAACTCACAGAGTGGAACGTCCCTTTAGACAGAGCAGATTTGAAACACTCTTTTTGCGGAATTTGCAAGTGGAGATTTCTAGCCATTTGATGCCAACAGTAGAAAGGGAAATATCTTCAAATAAAAACCAGACAGAATCATTCTCAGAAAATTCTTTGTGATGTGTGCGTTCAACTCACATAGTTTAACCTTTCTTTTCATAGAGCAGTTTGGAAACACTCTGTTTGTAAAGTCTGCAAGTGGATATATGGACCGCATTGAGGCCTTCGTTGGAAACGGGATTTCTTCATTTCATGCTAGACAGAAGAATTCTCAGTAACTTCTTTGTGCTGTGTGTATTCAACTCACAGAGTGGAACGTCCCTTTGCACAGAGCAGATTTGAAACACTCTTTTTTGGTGGAGTTTGCAAGTGGAGATTTCAAGCGATTTGATGCCAACAGTAGAAAAGGAAATATCTTCAAATAAAAACTAGACAGAATCATTCTCAGAAACTACTTTGTGATGTGTGCCTTCAACTCACAGAGTTTAACCTTTCTTTTCTTAGAGCAGTTTAGAAACACTCTGCTTGTTATGTCTGCAAGTGGATATTTGGACCTCTTTGAGGCCTTCGTTGCAAACGGGGTTTCTTCCTTTCATGCTAGACTAAGAAGAGTTCTCAGTAACTTTTTTGTGTTGTGTGTATTCAACTCACAGAGTTGAACCTTGCTTTAGAGAGAGCAGATTTGAAACACTCTTGCTGTGGCATTTTCAGGTGGAGATTTCAAGCGATTTGAGGACAATTGCAGAAAAGGAAATATCTTCGTATAATAACCAGACAGAATCATTCTCAGAAAGTGCTTTGTGATGTGTGCGTTCAACTCACAGAGTTTAACCTTTCTTTTCATAGAGGAGTTTGGAAACACACTGTTTGTAAAGTCTGCAATTGGATATATGGACCTGTTTGAGGCCTTCGTTGGAAACGGGATTTCTTCATTGCATGCTAGACGGAAGAATTCTCAGTAAATTCTTTGTGTTGTGTGCATTCAACTCACAGAGTGGAACGTCCCTTTAGACAGAGCAGATTTGAAACACTCTTTTTGCGGAATTTGCAAGTGGAGATTTCTAGCCATTTGATGCCAACAGTAGAAAGGGAAATATCTTCAAATAAAAACCAGACAGAATCATTCTCAGAAAATTCTTTGTGATGTGTGCGTTCAACTCACATAGTTTAACCTTTCTTTTCATAGAGCAGTTTGGAAACACTCTGTTTGTAAAGTCTGCAAGTGGATATATGGACCGCATTGAGGCCTTCGTTGGAAACGGGATTTCTTCATTTCATGCTAGACAGAAGAATTCTCAGTAACTTCTTTGTGCTGTGTGTATTCAACTCACAGAGTGGAACGTCCCTTTGCACAGAGCAGATTTGAAACACTCTTTTTGTGGAGTTTGCAAGTGGAGATTTCAAGCGATTTGATGCCAACAGTAGAAAAGGAAATATCTTCAAATAAAAACTAGACAGAATCATTCTCAGAAACTACTTTGTGATGTGTCCCTTCAACTCACAGAGTTTAACCTTTCTTTTCTTAGAGCAGTTTAGAAACACTCTGCTTGTTATGTCTGCAAGTGGATATTTGGACCTTTTTGAGGCCTTCGTTGCAAACGGGGTTTCTTCCTTTAATGCTAGACTAAGAAGAGTTCTCAGTAACTTTTTTGTGTTGTGTGTATTCAACTCACAGAGTTGAACCTTGCTTTAGGGAGAGCAGATTTGAAACACTCTTGCTGTGGCATTTTCAGGTGGAGATTTCAAGCGATTTGAGGACAATTGCAGAAAAGGAAATATCTTCGTATAATAACCAGACAGAATCATTCTCAGAAAGTGCTTTGTGATGTGTGTGTTCAACTCACAGAGTTTAACCTTTCTTTTCATAGAGGAGTTTGGAAACACACTGTTTGTAAAGTCTGCAAGTGGATATATGGACCTGTTTGAGGCCTTCGTTGGAAACGGGATTTCTTCATTGAATGCTAGAAGGAAGAATTCTCAGTAAATTCTTTGTGTTGTGTGCATTCAACTCACAGAGTGGAACGTCCCTTTAGACAGAGCAGATTTGAAACACTCTTTTTGCGGAATTTGCAAGTGGAGATTTCTAGCCATTTGATGCCAACAGTAGAAAGGGAAATATCTTCAAATAAAAACCAGACAGAATCATTCTCAGAAAATTCTTTGTGATGTGTGCGTTCAACTCACATAGTTTAACCTTTCTTTTCATAGAGCAGTTTGGAAACACTCTGTTTGTAAAGTCTGCAAGTGGATATATGGACCGCATTGAGGCCTTCGTTGGAAACGGGATTTCTTCATTTCATGCTAGACAGAAGAATTCTCAGTAACTTCTTTGTGCTGTGTGTATTCAACTCACAGAGTGGAACGTCCCTTTGCACAGAGCAGATTTGAAACACTCTTTTTGTGGAGTTTGCAAGTGGAGATTTCAAGCGATTTGATGCCAACAGTAGAAAAGGAAATATCTTCAAATAAAAACTAGACAGAATCATTCTCAGAAACTACTTTGTGATGTGTGCCTTCAACTCACAGAGTTTAACCTTTCTTTTCTTAGAGCAGTTTAGAAACACTCTGCTTGTTATGTCTGCAAGTGGATATTTGGACCTCTTTGAGGCCTTCGTTGCAAACGGGGTTTCTTCCTTTCATGCTAGACTAAGAAGAGTTCTCAGTAACTTTTTTGTGTTGTGTGTATTCAACTCACAGAGTTGAACCTTGCTTTAGAGAGAGCAGATTTGAAACACTCCTGCTGTGGCATTTTCAGGTGGAGATTTCAAGCGATTTGAGGACAATTGCAGAAAAGGAAATATCTTCGTATAATAACCAGACAGAATCATTCTCAGAAAGTGCTTTGTGATGTGTGCGTTCAACTCACAGAGTTTAACCTTTCTTTTCATAGAGGAGTTTGGAAACACACTGTTTGTAAAGTCTGCAAGTGGATATATGGACCTGTTTGAGGCCTTCGTTGGAAACGGGATTTCTTCATTGAATGCTAGACGGAAGAATTCTCAGTAAATTCTTTGTGTTGTGTGCATTCAACTCACAGAGTGGAACGTCCCTTTAGACAGAGCAGATTTGAAACACTCTTTTTGCGGAATTTGCAAGTGGAGATTTCTAGCCATTTGATGCCAACAGTAGAAAGGGAAATATCTTCAAATAAAAACCAGACAGAATCATTCTCAGAAAATTCTTTGTGATGTGTGCGTTCAACTCACATAGTTTAACCTTTCTTTTCATAGAGCAGTTTGGAAACACTCTGTTTGTAAAGTCTGCAAGTGGATATATGGACCGCATTGAGGCCTTCGTTGGAAACGGGATTTCTTCATTCCATGCTAGACAGAAGAATTCTCAGTAACTTCTTTGTGCTGTGTGTATTCAACTCACAGAGTGGAACGTCCCTTTACACAGAGCACATTTGAAACACTCTTTTTGTGGAGTTTGCAAGTGGAGATTTCAAGCGATTTGATGCCAACATTAGAAAAGGAAATATCTTCAAATAAAAACTAGACAGAATCATTCTCAGAAACTACTTTGTGATGTGTGCCTTCAACTCACAGAGTTTAACCTTTCTTTTCTTAGAGCAGTTTACAAACACTCTGCTTGTTATGTCTGCAAGTGGATATTTGGACCTCTTTGAGGCCTTCGTTGCAAACGGGGTTTCTTCCTTTAATGCTAGACTAAGAAGAGTTCTCAGTAACTTTTTTGTGTTGTGTGTATTCAACTCACAGAGTTGAACCTTGCTTTAGAGAGAGCAGATTTGAAACACTCTTGCTGTGGCATTTTCAGGTGGAGATTTCAAGCGTTTTGAGGACAATTGCAGAAAAGGAAATATCTTCGTATAATAACCAGACAGAATCATTCTCAGAAAGCGCTTTGTGATGTGTGCGTTCCACTCACAGAGTTTAACCTTTCTTTTCATAGAGGAGTTTGGAAACACACTGTTTGTAAAGTCTGCAAGTGGATATATGGACCTGTTTGAGGCCTTCGTTGGAAACGGGATTTCTTCATTGAATGCTAGACGGAAGAATTCTCAGTAAATTCTTTGTGTTGTGTGCATTCAACTCACAGAGTGGAACGTCCCTTTAGACAGAGCAGATTTGAAACACTCTTTTTGCGGAATTTGCAAGTGGAGATTTCTAGCCATTTGATGCCAACAGTAGAAAGGGAAATATACTTCAAATAAAAACCAGGCAGAATCATTCTCAGAAAATTCTTTGTGATGTGTGCGTTCAACTCACATAGTTTAACCTTTCTTTTCATAGAGCAGTTTGGAAACACTCTGTTTGTAAAGTCTGCAAGTGGATATATGGACCGCATTGAGGCCTTCGTTGGAAACGGGATTTCTTCATTTCATGCTAGACAGAAGAATTCTCAGTAACTTCTTTGTGCTGTCTGTATTCAACTCACAGAGTGGAACGTCCCTTTACAGAGAGCAGATTTGAAACACTCTTTTTGTGGAGTTTGCAAGTGGAGATTTCAAGCGATTTGATGCCAACAGTAGAAAAGGAAATATCTTCAAATAAAAACTAGACAGAATCATTCTCAGAAACTACTTTGTGATGTGTGCCTTCAACTCACAGAGTTTAACCTTTCTTTTCTTAGAGCAGTTTAGAAACACTCTGCTTGTTATGTCTGCAAGTGGATATTTGGACCTCTTTGAGGCCTTCGTTGCAAACGGGGTTTCTTCCTTTAATGCTAGACTAAGAAGAGTTCTCAGTAACTTTTTTGTGTTGTGTGTATTCAACTCACAGAGTTGAACCTTGCTTTAGAGAGAGCAGATTTGAAACACTCTCGCTGTGGAATTTTCAGGTGGAGATTTCAAGCGATTTGAGGACAATTGCAGAAAAGGAAATATCTTCGTATAATAACCAGACAGAATCATTCTCAGAAAGTGCTTTGTGATGTGTGCGTTCAACTCACAGAGTTTAACCATTCTTTTCATAGAGGAGCTTGGAAACACACTGTTTGTAAAGTCTGCAATTGGATATATGGACCTGTTTGAGGCCTCCGTTGGAAACGGGATTTCTTCATTGAATGCTAGACGGAAGAATTCTCAGTAAATTCTTTGTGTTGTGTGCATTGAACTCACAGAGTGGAACGTCCCTTTAGACAGAGCAGATTTGAAACACTCTTTTTGCGGAATTTGCCAGTGGAGATTTCTAGCCATTTGATGTCAACAGTAGAAAGGGAAATATCTTCAAATAAAAACCAGACAGAATCATTCTCAGAAAATTCTTTGTGATGTGTGCGTTCAACTCACATAGTTTAACCTTTCTTTTCATAGAGCAGTTTGGAAACACTCTGTTTGTAAAGTCTGCAAGTGGATATATGGACCGCATTGAGGCCTTCGTTGGAAACGGGATTTCTTCATTTCATGCTAGACAGAAGAATTCTCAGTAACTTCTCTGTGCTGTGTGTATTCAACTCACAGACTGGAACGTCCGTTTGCACAGAGCAGATTTGAAACACTCTTTTTGTGGAGTTTGCAAGTGGAGATTTCAAGCGATTTGATGCCAACAGTAGAAAAGGAAATATCTTCAAATAAAAACTAGACAGAACCATTCTCAGAAACTACTTTGTGATGTGTGCCTTCAACTCACAGAGTTTAACCTTTCTTTTCTTAGAGCAGTTTAGAAACACTCTGCTTGTTATGTCTGCAAGTGGATATTTGGACCTCTTTGAGGCCTTCGTTGCAAACGGGGTTTCTTCCTTTCATGCTAGACTAAGAAGAGTTCTCAGTAACTTTTTTGTGTTGTGTGTATTCAACTCACAGAGTTGAACCTTGCTTTAGAGAGAGCAGATTTGAAACACTCTTGCTGTGGCATTTTCAGGTGGAGATTTCAAGCGATTTGAGGACAATTGCAGAAAAGGAAATATCTTCGTATAATAACCAGACAGAATCATTCTCAGAAAGTGCTTTGTGATGTGTGCGTTCAACTCACAGAGTTTAACCTTTCTTTTCATAGAGGAGTTTGGAAACACACTGTTTGTAAAGTCTGCAAGTGGATATATGGACCTGTTTGAGGCCTTCGTTGGAAACGGGATTTCTTCATTGAATGCTAGACAGAAGAATTCTCAGTAAATTCTTTGTGTTGTGTGCATTCAACTCACAGAGTGGAACGTCCCTTTAGACAGAGCAGATTTGAAACACTCTTTTTGCGGAATTTGCAAGTGGAGATTTCTAGCCATTTGATGCCAACAGTAGAAAGGGAAATATCTTCAAATAAAAACCAGACAGAATCATTCTCAGAAAATTCTTTGTGATGTGTGCGTTCAACTCACATAGTTTAACCTTTCTTTTCATAGAGCAGTTTGGAAACACTCTGTTTGTAAAGTCTGCAAGTGGATATATGGACCGCATTGAGGCCTTCGTTGGAAACGGGATTTCTTCATTTCATGCTAGACAGAAGAATTCTCAGTAACTTCTTTGTGCTGTGTGTATTCAACTCACAGAGTGGAACGTCCCTTTGCACAGAGCAGATTTGAAACACTCTTTTTGTGGAATTTGCAAGTGGAGATTTCAAGCGATTTGATTCCAACAGTAGAAAAGGAAATATCTTCAAATAAAAACTAGACAGAATCATTCTCAGAAACTACTTTGTGATGTGTGCCTTCAACTCACAGAGTTTAACCTTTCTTTTCTTAGAGCACTTTAGAAACACTCTGCTTGTTATGTCTGCAAGTGGATATTTGGACCTCTTTGAGGCCTTCGTTGCAAACGGGGTTTCTTCCTTTACATGCTAGACTAAGAAGAGTTCTCAGTAACTTTTTTGTGTTGTGTGTATTCAACTCACAGAGTTGAACCTTGCTTTAGAGAGAGCAGATTTGAAACACTCTTGCTGTGGCATTTTCAGGTGGAGATTTCAAGCGTTTTGAGGACAATTGCAGAAAAGGAAATATCTTCGTATAATAACCAGACAGAATCATTCTGAGAAAGTGCTTTGTGATGTGTGCGTTCCACTCACAGAGTTTAACCTTTCTTTTCATAGAGGAGTTTGGAAACACACTGTTTGTAAACTCTGCAAGTGGATATATGGACCTGTTTGAGGCCTTCGTTGGAAACGGGATTTCTTCATTGAATGCTAGACGGAAGAATTCTCAGTAAATTCTTTGTGTGGTGTGCATTCAACTCACAGAGTGGAACGTCCCTTTAGACAGAGCAGATTTGAAACACTCTTTTTGCGGAATTTGCAAGTGGAGATTTACTAGCCATTTGATGCCAACAGTAGAAAGGGAAATATCTTCAAATAAAAACCAGACAGAATCATTCTCAGAAAATTCTTTGTGATGTGTGCGTTCAACTCACATAGTTTAACCTTTCTTTTCATAGAGCAGTTTGGAAACACTCTGTTTGTAAAGTCTGCAAGTGGATATATGGACCGCATTGAGGCCTTCGTTGGAAACGGGATTTCTTCATTTCATGCTAGACAGAAGAATTCTCAGTAACTTCTTTGTGCTGTGTGTATTCAACTCACAGAGTGGAACGTCCCTTTACACAGAGCAGATTTGAAACACTCTTTTTGTGGAGTTTGCAAGTGGAGATTTCAAGCCGATTTGATGCCAACAGTAGAAAAGGAAATATCTTCAAATAAAAACTAGACAGAATCATTCTCAGAAACTACTTTGTGATGTGTGCCTTCAACTCACAGAGTTTAACCTTTCTTTTCTTAGAGCAGTTTAGAAACACTCTGCTTGTTATGTCTGCAAGTGGATATTTGGACCTCTTTGAGGCCTTCGTTGCAAACGGGGTTTCTTCCTTTAATGCTAGACTAAGAAGAGTTCTCAGTAACTTTTTTGTGTTGTGTGTATTCAACTCACAGAGTTGAACCTTGCTTTAGAGAGAGCAGATTTGAAACACTCTTGCTGTGGCATTTTCAGGTGGAGATTTCAAGCGATTTGAGGACAATTGCAGAAAAGGAAATATCTTCGTATAACAACCAGACAGAATCATTCTCAGAAAGTGCTTTGTGATGTGTGCGTTCAACTCACAGAGTTTAACCTTTCTTTTCATAGAGGAGTTTGGAAACACACTGTTTGTAAAGTCTGCAAGTGGATATATGGACCTGTTTGAGGCCTTCGTTGGAAACGGGATTTCTTCATTGAATGCTAGACGGAAGAATTCTCAGTAAATTCTTTGTGTTGTGTGCATTCAACTGACAGAGTGGAACGTCCCTTTAGACAGAGCAGATTTGAAACACTCTTTTTGCGGAATTTGCAAGTGGAGATTTCTAGCCATTTGATGCCAACAGTAGAAAGGGAAATATCTTCAAATAAAAACCAGACAGAATCATTCTCAGAAAATTCTTTGTGATGTGTGCGTTCAACTCACATAGTTTAACCTTTCTTTTCATAGAGCAGTTTGGAAACACTCTGTTTGTAAAGTCTGCAAGTGGATATATGGACCGCATTGAGGCTTTCGTTGGAAACGGGATTTCTTCATTTCATGCTAGACAGAAGAATTCTCAGTAACTTCTTTGTGCTGTGTGTATTCAACTCACAGAGTGGAACGTCCCTTTACACAGAGCAGATTTGAAACACTCTTTTTGTGGAGTTTGCAAGTGGAGATTTCAAGCGATTTGATGCCAACAGTAGAAAAGGAAATATCTTCAAATAAAAACTAGACAGAATCATTCTCAGAAACTACTTTGTGATGTGTGCCTTCAACTCACAGAGTTTAACCTTTCTTTTCTTAGAGCAGTTTAGAAACACTCTGCTTGTTATGTCTGCAAGTGGATATTTGGACCTCTTTGAGGCCTTCGTTGCAAACGGGGTTTCTTCCTTTCATGCTAGACTAAGAAGAGTTCTCAGTAACTTTTTTGTGTTGTGTGTATTCAACTCACAGAGTTGAACCTTGCTTTAGAGAGAGCAGATTTGAAACACTCCTGCTGTGGCATTTTCAGGTGGAGATTTCAAGCGATTTGAGGACAATTGCAGAAAAGGAAATATCTTCGTATAATAACCAGACAGAATCATTCTCAGGAAGTGCTTTGTGATGTGTGCGTTCAACTCACAGAGTTTAACCTTTCTTTTCATAGAGGAGTTTGGAAACACACTGTTTGTAAAGTCTGCAAGTGGATATATGGACCTGTTTGAGCCCTTCGTTGGAAACGGGATTTCTTCATTGAATGCTAGACGGAAGAATTCTCAGTAAATTCTTTGTGTTGTGTGCATTCAACTGACAGAGTGGAACGTCCCTTTAGACAGAGCAGATTTGAAACACTCTTTTTGCGGAATTTGCAAGTGGAGATTTCTAGCCATTTGATGCCAACAGTAGAAAGGGAAATATCTTCAAATAAAAACCAGACAGAATCATTCTCAGAAAATTCTTTGTGATGTGTGCGTTCAACTCACATAGTTTAACCTTTCTTTTCATAGAGCAGTTTGGAAACACTCTGTTTGTAAAGTCTGCAAGTGGATATATGGACCGCATTGAGGCCTTCGTTGGAAACGGGATTTCTTCATTTCATGCTAGACAGAAGAATTCTCAGTAACTTCTTTGTGCTGTGTGTATTCAACTCACAGAGTGGAACGTCCCTTTACACAGAGCAGATTTGAAACACTCTTTTTGTGGAGTTTGCAAGTGGAGATTTCAAGCGATTTGATGCCAACAGTAGAAAAGGAAATATCTTCAAATAAAAACTAGACAGAATCATTCTCAGAAACTACTTTGTGATGTGTGCCTTCAACTCACAGAGTTTAACCTTTCTTTTCTTAGAGCAGTTTAGAAACACTCTGCTTGTTATGTCTGCAAGTGGATATTTGGACCTCTTTGAGGCCTTCGTTGCAAACGGGGTTTCTTCCTTTCATGCTAGACTAAGAAGAGTTCTCAGTAACATTTTTGTGTTGTGTGTATTCAACTCACAGAGTTGAACCTTGCTTTAGAGAGAGCAGATTTGAAACACTCTTGCTGTGGCATTTTCAGGTGGAGATTTCAAGCGATTTGAGGACAATTGCAGAAAAGGAAATATCTTCGTATAACAACCAGACAGAATCATTCTCAGAAAGTGCTTTGTGATGTGTGCGTTCAACTCACAGAGTTTAACCTTTCTTTTCATAGAGGAGTTTGGAAACACACTGTTTGTAAAGACTGCAAGTGGATATATGGACCTGTTTGAGGCCTTCGTTGGAAACGGGATTTCTTCATTGAATGCTAGACGGAAGAATTCTCAGTAAATTCTTTGTGTTGTGTGCATTCAACTCACAGAGTGGAACGTCCCTTTAGACAGAGCAGATTTGAAACACTCTTTTTGCGGAATTTGCAAGTGGAGATTTCTAGCCATTTGATGCCAACAGTAGAAAGGGAAATATCTTCAAATAAAAACCAGACAGAATCATTCTCAGAAAATTCTTTGTGATGTGTGCGTTCAACTCACATAGTTTAACCTTTCTTTTCATAGAGCAGTTTGGAAACACTCTGTTTGTAAAGTCTGCAAGTGGATATATGGACCGCATTGAGGCCTTCGTTGGAAACGGGATTTCTTCATTTCATGCTAGACAGAAAAATTCTCAGTAACTTCTTTGTGCTGTGTGTATTCAACTCACAGAGTGGAACGTCCCTTTACACAGAGCAGATTTGAAACACTCTTTTTGGGGAGTTTGCAAGTGGAGATTTCAAGCGATTTGATGCCAACAGTAGAAAAGGAAATATCTTCAAATAAAAACTAGACAGAATCATTCTCAGAAACTACTTTGTGATGTGTGCCTTCAACTCACAGAGTTTAACCTTTCTTTTCTTAGAGCACTTTAGAAACACTCTGCTTGTTATGTCTGCAAGTGGATATTTGGACCTCTTTGAGGCCTTCGTTGCAAACGGGGTTTCTTCCTTTCATGCTAGACTAAGAAGAGTTCTCAGTAACTTTTTTGTGTTGTGTGTATTCAACTCACAGAGTTGAACCTTGCTTTAGAGAGAGCAGATTTGAAACACTCTTGCTGTGGCATTTTCAGGTGGAGATTTCAAGCGATTTGAGGACAATTGCAGAAAAGGAAATATCTTCGTATAATAACCAGACAGAATCATTCTCAGAAAGTGCTTTGTGATGTGTGCGTTCAACTCACAGAGTTTAACCTTTCTTTTCATAGAGGAGTTTGGAAACACACTGTTTGTAAAGTCTGCAATTGGATATATGGACCTGTTTGAGGCCTTCGTTGGAAACGGGATTTCTTCATTGAATGCTAGACGGAAGAATTCTCAGTAAATTCTTTGTGTTGTGTGCATTCAACTGACAGAGTGGAACGTCCCTTTAGACAGAGCAGATTTGAAACACTCTTTTTGCGGAATTTGCAAGTGGAGATTTCTAGCCATTTGATGCCAACAGTAGAAAGGGAAATATCTTCAAATAAAAACCAGACAGAATCATTCTCAGAAAATTCTTTGTGATGTGTGCGTTCAACTCACATAGTTTAACCTTTCTTTTCATAGAGCAGTTTGGAAACACTCTGTTTGTAAAGTCTGCAAGTGGATATATGGACCGCATTGAGGCCTTCGTTGGAAACGGGATTTCTTCATTTCATGCGAGACAGAAGAATTCTCAGTAACTTCTTTGTGCTGTGTGTATTCAACTCACAGAGTGGAACGTCCCTTTACACAGAGCAGATTTGAAACACTCTTTTTGTGGAGTTTGCAAGTGGAGATTTCAAGCGATTTGATGCCAGCAGTAGAAAAGGAAATATCTTCAAATAAAAACTAGACAGAATCATTCTCAGAAACTACTTTGTGATGTGTGCCTTCAACTCACAGAGTTTAACCTTTCTTTTCTTAGAGTAGTTTAGAAACACTCTGCTTGTTATGTCTGCAAGTGGATATTTGGACCTCTTTGAGGCCTTCGTTGCAAACGGGGTTTCTTCCTTTCATGCTAGACTAAGAAGAGTTCTCAGTAACTTTTTTGTGTTGTGTGTATTCAACTCACAGAGTTGAACCTTGCTTTAGAGAGAGCAGATTTGAAACACTCTTGCTGTGGCATTTTCAGGTGGAGATTTCAAGCGATTTGAGGACAATTGCAGAAAAGGAAATATCTTCGTATAATAACCAGACAGAATCATTCTCAGAAAGTGCTTTGTGATGTGTGCGTTCAACTCACAGAGTTTAACCTTTCTTTTCATAGAGGAGTTTGGAAACACACTGTTTGTAAAGTCTGCAATTGGATATATGGACCTGTTTGAGGCCTTCTTTGGAAACGGGATTTCTTCATTGAATGCTAGACGGAAGAATTCTCAGTAAATTCTTTGTGTTGTGTGCATTCAACTGACAGAGTGGAACTGTCCCTTTAGACAGAGCAGATTTGAAACACTCTTTTTGCGGAATTTGCAAGTGGAGATTTCTAGCCATTTGATGCCAACAGTAGAAAGGGAAATATCTTCAAATAAAAACCAGACAGAATCATTCTCAGAAAATTCTTTGTGATGTGTGCGTTCAACTCACATAGTTTAACCTTTCTTTTCATAGAGCAGTTTGGAAACACTCTGTTTGTAAAGTCTGCAAGTGGATATATGGACCGCATTGAGGCCTTCGTTGGAAACGGGATTTCTTCATTTCATGCTAGACAGAAGAATTCTCAGTAACTTCTTTGTGCTGTGTGTATTCAACTCACAGAGTGGAACGTCCCTTTGCACAGAGCAGATTTGAAACACTCTTTTTGTGGAGTTTGCAAGTGGAGATTTCAAGCGATTTGATGCCAACAGTAGAAAAGGAAATATCTTCAAATAAAAACTAGACAGAAATCATTCTCAGAAACTACTTTGTGATGTGTGCCTTCAACTCACAGAGTTTAACCTTTCTTTTCTTAGAGCAGTTTAGAAACACTCTGCTTGTTATGTCTGCAAGTGGATATTTGGACCTCTTTGAGGCCTTCGTTGCAAACGGGGTTTCTTCCTTTAATGCTAGACTAAGAAGAGTTCTCAGTAACTTTTTTGTGTTGTGTGTATTCAACTCACAGAGTTGAACCTTGCTTTAGAGAGAGCAGATTTGAAACACTCTTGCTGTGGCATTTGCAGGTGGAGATTTCAAGCGATTTGAGGACAATTGCAGAAAAGGAAATATCTTCGTATAATAACCAGACAGAATCATTCTCAGAAAGTGCTTTGTGATGTGTGCGTTCAACTCACAGAGTTTAACCTTTCTTTTCATAGAGGAGTTTGGAAACACACTGTTTGTAAAGTCTGCAATTGGATATATGGACCTGTTTGAGGCCTTCGTTGGAAACGGGATTTCTTCATTGAATGCTAGACGGAAGAATTCTCAGTAAATTCTTTGTGTTGTGTGCATTCAACTCACAGAGTGGAACGTCCCTTTAGACAGAGCAGATTTGAAACACTCTTTTTGCGGAATTTGCAAGTGGAGATTTCTAGCCATTTGATGCCAACAGTAGAAAGGGAAATATCTTCAAATAAAAACCAGACAGAATCATTCTCAGAAAATTCTTTGTGATGTGTGCGTTCAACTCACATAGTTTAACCTTTCTTTTCATAGAGCAGTTTGGAAACACTCTGTTTGTAAAGTCTGCAAGTGGATATATGGACCGCATTGAGGCCTTCGTTGGAAACGGGATTTCTTCATTTCATGCTAGACAGAAGAATTCTCAGTAACTTCTTTGTGCTGTGTGTATTCAACTCACAGAGTGGAACGTCCCTTTACACAGAGCAGATTTGAAACACTCTTTTTGTGGAGTTTGCAAGTGGAGATTTCAAGCGATTTGATGCCAACAGTAGAAAAGGAAATATCTTCAAATAAAAACTAGACAGAATCATTCTCAGAAACTACTTTGTGATGTGTGCCTTCAACTCACAGAGTTTAACCTTTCTTTTCTTAGAGCAGTTTAGAAACACTCTGCTTGTTATGTCTGCAAGTGGATATTTGGACCTCTTTGAGGCCTTCGTTGCAAACGGGGTTTCTTCCTTTCATGCTAGACTAAGAAGAGTTCTCAGTAACTTTTTTGTGTTGTGTGTATTCAACTCACAGAGTTGAACCTTGCTTTAGAGAGAGCAGATTTGAAACACTCTTGCTGTGGCATTTTCAGGTGGAGATTTCAAGCGATTTGAGGACAATTGCAGAAAAGGAAATATCTTCGTATAATAACCAGACAGAATCATTCTCAGAAAGTGCTTTGTGATGTGTGCGTTCAACTCACAGAGTTTAACCTTTCTTTTCATAGAGGAGTTTGGAAACACACTGTTTGTAAAGTCTGCAATTGGATATATGGACCTGTTTGAGGCCTTCGTTGGAAACGGGATTTCTTCATTGAATGCTAGGCGGAAGAATTCTCAGTAAATTCTTTGTGTTGTGTGCATTCAACTGACAGAGTGGAACGTCCCTTTAGACAGAGCAGATTTGAAACACTCTTTTTGCGGAATTTGCAAGTGGAGATTTCTAGCCATTTGATGCCAACAGTAGAAAGGGAAATATCTTCAAATAAAAACCAGACAGAATCATTCTCAGAAAATTCTTTGTGATGTGTGCGTTCAACTCACATAGTTTAACCTTTCTTTTCATAGAGCAGTTTGGAAACACTCTGTTTGTAAAGTCTGCAAGTGGATCTATGGACCGCATTGAGGCCTTCGTTGGAAACGGGATTTCTTCATTTCATGCTAGACAGAAGAATTCTCAGTAACTTCTTTGTGCTGTGTGTATTCAACTCACAGAGTGGAACGTCCCTTTACACAGAGCAGATTTGAAACACTCTTTTTGTGGAGTTTGCAAGTGGAGATTTCAAGCGATTTGATGCCAACAGTAGAAAAGGAAATATCTTCAAATAAAAACTAGACAGAATCATTCTCAGAAACTACTTTGTGATGTGTGCCTTCAACTCACAGAGTTTAACCTTTCTTTTCTTAGAGCACTTTAGAAACACTCTGCTTGTTATGTCTGCAAGTGGATATTTGGACCTCTTTGAGGCCTTCGTTGCAAACGGGGTTTCTTCCTTTCATGCTAGACTAAGAAGAGTTCTCAGTAACTTTTTTGTGTTGTGTGTATTCAACTCACAGAGTTGAACCTTGCTTTAGAGAGAGCAGATTTGAAACACTCTTGCTGTGGCATTTTCAGGTGGAGATTTCAAGCGATTTGAGGACAATTGCAGAAAAGGAAATATCTTCGTATAATAACCAGACAGAATCATTCTCAGAAAGTGCTTTGTGATGTGTGCGTTCCACTCACAGAGTTTAACCTTTCTTTTCATAGAGGAGTTTGGAAACACACTGTTTGTAAAGTCTGCAAGTGGATATATGGACCTGTTTGAGGCCTTCGTTGGAAACGGGATTTCTTCATTGAATGCTAGACGGAAGAATTCTCAGTAAATTCTTTGTGTTGTGTGCATTCAACTCACAGAGTGGAACGTCCCTTTAGACAGAGCAGATTTGAAACACTCTTTTTGCGGAATTTGCAAGTGGAGATTTCTAGCCATTTGATGCCAACAGTAGAAAGGGAAATATCTTCAAATAAAAACCAGGCAGAATCATTCTCAGAAAATTCTTTGTGATGTGTGCGTTCAACTCACATAGTTTAACCTTTCTTTTCATAGAGCAGTTTGGAAACACTCTGTTTGTAAAGTCTGCAAGTGGATATATGGACCGCATTGAGGCCTTCGTTGGAAACGGGATTTCTTCATTTCATGCTAGACAGAAGAATTCTCAGTAACTTCTTTGTGCTGTGTGTATTCAACTCACAGAGTGGAACGTCCCTTTGCACAGAGCAGATTTGAAACACTCTTTTTGTGGAGTTTGCAAGTGGAGATTTCAAGCGATTTGATGCCAACAGTAGAAAAGGAAATATCTTCAAATAAAAACCAGACAGAATCATTCTCAGAAAATTCTTTGTGATGTGTGCGTTCAACTCACATAGTTTAACCTTTCTTTTCATAGAGCAGTTTGGAAACACTCTGTTTGTAAAGTCTGCAAGTGGATATATGGACCGCATTGAGGCCTTCGTTGGAAACGGGATTTCTTCATTTCATGCTAGACAGAAGAATTCTCAGTAACTTCTTTGTGCTGTGTGTATTCAACTCACAGAGTGGAACGTCCCTTTGCACAGAGCAGATTTGAAACACTCTTTTTGTGGAATTTGCAAGTGGAGATTTCAAGCGATTTGATGCCAACAGTAGAAAAGGAAATATCTTCAAATAAAAACTAGACAGAATCATTCTCAGAAACTACTTTGTGATGTGTGCCTTCAACTCACAGAGTTTAACCTTTCTTTTCTTAGAGCAGTTTAGAAACACTCTGCTTGTTATGTCTGCAAGTGGATATTTGGACCTCTTTGAGGCCTTCGTTGCAAACGGGGTTTCTTCCTTTCATGCTAGACTAAGAAGAGTTCTCAGTAACTTTTTTTGTGTTGTGTGTATTCAACTCACAGAGTTGAACCTTGCTTTAGAGAGAGCAGATTTGAAACACTCTTGCTGTGGCATTTTCAGGTGGAGATTTCAAGCGATTTGAGGACAATTGCAGAAAAGGAAATATCTTCGTATAATAACCAGACAGAATCATTCTCAGAAAGTGCTTTGTGATGTGTGCGTTCAACTCACAGAGTTTAACCTTTCTTTTCATAGAGGAGTTTGGAAACACACTGTTTGTAAAGTCTGCAATTGGATATATGGACCTGTTTGAGGCCTTCCTTGGAAACGGGATTTCTTCATTGAATGCTAGGCGGAAGAATTCTCAGTAAATTCTTTGTGTTGTGTGCATTCAACTCACAGAGTGGAACGTCCCTTTAGACAGAGCAGATTTGAAACACTCTTTTTGCGGAATTTGCAAGTGGAGATTTCTAGCCATTTGATGCCAACAGTAGAAAGGGAAATATCTTCAAATAAAAACCAGACAGAATCATTCTCAGAAAATTCTTTGTGATGTGTGCGTTCAACTCACATAGTTTAACCTTTCTTTTCATAGAGCAGTTTGGAAACACTCTGTTTGTAAAGTCTGCAAGTGGATCTATGGACCGCATTGAGGCCTTCGTTGGAAACGGGATTTCTTCATTTCATGCTAGACAGAAGAATTCTCAGTAACTTCTTTGTGCTGTGTGTATTCAACTCACAGAGTGGAACGTCCCTTTGCACAGAGCAGATTTGAAACACTCTTTTTGTGGAGTTTGCAAGTGGAGATTTCAAGCGATTTGATGCCAACAGTAGAAAAGGAAATATCTTCAAATAAAAACTAGACAGAATCATTCTCAGAAACTACTTTGTGATGTGTGCCTTCAACTCACAGAGTTTAACCTTTCTTTTCTTAGAGCAGTTTAGAAACACTCTGCTTGTTATGACTGCAAGTGGATATTTGGACCTCTTTGAGGCCTTCGTTGCAAACGGGGTTTCTTCCTTTCATGCTAGACTAAGAAGAGTTCTCAGTAACTTTTTTGTGTTGTGTGTATTCAACTCACAGAGTTGAACCTTGCTTTAGAGAGAGCAGATTTGAAACACTCTTGCTGTGGCATTTTCAGGTGGAGATTTCAAGCGATTTGAGGACAATTGCAGAAAAGGAAATATCTTCGTATAACAACCAGACAGAATCATTCTCAGAAAGTGCTTTGTGATGTGTGCGTTCCACTCACAGAGTTTAACCTTTCTTTTCATAGAGGAGTTTGGAAACACACTGTTTGTAAAGTCTGCAAGTGGATATATGGACCTGTTTGAGACCTTCGTTGGAAACGGGATTTCTTCATTGACTGCTAGACGGAAGAATTCTCAGTAAATTCTTTGTGTTGTGTGCATTCAACTCACAGAGTGGAACGTCCCTTTAGACAGAGCAGATTTGAAACACTCTTTTTGCGGAATTTGCAAGTGGAGATTTCTAGCCATTTGATGCCAACAGTAGAAAGGGAAATATCTTCAAATAAAAACCAGACAGAATCATTCTCAGAAAATTCTTTGTGATGTGTGCGTTCAACTCACATAGTTTAACCTTTCTTTTCATAGAGCAGTTTGGAAACACTCTGTTTGTAAAGTCTGCAAGTGGATATATGGACCGCATTGAGGCCTTCGTTGGAAACGGGATTTCTTCATTTCATGCTAGACAGAAGAATTCTCAGTAACTTCTTTGTGCTGTGTGTATTCAACTCACAGAGTGGAACGTCCCTTTGCACAGAGCAGATTTGAAACACTCTTTTTGTGGAGTTTGCAAGTGGAGATTTCAAGCGATTTGATGCCAACAGTAGAAAAGGAAATATCTTCAAATAAAAACTAGACAGAATCATTCTCAGAAACTACTTTGTGATGTGTGCCTTCAACTCACAGAGTTTAACCTTTCTTTTCTTAGAGCAGTTTAGAAACACTCTGCTTGTTATGTCTGCAAGTGGATATTTGGACCTCTTTGAGGCCTTCGTTGCAAACGGGGTTTCTTCCTTTCATGCTAGACTAAGAAGAGTTCTCAGTAACTTTTTTGTGTTGTGTGTATTCAACTCACAGAGTTGAACCTTGCTTTAGAGAGAGCAGATTTGAAACACTCTTGCTGTGGCATTTTCAGGTGGAGATTTCAAGCGATTTGAGGACAATTGCAGAAAAGGAAATATCTTCGTATAATAACCAGACAGAATCATTCTCAGAAAGTGCTTTGTGATGTGTGCGTTCAACTCACAGAGTTTAACCTTTCTTTTCATAGAGGAGTTTGGAAACACACTGTTTGTAAAGTCTGCAAGTGGATATATGGACCTGTTTGAGGCCTTCGTTGGAAACGGGATTTCTTCATTGAATGCTAGACGGAAGAATTCTCAGTAAATTCTTTGTGTTGTGTGCATTCAACTCACAGAGTGGAACGTCCCTTTAGACAGAGCAGATTTGAAACACTCTTTTTGCGGAATTTGCAAGTGGAGATTTCTAGCCATTTGATGCCAACAGTAGAAAGGGAAATATCTTCAAATAAAAGCCAGACAGACAATCATTCTCAGAAAATTCTTTGTGATGTGTGCGTTCAACTCACATAGTTTAACCTTTCTTTTCATAGAGCAGTTTGGAAACACTCTGTTTGTAAAGTCTGCAAGTGGATATATGGACCGCATTGAGGCCTTCGTTGGAAACGGGATTTCTTCATTTCATGCTAGACAGAAGAATTCTCAGTAACTTCTTTGTGCTGTGTGTATTCAACTCACAGAGTGGAACGTCCCTTTACACAGAGCAGATTTGAAACACTCTTTTTGTGGAGTTTGCAAGTGGAGATTTCAAGCGATTTGATGCCAACAGTAGAAAAGGAAATATCTTCAAATAAAAACTAGACAGAATCATTCTCAGAAAGTGCTTTGTGATGTGTGCCTTCAACTCACAGAGTTTAACCTTTCTTTTCTTAGAGCAGTTTAGAAACACTCTGCTTGTTATGTCTGCAAGTGGATATTTGGACCTCTTTGAGGCCTTCGTTGCAAACGGGGTTTCTTCCTTTCATGCTAGACTAAGAAGAGTTCTCAGTAACTTTTTTGTGTTGTGTGTATTCAACTCACAGAGTTGAACCTTGCTTTAGAGAGAGCAGATTTGAAACACTCTTGCTGTGGCATTTTCAGGTGGAGATTTCAAGCGATTTGAGGACAATTGCAGAAAAGGAAATATCTTCGTATAATAACCAGACAGAATCATTCTCAGAAAGTGCTTTGTGATGTGTGCGTTCAACTCACAGAGTTTAACCTTTCTTTTCATAGAGGAGTTTGGAAACACACTGTTTGTAAAGTCTGCAATTGGATATATGGACCTGTTTGAGGCCTTCGTTGGAAACGGGATTTCTTCATTGAATGCTAGACGGAAGAATTCTCAGTAAATTCTTTGTGTTGTGTGCATTCAACTCACAGAGTGGAACGTCCCTTTACACAGAGCAGATTTGAAACACTCTTTTTGCGGAATTTGCAAGTGGAGATTTCTAGCCATTTGATGCCAACAGTAGAAAGGGAAATATCTTCAAATAAAAACCAGACAGAATCATTCTCAGAAAATTCTTTGTGATGTGTGCGTTCAACTCACATAGTTTAACCTTTCTTTTCTTAGAGCAGTTTAGAAACACTCTGCTTGTTATGTCTGCAAGTGGATATTTGGACCTCTTTGAGGCCTTCGTTGCAAACGGGGTTTCTTCCTTTCATGCTAGACTAAGAAGAGTTCTCAGTAACTTTTTTGTGTTGTGTGTATTCAACTCACAGAGTTGAACCTTGCTTTAGAGAGAGCAGATTTGAAACACTCTTGCTGTGGTATTTTCAGGTGGAGATTTCAAGCGATTTGAGGACAATTGCAGAAAAGGAAATATCTTCGTATAACAACCAGACAGAATCATTCTCAGAAAGTGCTTTGTGATGTGTGCGTTCCACTCACAGAGTTTAACCTTTCTTTTCATAGAGGAGTTTGGAAACACACTGTTTGTAAAGTCTGCAAGTGGATATATGGACCTGTTTGAGGCCTTCGTTGGAAACGGGATTTCTTCATTGAATGCTAGACGGAAGAATTCTCAGTAAATTCTTTGTGTTGTGTGCATTCAACTCACAGAGTGGAACGTCCCTTTAGGCAGAGCAGATTTGAAACACTCTTTTTGCGGAATTTGCAAGTGGAGATTTCTAGCCATTTGATGCCAACAGTAGAAAGGGAAATATCTTCAAATAAAAACCAGACAGAATCATTCTCAGAAAATTCTTTGTGATGTGTGCGTTCAACTCACATAGTTTAACCTTTCTTTTCATAGAGCAGTTTGGAAACACTCTGTTTGTAAAGTCTGCAAGTGGATATATGGACCGCATTGAGGCCTTCGTTGGAAACGGGATTTCTTCATTTCATGCTAGACAGAAGAATTCTCAGTAACTTCTTTGTGCTGTGTGTATTCAACTCACAGAGTGGAACGTCCCTTTACACAGAGCAGATTTGAAACACTCTTTTTGTGGAGTTTGCAAGTGGAGATTTCAAGCGATTTGATGCCAGCAGTAGAAAAGGAAATATCTTCAAATAAAAACTAGACAGAATCATTCTCAGAAACTACTTTGTGATGTGTGCCTTCAACTCACAGAGTTTAACCTTTCTTTTCTTAGAGCAGTTTAGAAACGCTCTGCTTGTTATGTCTGCAAGTGGATATTTGGACCTCTTTGAGGCCTTCGTTGCAAACGGGGTTTCTTCCTTTCATGCTAGACTAAGAAGAGTTCTCAGTAACTTTTTTGTGTTGTGTGTATTCAACTCACAGAGTTGAACCTTGCTTTAGAGAGAGCAGATTTGAAACACTCTTGCTGTGGCATTTTCAGGTGGAGATTTCAAGCGATTTGAGGACAATTGCAGAAAAGGAAATATCTTCGTATAATAACCAGACAGAATCATTCTCAGAAAGTGCTTTGTGATGTGTGCGTTCAACTCACAGAGTTTAACCTTTCTTTTCATAGAGGAGTTTGGAAACACACTGTTTGTAATGTCTGCAAGTGGATATATGGACCTGTTTGAGGCCTTCGTTGGAAACGGGATTTCTTCATTGAATGCTAGACGGAAGAATTCTCAGTAAATTCTTTGTGTTGTGTGCATTCAACTCACAGAGTGGAACGTCCCTTTAGACAGAGCAGATTTGAAACACTCTTTTTGCGGAATTTGCAAGTGGAGATTTCTAGCCATTTGATGCCAACAGTAGAAAGGGAAATATCTTCAAATAAAAACCAGACAGAATCATTCTCAGAAAATTCTTTGTGATGTGTGCGTTCAACTCACATAGTTTAACCTTTCTTTTCATAGAGCAGTTTGGAAACACTCTGTTTGTAAAGTCTGCAAGTGGATATATGGACCGCATTGAGGCCTTCGTTGGAAACGGGATTTCTTCATTTCATGCTAGACAGAAGAATTCTCAGTAACTTCTTTGTGCTGTGTGTATTCAACTCACAGAGTGGAACGTCCCTTTACACAGAGCAGATTTGAAACACTCTTTTTGTGGAATTTGCAAGTGGAGATTTCAAGCGATTTGATGCCAACAGTAGAAAAGGAAATATCTTCAAATAAAAACTAGACAGAATCATTCTCAGAAACTACTTTGTGATGTGTGCCTTCAACTCACAAAGTTTAACCTTTCTTTTCTTAGAGCAGTTTAGAAACACTCTGCTTGTTATGTCTGCAAGTGGATATTTGGACCTCTTTGAGGCCTTCGTTGCAAACGGGGTTTCTTCCTTTAATGCTAGACTAAGAAGAGTTCTCAGTAACTTTTTTGTGTTGTGTGTATTCAACTCACAGAGTTGAACCTTGCTTTAGAGAGAGCAGATTTGAAACACTCTTGCTGTGGCATTTTCAGGTGGAGATTTCAAGCGATTTGAGGACAATTGCAGAAAAGGAAATATCTTCGTATAACAACCAGACAGAATCATTCTCAGAAAGTGCTTTGTGATGTGTGCGTTCAACTCACAGAGTTTAACCTTTCTTTTCATAGAGGAGTTTGGAAACACACTGTTTGTAAAGTCTGCAATTGGATATATGGACCTGTTTGAGGCCTTCGTTGGAAACGGGATTTCTTCATTGAATGCTAGACGGAAGAATTCTCAGTAAATTCTTTGTGTTGTGTGCATTCAACTCACAGAGTGGAACGTCCCTTTAGACAGAGCAGATTTGAAACACTCTTTTTGCGGAATTTGCAAGTGGAGATTTCTAGCCATTTGATGCCAACAGTAGAAAGGGAAATATCTTCAAATAAAAACCAGACAGAATCATTCTCAGAAAATTCTTTGTGATGTGTGCGTTCAACTCACATAGTTTAACCTTTCTTTTCATAGAGCAGTTTGGAAACACTCTGTTTGTAAAGTCTGCAAGTGGATATATGGACCGCATTGAGGCCTTCGTTGGAAATGGGATTTCTTCATTTCATGCTAGACAGAAGAATTCTCAGTAACTTCTTTGTGCTGTGTGTATTCAACTCACAGAGTGGAACGTCCCTTTGCACAGAGCAGATTTGAAACACTCTTTTTGTGGAATTTGCAAGTGGAGATTTCAAGCGATTTGATGCCAACAGTAGAAAAGGAAATATCTTCAAATAAAAACTAGACAGAATCATTCTCAGAAACTACTTTGTGATGTGTGCCTTCAACTCACAGAGTTTAACCTTTCTTTTCTTAGAGCAGTTTAGAAACACTCTGCTTGTTATGTCTGCAAGTGGATATTTGGACCTCTTTGAGGCCTTCGTTGCAAACGGGGTTTCTTCCTTTCATGCTAGACTAAGAAGAGTTCTCAGTAACTTTTTTGTGTTGTGTGTATTCAACTCACAGAGTTGAACCTTGCTTTAGAGAGAGCAGATTTGAAACACTCTTGCTGTGGCATTTTCAGGTGGAGATTTCAAGCGATTTGAGGACAATTGCAGAAAAGGAAATATCTTCGTATAATAACCAGACAGAATCATTCTCAGAAAGTGCTTTGTGATGTGTGCGTTCAACTCACAGAGTTTAACCTTTCTTTTCATAGAGGAGTTTGGAAACACACTGTTTGTAAAGTCTGCAATTGGATATATGGACCTGTTTGAGGCCTTCGTTGGAAACGGGATTTCTTCATTGCATGCTAGACGGAAGAATTCTCAGTAAATTCTTTGTGTTGTGTGCATTCAACTCACAGAGTGGAACGTCCCTTTAGACAGAGCAGATTTGAAACACTCTTTTTGCGGAATTTGCAAGTGGAGATTTCTAGCCATTTGATGCCAACAGTAGAAAGGGAAATATCTTCAAATAAAAACCAGACAGAATCATTCTCAGAAAATTCTTTGGGATGTGTGCGTTCAACTCACATAGTTTAACCTTTCTTTTCATAGAGCAGTTTGGAAACACTCTGTTTGTAAAGTCTGCAAGTGGATATATGGACCGCATTGAGGCCTTCGTTGGAAACGGGATTTCTTCATTTCATGCTAGACAGAAGAATTCTCAGTATCTTCTTTGTGCTGGGTGTATTCAACTCACAGAGTGGAACGTCCCTTTGCACAGAGCAGATTTGAAACACTCTTTTTGTGGAGTTTGCAAGTGGAGATTTCAAGCGATTTGATGCCAACAGTAGAAAAGGAAATATCTTCAAATAAAAACTAGACAGAATCATTCTCAGAAACTACTTTGTGATGTGTGCCTTCAACTCACAGAGTTTAACCTTTCTTTTCTTAGAGCAGTTTAGAAACACTCTGCTTGTTATGTCTGCAAGTGGATATTTGGACCTCTTTGAGGCCTTCGTTGCAAACGGGGTTTCTTCCTTTAATGCTAGACTAAGAAGAGTTCTCAGTAACTTTTTTGTGTTGTGTGTATTCAACTCACAGAGCTGAACCTTGCTTTAGAGAGAGCAGATTTGAAACACTCTTGCTGTGGCATTTTCAGGTGGAGATTTCAAGCGATTTGAGGACAATTGCAGAAAAGGAAATATCTTCGTATAACAACCAGACAGAATCATTCTCAGAAAGTGCTTTGTGATGTGTGCGTTCCACTCACAGAGTTTAACCTTTCTTTTCATAGAGGAGTTTGGAAACACACTGTTTGTAAAGTCTGCAAGTGGATATATGGACCTGTTTGAGGCCTTCGTTGGAAACGGGATTTCTTCATTGACTGCTAGACGGAAGAATTCTCAGTAAATTCTTTGTGTGGTGTGCATTCAACTCACAGAGTGGAACGTCCCTTTAGACAGAGCAGATTTGAAACACTCTTTTTGCGGAATTTGCAAGTGGAGATTTCTAGCCATTTGATGCCAACAGTAGAAAGGGAAATATCTTCAAATAAAAACCAGACAGAATCATTCTCAGAAAATTCTTTGTGATGTGTGCGTTCAACTCACATAGTTTAACCTTTCTTTTCATAGAGCAGTTTGGAAACACTCTGTTTGTAAAGTCTGCAAGTGGATATATGGACCGCATTGAGGCCTTCGTTGGAAACGGGATTTCTTCATTTCATGCTAGACAGAAGAATTCTCAGTAACTTCTTTGTGCTGTGTGTATTCAACTCACAGAGTGGAACGTCCCTTTGCACAGAGCAGATTTGAAACACTCTTTTTGTGGAGTTTGCAAGTGGAGATTTCAAGCGATTTGATGCCAACAGTAGAAAAGGAAATATCTTCAAATAAAAACTAGACAGAATCATTCTCAGAAACTACTTTGTGATGTGTGCCTTCAACTCACAGAGTTTAACCTTTCTTTTTTTAGAGCAGTTTAGAAACACTCTGCTTGTTATGTCTGCAAGTGGATATTTGGACCTCTTTGAGGCCTTCGTTGCAAACGGGGTTTCTTCCTTTCATGCTAGACTAAGAAGAGTTCTCAGTAACTTTTTTGTGTTGTGTGTATTCAACTCACAGAGTTGAACCTTGCTTTAGAGAGAGCAGATTTGAAACACTCTTGCTGTGGCATTTTCAGGTGGAGATTTCAAGCGATTTGAGGACAATTGCAGAAAAGGAAATATCTTCGTATAATAACCAGACAGAATCATTCTCAGAAAGTGCTTTGTGATGTGTGCGTTCAACTCACAGAGTTTAACCTTTCTTTTCATAGAGGAGTTTGGAAACACACTGTTTGTAAAGTCTGCAATTGGATATATGGACCTGTTTGAGGCCTTCTTTGGAAACGGGATTTCTTCATTGAATGCTAGACGGAAGAATTCTCAGTAAATTCTTTGTGTTGTGTGCATTCAACTCACAGAGTGGAACGTCCCTTTAGACAGAGCAGATTTGAAACACTCTTTTTGCGGAATTTGCAAGTGGAGATTTCTAGCCATTTGATGCCAACAGTAGAAAGGGAAATATCTTCAAATAAAAACCAGACAGAATCATTCTCAGAAAATTCTTTGTGATGTGTGCGTTCAACTCACATAGTTTAACCTTTCTTTTCATAGAGCAGTTTGGAAACACTCTGTTTGTAAAGTCTGCAAGTGGATATATGGACCGCATTGAGGCCTTCGTTGGAAACGGGATTTCTTCATTTCATGCTAGACAGAAGAATTCTCAGTAACTTCTTTGTGCTGTGTGTATTCAACTCACAGAGTGGAACGTCCCTTTACACAGAGCAGATTTGAAACACTCTTTTTGTGGAGTTTGCAAGTGGAGATTTCAAGCGATTAGATGCCAACAGTAGAAAAGGAAATATCTTCAAATAAAAACTAGACAGAATCATTCTCAGAAACTACTTTGTGATGTGTGCTTTCAACTCACAGAGTTTAACCTTTCTTTTCTTAGAGCAGTTTAGAAACACTCTGCTTGTTATGTCTGCAAGTGGATATTTGGACCTCTTTGAGGCCTTCGTTGCAAACGGGGTTTCTTCCTTTCATGCTAGACTAAGAAGAGTTCTCAGTAACTTTTTTGTGTTGTGTGTATTCAACTCACAGAGTAGAACCTTGCTTTAGAGAGAGCAGATTTGAAACACTCTTGCTGTGGCATTTTCAGGTGGAGATTTCAAGCGATTTGAGGACAATTGCAGAAAAGGAAATATCTTCGTATAACAACCAGACAGAATCATTCTCAGAAAGTGCTTTGTGATGTGTGCGTTCCACTCACAGAGTTTAACCTTTCTTTTCATAGAGGAGTTTGGAAACACACTGTTTGTAAAGTCTGCAAGTGGATATATGGACCTGTTTGAGGCCTTCGTTGGAAACGGGATTTCTTCATTGAATGCTAGACGGAAGAATTCTCAGTAAATTCTTTGTGTTGTGTGCATTCAACTCACAGAGTGGAACGTCCCTTTAGACAGAGCAGATTTGAAACACTCTTTTTGCGGAATTTGCAAGTGGAGATTTCTAGCCATTTGATGCCAACAGTAGAAAGGGAAATATCTTCAAATAAAAACCAGACAGAATCATTCTCAGAAAATTCTTTGTGATGTGTGCGTTCAACTCACATAGTTTAACCTTTCTTTTCATAGAGCAGTTTGGAAACACTCTGTTTGTAAAGTCTGCAAGTGGATATATGGACCGCATTGAGGCTTCGTTGGAAACGGGATTTCTTCATTTCATGCTAGACAGAAGGAATTCTCAGTAACTTCTTTGTGCTGTGTGTATTCAACTCACAGAGTGGAACGTCCCTTTGCACAGAGCAGATTTGAAACACTCTTTTTGTGGAATTTGCAAGTGGAGATTTCAAGCGATTTGATGCCAACAGTAGAAAAGGAAATATCTTCAAATAAAAACTAGACAGAATCATTCTCAGAAACTACTTTGTGATGTGTGCCTTCAACTCACAGAGTTTAACCTTTCTTTTCTTAGAGCAGTTTAGAAACACTCTGCTTGTTATGTCTGCAAGTGGATATTTGGACCTCTTTGAGGCCTTCGTTGCAAACGGGGTTTCTTCCTTTCATGCTAGACTAAGAAGAGTTCTCAGTAACTTTTTTGTGTTGTGTGTATTCAACTCACAGAGTTGAACCTTGCTTTAGAGAGAGCAGATTTGAAACACTCTTGCTGTGGCATTTTCAGGTGGAGATTTCAAGCGTTTTGAGGACAATTGCAGAAAAGGAAATATCTTCGTATAATAACCAGACAGAATCATTCTCAGAAAGTGCTTTGTGATGTGTGCGTTCAACTCACAGAGTTTAACCTTTCTTTTCATAGAGGAGTTTGGAAACACACTGTTTGTAAAGTCTGCAATTGGATATATGGACCTGTTTGAGGCCTTCGTTGGAAACGGGATTTCTTCATTGCATGCTAGACGGAAGAATTCTCAGTAAATTCTTTGTGTTGTGTGCATTCAACTCACAGAGTGGAACGTCCCTTTAGACAGAGCAGATTTGAAACACTCTTTTTGCGGAATTTGCAAGTGGAGATTTCTAGCCATTTGATGCCAACAGTAGAAAGGGAAATATCTTCAAATAAAAACCAGACAGAATCATTCTCAGAAAATTCTTTGTGATGTGTGCGTTCAACTCACATAGTTTAACCTTTCTTTTCATAGAGCAGTTTGGAAACACTCTGTTTGTAAAGTCTGCAAGTGGATATATGGACCGCATTGAGGCCTTCGTTGGAAACGGGATTTCTTCATTTCATGCTAGACAGAAGAATTCTCAGTAACTTCTTTGTGCTGTGTGTATTCAACTCACAGAGTGGAACGTCCCTTTGCACAGAGCAGATTTGAAACACTCTTTTTGTGGAGTTTGCAAGTGGAGATTTCAAGCGATTTCATGCCAACAGTAGAAAAGGAAATATCTTCAAATAAAAACTAGACAGAATCATTCTCAGAAACTACTTTGTGATGTGTGCCTTCAACTCACAGAGTTTAACCTTTCTTTTCTTAGAGCAGTTTAGAAACACTCTGCTTGTTATGTCTGCAAGTGGGTATTTGGACCTCTTTGAGGCCTTCGTTGCAAACGGGGTTTCTTCCTTTCATGCTAGACTAAGAAGAGTTCTCAGTAACTTTTTTGTGTTGTGTGTATTCAACTCACAGAGTTGAACCTTGCTTTAGAGAGAGCAGATTTGAAACACTCTTGCTGTGGCATTTTCAGGTGGAGATTTCAAGCGATTTGAGGACAATTGCAGAAAAGGAAATATCTTCGTATAATAACCAGACAGAATCATTCTCAGAAAGTGCTTTGTGATGTGTGCGTTCCACTCACAGAGTTTAACCTTTCTTTTCATAGAGGAGTTTGGAAACACACTGTTTGTAAAGTCTGCAAGTGGATATATGGACCTGTTTGAGGCCTTCGTTGGAAACGGGATTTCTTCATTGAATGCTAGACGGAAGAATTCTCAGTAAATTCTTTGTGTTGTGTGCATTCAACTCACAGAGTGGAACGTCCCTTTAGACAGAGCAGATTTGAAACACTCTTTTTGCGGAATTTGCAAGTGGAGATTTCTAGCCATTTGATGCCAACAGTAGAAAGGGAAATATCTTCAAATAAAAACCAGACAGAATCATTCTCAGAAAATTCTTTGTGATGTGTGCGTTCAACTCACATAGTTTAACCTTTCTTTTCATAGAGCAGTTTGGAAACACTCTGTTTGTAAAGTCTGCAAGTGGATATATGGACCGCATTGAGGCCTTCGTTGGAAACGGGATTTCTTCATTTCATGCTAGACAGAAGAATTCTCAGTAACTTCTTTGTGCTGTGTGTATTCAACTCACAGAGTGGAACGTCCCTTTACACAGAGCAGATTTGAAACACTCTTTTTGTGGAGTTTGCAAGTGGAGATTTCAAGCGATTTGATGCCAACAGTAGAAAAGGAAATATCTTCAAATAAAAACTAGACAGAATCATTCTCAGAAACTACTTTGTGATGTGTGCCTTCAACTCACAGAGTTTAACCTTTCTTTTCTTAGAGCAGTTGAGAAACACTCTGCTTGTTATGTCTGCAAGTGGATATTTGGACCTCTTTGAGGCCTTCGTTGCAAACGGGGTTTCTTCCTTTAATGCTAGACTAAGAAGAGTTCTCAGTAACTTTTTTGTGTTGTGTGTATTCAACTCACAGAGTTGAACCTTGCTTTAGAGAGAGCAGATTTGAAACACTCTTGCTGTGGCATTTTCAGGTGGAGATTTCAAGCGATTTGAGGACAATTGCAGAAAAGGAAATATCTTCGTATAATAACCAGACAGAATCATTCTCAGAAAGTGCTTTGTGATGTGTGCGTTCCACTCACAGAGTTTAACCTTTCTTTTCATAGAGGAGTTTGGAAACAAACTGTTTGTAAACTCTGCAAGTGGATATATGGACCTGTTTGAGGCCTTCGTTGGAAACGGGATTTCTTTATTGAATGCTAGACGGAAGAATTCTCAGTAAATTCTTTGTGTTGTGTGCATTCAACTCACAGAGTGGAACGTCCCTTTAGGCAGAGCAGATTTGAAACACTCTTTTTGCGGAATTTGCAAGTGGAGATTTCTAGCCATTTGATGCCAACAGTAGAAAGGGAAATATCTTCAAATAAAAACCAGACAGAATCATTCTCAGAAAATTCTTTGTGATGTGTGCGTTCAACTCACATAGTTTAACCTTTCTTTTCATAGAGCAGTTTGGAAACACTCTGTTTGTAAAGTCTGCAAGTGGATATATGGACCGCATTGAGGCCTTCGTTGGAAACGGGATTTCTTCATTTCATGCTAGACAGAAGAATTCTCAGTAACTTCTTTGTGCTGTGTGTATTCAACTCACAGAGTGGAACGTCCCTTTACACAGAGCAGATTTGAAACACTCTTTTTGTGGAGTTTGCAAGTGGAGATTTCAAGCGATTTGATGCCAACAGTAGAAAAGGAAATATCTTCAAATAAAAACTAGACAGAATCATTCTCAGAAACTACTTTGTGATGTGTGCCTTCAACTCACAGAGTTTAACCTTTCTTTTCTTAGAGCAGTTTAGAAACACTCTGGTTGTTATGTCTGCAAGTGGATATTTGGACCTCTTTGAGGCCTTCGTTGCAAACGGGGTTTCTTCCTTTCATGCTAGACTAAGAAGAGTTCTCAGTAACTTTTTTGTGTTCTGTGTATTCAACTCACAGAGTTGAACCTTGCTTTAGAGAGAGCAGATTTGAAACACTCTTGCTGTGGCATTTTCAGGTGGAGATTTCAAGCGATTTGAGGACAATTGCAGAAAAAGAAATATCTTCGTATAATAACCAGACAGAATCATTCTCAGAAAGTGCTTTGTGATGTGTGCGTTCCACTCACAGAGTTTAACCTTTCTTTTCATAGAGGAGTTTGGAAACACACTGTTTGTAAAGTCTGCAAGTGGATATATGGACCTGTTTGAGGCCTTCGTTGGAAACGGGATTTCTTCATTGAATGCTAGACGGAAGAATTCTCAGTAAATTCTTTGTGTTGTGTGCATTCAACTCACAGAGTGGAACGTCCCTTTAGACAGAGCAGATTTGAAACACTCTTTTTGCGGAATTTGCAAGTGGAGATTTCTAGCCATTTGATGCCAACAGTAGAAAGGGAAATATCTTCAAATAAAAACCAGACAGAATCATTCTCAGAAAATTCTTTGTGATGTGTGCGTTCAACTCACATAGTTTAACCTTTCTTTTCATAGAGCAGTTTGGAAACACTCTGTTTGTAAAGTCTGCAAGTGGATATATGGACCGCATTGAGGCCTTCGTTGGAAACGGGATTTCTTCATTTCATGCTAGACAGAAGAATTCTCAGTAACTTCTTTGTGCTGTGTGTATTCAACTCACAGAGTGGAACGTCCCTTTACACAGAGCAGATTTGAAACACTCTTTTTGTGGAGTTTGCAAGTGGAGATTTCAAGCGATTTGATGCCAACAGTAGAAAAGGAAATATCTTCAAATAAAAACTAGACAGAATCATTCTCAGAAACTACTTTGTGATGTGTGCCTTCAACTCACAGAGTTTAACCTTTCTTTTCTTAGAGCAGTTTAGAAACACTCTGCTTGTTATGTCTGCAAGTGGATATTTGGACCTCTTTGAGGCCTTCGTTGCAAACGGGGTTTCTTCCTTTCATGCTAGACTAAGAAGAGTTCTCAGTAACTTTTTTGTGTTGTGTGTATTCAACTCACAGAGTTGAACCTTGCTTTAGAGAGAGCAGATTTGAAACACTCTTGCTGTGGCATTTTCAGGTGGAGATTTCAAGCGATTTGAGGACAATTGCAGAAAAGGAAATATCTTCGTATAAAAACCAGACAGAATCATTCTCAGAAAGTGCTTTGTGATGTGTGCGTTCCACTCACAGAGTTTAACCTTTCTTTTCATAGAGGAGTTTGGAAACACACTGTTTGTAAAGTCTGCAAGTGGATATATGGACCTGTTTGAGGCCTTCGTTGGAAACGGGATTTCTTCATTGAATGCTAGACGGAAGAATTCTCAGTAAATTCTTTGTGTTGTGTGCATTCAACTCACAGAGTGGAACGTCCCTTTAGACAGAGCAGATTTGAAACACTCTTTTTGCGGAATTTGCAAGTGGAGATTTCTAGCCATTTGATGCCAACAGTAGAAAGGGAAATATCTTCAAATAAAAACCAGACAGAATCATTCTCAGAAAATTCTTTGTGATGTGTGCGTTCAACTCACATAGTTTAACCTTTCTTTTCATAGAGCAGTTTGGAAACACTCTGTTTGTAAAGTCTGCAAGTGGATATATGGACCGCATTGAGGCCTTCGTTGGAAACGGGATTTCTTCATTTCATGCTAGACAGAAGAATTCTCAGTAACTTCTTTGTGCTGTGTGTATTCAACTCACAGATTGGAACGTCCCTTTGCACAGAGCAGATTTGAAACACTCTTTTTGTGGAGTTTGCAAGTGGAGATTTCAAGCGATTTAATGCCAACAGTAGAAAAGGAAATATCTTCAAATAAAAACTAGACAGAATCATTCTCAGAAACTACTTTGTGATGTGTGCCTTCAACTCACAGAGTTTAACCTTTCTTTTCTTAGAGCAGTTTAGAAACACTCTGCTTGTTATGTCTGCAAGTGGATATTTGGACCTCTTTGAGGCCTTCGTTGCAAACGGGGTTTCTTCCTTTCATGCTAGACTAAGAAGAGTTCTCAGTAACTTTTTTGTGTTGTGTGTATTCAACTCACAGAGTTGAACCTTGCTTTAGAGAGAGCAGATTTGAAACACTCTTGCTGTGGCATTTTCAGGTGGAGATTTCAAGCGATTTGAGGACAATTGCAGAAAAGGAAATATCTTCGTATAACAACCAGACAGAATCATTCTCAGAAAGTGCTTTGTGATGTGTGCGTTCCACTCACAGAGTTTAACCTTTCTTTTCATAGAGGAGTTTGGAAACACACTGTTTGTAAAGTCTGCAAGTGGATATATGGACCTGTTTGAGGCCTTCGTTGGAAACGGGATTTCTTCATTGAATGCTAGACGGAAGAATTCTCAGTAAATTCTTTGTGTTGTGTGCATTCAACTGACAGAGTGGAACATCCCTTTAGACAGAGCAGATTTGAAACACTCTTTTTGCGGAATTTGCAAGTGGAGATTTCTAGCCATTTGATGCCAACAGTAGAAAGGGAAATATCTTCAAATAAAAACCAGACAGAATCATTCTCAGAAAATTCTTTGTGATGTGTGCGTTCAACTCACATAGTTTAACCTTTCTTTTCATAGAGCAGTTTGGAAACACTCTGTTTGTAAAGTCTGCAAGTGGATATATGGACCGCATTGAGGCCTTCGTTGGAAACGGGATTTCTTCATTTCATGCTAGACAGAAGAATTCTCAGTAACTTCTTTGTGCTGTGTGTATTCAACTCACAGAGTGGAACGTCCCTTTGCACAGAGCAGATTTGAAACACTCTTTTTGTGGAATTTGCAAGTGGAGATTTCAAGCGATTTGATGCCAACAGTAGAAAAGGAAATATCTTCAAATAAAAACTAGACAGAATCATTCTCAGAAACTACTTTGTGATGTGTGCCTTCAACTCACAGAGTTTAACCTTTCTTTTCTTAGAGCAGTTTAGAAACACTCTGCTTGTTATGTCTGCAAGTGGATATTTGGACCTCTTTGAGGCCTTCGTTGCAAACGGGGTTTCTTCCTTTCATGCTAGACTAAGAAGAGTTCTCAGTAACTTTTTTGTGTTGTGTGTATTCAACTCACAGAGTTGAACGTTGCTTTAGAGAGAGCAGATTTGAAACACTCTTGCTGTGGCATTTTCAGGTGGAGATTTCAAGCGATTTGAGGACAATTGCAGAAAAGGAAATATCTTCGTATAACAACCAGACAGAATCATTCTCAGAAAGTGCTTTGTGATGTGTGCGTTCAACTCACAGAGTTTAACCTTTCTTTTCATAGAGGAGTTTGGAAACACACTGTTTGTAAAGTCTGCAATTGGATATATGGACCTGTTTGAGGCCTTCGTTGGAAACGGGATTTCTTCATTGAATGCTAGACGGAAGAATTCTCAGTAAATTCTTTGTGTTGTGTGCATTCAACTCACAGAGTGGAACGTCCCTTTAGACAGAGCAGATTTGAAACACTCTTTTTGCGGAATTTGCAAGTGGAGATTTCTAGCCATTTGATGCCAACAGTAGAAAGGGAAATATCTTCAAATAAAAACCAGACAGAATCATTCTCAGAAAATTCTTTGTGATGTGTGCGTTCAACTCACATAGTTTAACCTTTCTTTTCATAGAGCAGTTTGGAAACACTCTGTTTGTAAAGTCTGCAAGTGGATATATGGACCGCATTGAGGCCTTCGTTGGAAACGGGATTTCTTCATTTCATGCTAGACAGAAGAATTCTCAGTAACTTCTTTGTGCTGTGTGTATTCAACTCACAGAGTGGAACGTCCCTTTACACAGAGCAGATTTGAAACACTCTTTTTGTGGAGTTTGCAAGTGGAGATTTCAAGCGATTTGATGCCAACAGTAGAAAAGGAAATATCTTCAAATAAAAACTAGACAGAATCATTCTCAGAAACTACTTTGTGATGTGTGCCTTCAACTCACAGAGTTTAACCTTTCTTTTCATAGAGCAGTTTAGAAACACTCTGCTTGTTATGTCTGCAAGTGGATATTTTTACCTCTTTGAGGCCTTCGTTGCAAACGGGGTTTCTTCCTTTCATGCTAGACTAAGAAGAGTTCTCAGTAACTTTTTTGTGTTGTGTGTATTCAACTCACAGAGTTGAACCTTGCTTTAGAGAGAGCAGATTTGAAACACTCTTGCTGTGGCATTTTCAGGTGGAGATTTCAAGCGATTTGAGGACAATTGCAGAAAAGGAAATATCTTCGTATAACAACCAGACAGAATCATTCTCAGAAAGTGCTTTGTGATGTTTGCGTTCCACTCACAGAGTTTAACCTTTCTTTTCATAGAGGAGTTTGGAAACACACTGTTTGTAAAGTCTGCAATTGGATATAGGGACCTGTTTGAGGCCTTCGTTGGAAACGGGATTTCTTCATTGAATGCTAGACGGAAGAATTCTCAGTAAATTCTTTGTGTTGTGTGCATTCAACTCACAGAGTGGAACGTCCCTTTAGACAGAGCAGATTTGAAACACTCTTTTTGCGGAATTTGCAAGTGGAGATTTCTAGCCATTTGATGCCAACAGTAGAAAGGGAAATATCTTCAAATAAAAACCAGACAGAATCATTCTCAGAAAATTCTATGTGATGTGTGCTTTCAACTCACATAGTTTAACCTTTCTTTTCATAGAGCAGTTTGGAAACACTCTGTTTGTAAAGTCTGCAAGTGGATATATGGACCGCATTGAGGCCTTCGTTGGAAACGGGATTTCTTCATTTCATGCTAGACAGAAGAATTCTCAGTAACTTCTTTGTGCTGTGTGTATTCAACTCACAGAGTGGAACGTCCCTTTGCACAGAGCAGATTTGAAACACTCTTTTTGTGGAATTTGCAAGTGGAGATTTCAAGCGATTTGACGCCAACAGTAGAAAAGCAAATATCTTCAAATAAAAACTAGACAGAATCATTCTCAGAAAGTGCTTTGTGATGTGTTCGTTCAACTCACAGAGTTTAAGCTTTCTTTTCATAGAGGAGTTTGGAAACACACTGTTTGTAAAGTCTGCAAGTGGATATAAGGACCTGTTTGAGGCCTTCGTTGGAAACGGGATTTTATCATATAATGCTAGACAGAAGAATTCTCAGTAACTTCTTTGTACTGTGTGTATTCAACTCACAGATTGGAACGTCCCTTTACACAGAGCAGATTTGAAACACTCTTTTTGTGGAATTTGCAAGTGGAGATTTCAAGCGATTTGATGCCAACAGTAGAAAAGGAAATATCTGCAAACAAAAACTAGACAGAATCATTCTCAGAAAGTGCTTTGTGATGTGTGCATTCAACTCACAGAGTTTAACCTTTCTTTTCATAGAGGAGTTTGGAAACACACTGTGTGTAAAGTCTGTAATTGGATATATGGACCTGTTTGAGGCCTTCGTTGGAAACGGGATTTCTTCATTGAATGCTAGACGGAAGAATTCTCAGTAAATTCTTTGTGTTGTGTGCATTCAACTCACAGAGTGGAACGTCCCTTTAGACAGAGCAGATTTGAAACACTCTTTTTGCGGAATTTGCAAGTGGAGATTTCTAGCCATTTGATGTCAACAGTAGAAAGGGAATATCTTCAAATCAAAACCAGACAGAATCATTCTCAGAAAATTCTTTGTGATGTGTGCGTTCACACTCACATAGTTTAACCTTTCTTTTCATAGAGCAGTTTGGAAACACTCTGTTTGTAAAGTCTGCAAGTGGATATATGGACCGCATTGAGGCCTTCGTTGGAAACGGGATTTCTTCATTTCATGCTAGACAGAAGAATTCTCAGTAACTTCTTTGTGCTGTGTGTATTCAACTCACAGAGTGGAACGTCCCTTTGCACAGAGCAGATTTGAAACACTCTTTTTGTGGAATTTGCAAGTGGAGATTTCAAGCGATTTGATGCCAACAGTAGAAAAGGAAATATCTTCAAATAAAAACTAGACAGAATAATTCTCAGAAACTACTTTGTGATGTGTGCCTTCAACTCACAGAGTTTAACCTTTCTTTTCTTAGAGCAGTTTAGAAACACTCTGCTTGTTATGTCTGCAAGTGGATATTTGGACCTCTTTGAGGCCTTCGTTGCAAACGGGGTTTCTTCCTTTCATGCTAGACTAAGAAGAGTTCTCAGTAACTTTTTTGTGTTGTGTGTATTCAACTCACAGAGTTGAACCTTGCTTTAGAGAGAGCAGATTTGAAACACTCTTGCTGTGGCATTTTCAGGTGGAGATTTCAAGCGATTTGAGGACAATTGCAGAAAAGGAAATATCTTCGTATAATAACCAGACAGAATCATTCTCAGAAAGTGCTTTGTGATGTGTGCGTTCAACTCACAGAGTTTAACCTTTCTTTTCATAGAGGAGTTTGGAAACACACTGTTTGTAACGTCTGCAAGTGGATATATGGACCTGTTTGAGGCCTTCGTTGGAAACGGGATTTCTTCATTGAATGCTAGACGGAAGAATTCTCAGTAAATTCTTTGTGTTGTGTGCATTCAACTCACACAGTGGAACGTCCCTTTAGACAGAGCAGATTTGAAACACTCTTTTTGCGGAAGTTGCAAGTGGAGATTTCTAGCCATTTGATGCCAACAGTAGAAAGGGAAATATCTTCAAATAAAAACTAGACAGAATCATTCTCAGAAAGTGCTTTGTGATGTGTGCGTTCAACTCACAGAGTTTAACCTTTCTTTTCATAGAGGAGTTTGGAAACACACTGTTTGTAAAGTCTGCAATTGGATATATGGACCTGTTTGAGGCCTTCGTTGGAAACGGGATTTCTTCATTGAATGCTAGACGGAAGAATTCTCAGTAAATTCTTTGTGTTGTGTGCATTCAACTGACAGAGTGGAACGTCCCTTAAAACAGAGCAGATTTGAAACACTCTTTTTGCGGAATTTGCAAGTGGAGATTTCTAGCCATTTGATGCCAACAGTAGAAAGGGAAATATCTTCAAATAAAAACCAGACAGAATCATTCTCAGAAAATTCTTTGTGATGTGCGCGTTCAACTCACATAGTTTAACCTTTCTTTTCATAGAGCAGTTTGGAAACACTCTGTTTGTAAAGTCTGCAAGTGGATATATGGACCGCATTGAGGCCTTCGTTGGAAACGGGATTTCTTCATTTCATGCTAGACAGAAGAATTCTCAGTAACTTCTTTGTGCTGTGTGTATTCAACTCACAGAGTGGAACGTCCCTTTACACAGAGCAGATTTGAAACACTCTTTTTGTGGAGTTTGCAAGTGGAGATTTCAAGCGATTTGATGCCAACAGTAGAAAAGGAAATATCTTCAAATAAAAACTAGACAGAATCATTCTCAGAAACTACTTTGTGATGTGTGCCTTCAACTCACAGAGTTTAACCTTTCTTTTCTTAGAGCAGTTTAGAAACACTCTGCTTGTTATGTCTGCAAGTGGATATTTGGACCTCTTTGAGGCCTTCGTTGCAAACGGGGTTTCTTCCTTTAATGCTAGACTAAGAAGAGTTCTCAGTAACTTTTTTGTGTTGTGTGTATTCAACTCACAGAGTTGAACCTTGCTTTAGAGAGAGCAGATTTGAAACACTCTTGCTGTGGCATTTTCAGGTGGAGATTTCAAGCGATTTGAGGACAATTGCAGAAAAGGAAATATCTTCGTATAATAACCAGAAAGAATCATTCTCAGAAAGTGCTTTGTGATGTGTGCGTTCAACTCACAGAGTTTAACCTTTCTTTTCATAGAGGAGTTTGGAAACACACTGTTTGTAAAGTCTGCAAGTGGATATATGGACCTGTTTGAGGCCTTCGTTGGAAACGGGATTTCTTCATTGAATGCTATACGGAAGAATTCTCAGTAAATTCTTTGTGTTGTGTGCATTCAACTCACAGAGTGGAACGTCCCTTTAGACAGAGCAGATTTGAAACACTCTTTTTGCGGAATTTGCAAGTGGAGATTTCTAGCCATTTGATGCCAACAGTAGAAAGGGAAATATCTTCAAATAAAAACCAGACAGAATCATTCTCAGAAAATTCTTTGTGATGTGTGCGTTCAACTCACATAGTTTAACCTTTCTTTTCATAGAGCAGTTTGGAAACACTCTGTTTGTAAAGTCTGCAAGTGGATATATGGACCGCATTGAGGCCTTCGTTGGAAACGGGATTTCTTCATTTCATGCTAGACAGAAGAATTCTCAGTAACTTCTTTGTGCTGTGTGTATTCAACTCACAGAGTGGAACGTCCCTTTGCACAGAGCAGATTTGAAACACTCTTTTTGTGGAATTTGCAGGTGGAGATTTCAAGCGATTTGATGCCAACAGTAGAAAAGGAAATATCTTCAAATAAAAACTAGACAGAATCATTCTCTGAAACTACTTTGTGATGTGTGCCTTCAACTCACAGAATTTAACCTTTCTTTTCTTAGAGCAGTTTAGAAACACTCTGCTTGTTATGTCTGCAAGTGGATATTTGGACCTCTTTGAGGCCTTCGTTGCAAACGGGGTTTCTTCCTTTAATGCTAGACTAAGAAGAGTTCTCAGTAACTTTTTTGTGTTGTGTGTATTCAACTCACAGAGTTGAACCTTGCTTTAGAGAGAGCAGATTTGAAACACTCTTGCTGTGGCATTTTCAGGTGGAGATTTCAAGCGATTTGAGGACAATTGCAGAAAAGGAAATATCTTCGTATAATAACCAGACAGAATCATTCTCAGAATGTGCTTTGTGATGTGTGCGTTCAACTCACAGAGTTTAACCTTTCTTTTCATAGAGGAGTTTGGAAACACACTGTTTGTAAAGTCTGCAAGTGGATATATGGACCTCTTTGAGGCCTTCGTTGGAAACGGGATTTCTTCATTGAATGCTAGACGGAAGAATTCTCAGTAAATTCTTTGTGTTGTGTGCATTCAACTCACAGAGTGGAACGTCCCTTTAGACAGAGCAGATTTGAAACACTCTTTTTGCGGAATTTGCAAGTGGAGATTTCTAGCCATTTGATGCCAACAGTAGAAAGGGAAATATCTTCAAATAAAAACCAGACAGAATCATTCTCAGAAAATTCTTTGTGATGTGTGCGTTCAACTCACATAGTTTAACCTTTCTTTTCATAGAGCAGTTTGGAAACACTCTGTTTGTAAAGTCTGCAAGTGGATATATGGACCGCATTGAGGCCTTCGTTGGAAACGGGATTTCTTCATTTCATGCTAGACAGAAGAATTCTCAGTAACTTCTTTGTGCTGTGTGTATTCAACTCACAGAGTGGAACGTCCCTTTGCACAGAGCAGATTTGAAACACTCTTTTTGTGGAGTTTGCAAGTGGAGATTTCAAGCGATTTGATGCCAACAGTAGAAAAGGAAATATCTTCAAATAAAAACTAGACAGAATCATTCTCAGAAACTACTTTGTGATGTGTGCCTTCAACTCACAGAGTTTAACCTTTCTTTTCTTAGAGCAGTTTAGAAACACTCTGCTTGTTATGTCTGCAAGTGGATATTTGGACCTCTTTGAGGCCTTCGTTGCAAACGGGGTTTCTTCCTTTCATGCTAGACTAAGAAGAGTTCTCAGTAACTTTTTTGTGTTGTGTGTATTCAACTCACAGAGTTGAACCTTGCTTTAGAGAGAGCAGATTTGAAACACTCTTGCTGTGGCATTTTCAGGTGGAGATTTCAAGCGTTTTGAGGACAATTGCAGAAAAGGAAATATCTTCGTATAATAACCAGACAGAATCATTCTCAGAAAGTGCTTTGTGATGTGTGCGTTCAACTCACAGAGTTTAACCTTTCTTTTCATAGAGGAGTTTGGAAACACACTGTTTGTAAAGTCTGCAAGTGGATATATGGACCTGTTTGAGGCCTTCGTTGGAAACGGGATTTCTTCATTGAATGCTAGACGGAAGAATTCTCAGTAAATTCTTTGTGTTGTGTGCATTCAACTCACAGAGTGGAACGTCCCTTTAGACAGAGCAGATTTGAAACACTCTTTTTGCGGAATTTGCAATTGGAGATTTCTAGCCATTTGATGCCAACGGTAGAAAGGGAAATATCTTCAAATAAAAACTAGACAGAATCATCCTCAGAAAATTCTTTGTGATGTGTGCGTTCAACTCACATAGTTTAACCTTTCTTTTCATAGACCAGTTTGGAAACACTCTGTTGGTAATGTCTGCAAGTGGATATATGGACCGCTTTGAGGACTTCGTTGGAAACGGAATTTCTTAATTTCATGCTAGACAGAAGAATTCTCAGTAACTTCTTTGTGTTGTGTGTATTCAACTGACAGATTGGAATGTCCCATTACACAGAGCAGTTTTGAAACACTCTTTTTGTGGAATTTAAAAGTGGAGAATTCAAGCGATTTGATGCCAAAAGTTGGAAAGGAAATATCTTCAAATAAAAATTAGACAGAATCATTCTCAGAAAATTCTTTGTGATGTGTGCGTTCAGCTCACATAGTTTAACCTTTCTTTTCATAGAGCAGTTTCGAAACACACTGTTTGTAAAATCTGCAAGTGGATATATGTACCGCTTTGAGGCATTCCTTGGAAACGGGATTTCTTCATTGAATGCTAGACAGAAGAATTCTCAGTAAATTCTTTGTGTTGTGTGCATTCAACTCACCGAGTGGAACGTCCCTTTAGACAGAGCAGATTTGAAACAGTCTTTTTGCGAAATTTGGAAGTGGAGATTTCAAGCCATTTGATGCCAACAATAGAAAGGGAAATATCTTCAAATAAAAACTAGACAGAATCATTCTCAGAAAATTCTTTGTGATGTGTGCGTTCAACTCACATAGTTTAACCTTTCTTTTCATAGAGCAGTTTGGAAACACTCTGTTTGTAAAGTCTGCAAGTAGATATATGGACCGCTTTGAGGCCTTCGTTGGAAACGGGATTTCTTCATTTCATGCTAGACAGAAGAATTCTCAGTAACTCCTTTGTGTTGTGTGTATTCAACTCACAGTGTGGAACGTCCCTTTAGACAGAGCAGATTTGAAACACTCTTTTTGTGGAATTTGCAAGTGGAGATTTCAAGCGATTTGATGCCAGCAGTAGAAAAGGAAATATCTTCAAATAAAAACTAGACAGAATCATTCTCAGAAACTACTTTGTGATGTGTGCCTTCAACTCACAGAGTTTAACCTTTCTTTTCTTAGAGCAGTTTAGAAACACTCTGCTTCTTATGTCTGCAAGTGGATATTTGGACCTCTTTGAGGCCTTCGTTGCAAACGGGATTTCTTCCTTTAATGCTAGACTAAGAAGAGTTCTCAGTAACTTTTTTGTGTTGTGTGTATTCAACTCACAGAGTTGAACCTTGCTTTAGAGAGAGCAGATTTGAAACACTCTTGCTGTGGCATTTTCAGGTGGAGATTTCAAGCGATTTGAGGACAATTGCAGAAAAGGAAATATCTTCGTATAATAACCAGAGAGAATCATTCTCAGAAAGTGCTTTGTGATGTGTGCGTTCAACTCACAGAGTTCAACCTTTCTTTTCATAGAGGAGTTTGGAAACACACTGTTTGTAAAGTCTGCAAGTGGATATATGGACCTGTTTGATGCCTTCGTTGGAAACGGGATTTTATCATATAATGCTAGACGGAAGAATTCTCAGTAAATTCTTTGTGTTGTGTGCATTCAACTCACAGAGTGGAACGTCCCTTTAGACAGAGCAGATTTGAAACACTCTTTTTGCGGAATTTGCAAGTGGAGATTTCTAGCCATTTGATGCCAACAGTAGAAAGGGAAATATCTTCAAATAAAAACCAGACAGAATTCATTCTCAGAAAATTCTTTGTGATGTGTGCGTTCAACTCACATAGTTTAACCTTTCTTTTCATAGAGCAGTTTGGAAACACTCTGTTTGTAAAGTCTGCAAGTGGATATATGGACCGCATTGAGGCCTTCGTTGGAAACGGGATTTCTTCATTTCATGCTAGACAGAAGAATTCTCAGTAACTTCTTTGTGCTGTGTGTATTCAACTCACAGAGTGGAACGTCCCTTTGCACAGAGCAGATTTGAAACACTCTTTTTGTGGAATTTGCAAGTGGAGATTTCAAGCGATTTGATGCCAACAGTAGAAAAGGAAATATCTTCAAATAAAAACTAGACAGAATCATTCTCAGAAACTACTTTGTGATGTGTGCCTTCAACTCACAGAGTTTAACCTTTCTTTTCTTAGAGCAGTTTAGAAACACTCTGCTTGTTATGTCTGCAAGTGGATATTTGGACCTCTTTGAGGCCTTCGTTGCAAACGGGGTTTCTTCCTTTCATGCTAGACTAAGAAGAGTTCTCAGTAACTTTTTTGTGTTGTGTGTATTCAACTCACAGAGTTGAACCTTGCTTTAGAGAGAGCAGATTTGAAACACTCTTGCTGTGGCATTTTCAGGTGGAGATTTCAAGCGATTTGAGGACAATTGCAGAAAAGGAAATATCTTCGTATAATAACCAGACAGAATCATTCTCAGAAAGTGCTTTGTGATGTGTGCGTTCAACTCACAGAGTTTAACCTTTCTTTTCATAGAGGAGTTTGGAAACACACTGTTTGTAAAGTCTGCAAGTGGATATATGGACCTGTTTGAGGCCTTCGTTGGAAACGGGATTTCTTCATTGAATGCTAGACAGAAGAATTCTCAGTAAATTCTTTGTGTTGTGTGCATTCAACTCACAGAGTGGAACGTCCCTTTAGACAGAGCAGATTTGAAACACTCTTTTTACGGAATTTGCAAGTGGAGATTTCTAGCCATTTGATGCCAACAGTAGAAAGGGAAATATCTTCAAGTAAAAACTAGACAGAATCATTCTCAGAAAATTCTTTGTGATGTGTGCGTTCAACTCACATAGTTTAACCTTTCTTTTCATAGAGCAGTTTGGAAACACTCTGTTTGTAAAGTCTGCAAGTGGATATATGGACCGCATTGAGGCCTTCGTTGGAAACGGGATTTCTTCATTTCATGCTAGACAGAAGAATTCTCAGTAACTTCTTTGTGCTGTGTGTATTCAACTCACAGAGTGGAACGTCCCTTTGCACAGAGCAGATTTGAAACACTCTTTTTGTGGAGTTTGCAAGTGGAGATTTCAAGCGATTTGATGCCAACAGTAGAAAAGGAAGTATCTTCAAATAAAAACTAGACAGAATCATTCTCAGAAACTACTTTGTGATGTGTGCCTTCAACTCACCGAGTTTAACCTTTCTTTTCTGAGAGCAGCTTAGAAACACTCTGCTTGTTATGTCTGCAAGTTGATATTTGGACCTCTTTGAGGCCTTCGTTGCAAACGGGGTTTCTTCCTTTCATGCTAGACTAAGAAGAGTTCTCAGTAACTTTTTTGTGTTGTGTGTATTCAACTCACAGAGTTGAACCTTGCTTTAGAGAGAGCAGATTTGAAACACTCTTGCTGTGGCATTTTCAGGTGGAGATTTCAAGCGATTTGAGGACAATTGCAGAAAAGGAAATATCTTCGTATAATAACCAGACAGAATCATTCTCAGAAAGTGCTTTGTGATGTGTGCGTTCAACTCACAGAGTTTAACCTTTCTTTTCATAGAGGAGTTTGGAAACACACTGTTTGTAAAGTCTGCAATTGGATATATGGACCTGTTTGAGGCCTTCGTTGGAAACGGGATTTCTTCATTGAATGCTAGACGGAAGAATTCTCAGTAAATTCTTTGTGTTGTGTGCATTCAACTCACAGAGTGGAACGTCCCTTTAGACAGAGCAGATTTGAAACACTCTTTTTGCGGAATTTGCAGGTGGAGATTTCTAGCCATTTGATGCCAACAGTAGAAAGGGAAATATCTTCAAATAAAAACTAGACAGAATCATCCTCAGAAAATTCTTTGTGATGTGTGCGTTCAACTCACATAGTTTAACCTTTCTTTTCATAGAGCAGTTTGGAAACACTCTGTTGGTAAAGTCTGCAAGTGGATATATGGACCGCATTGAGGCCTTCGTTGGAAACGGGATTTCTTCATTTCATGCTAGACAGAAGAATTCTCAGTAACTACTTTGTGCTGTGTGTATTCACCTCACAGAGTGGAACGTTCCTTTACACAGAGCAGATTTGAAACACTCTTTTTGTGGAAATTGCAAGTGGAGATTTCAAGCGATTTGATGCCAACAGTAGAAAAGGAATTATCTTCAAATAAAAACTAGACAGAATCATTCTCAGAAACTTCTTTGTGATGTGTGCCCTCAACTCACAGAGTTTAACCTTTCTTTTCTTAGAGCAGTTTAGAAACACTCTGCTTGTTATGTCTGCAAGTGGATATTTGGACCTCTTTGAGGCCTTCGTTGCAAACGGGGTTTCTTCCTTTCATGCTAGACTAAGAAGAGTTCTCAGTAACTTTTTTGTGTTGTGTGTATTCAACTCACAGAGTTGAACCTTGCTTTAGAGAGAGCAGATTTGAAACACTCTTGCTGTGGCATTTTCAGGTGGAGATTTCAAGCGATTTGAGGACAATTGCAGAAAAGGAAATATCTTCGTATAATAACCAGACAGAATCATTCTCAGAAAGTGCTTTGTGATGTGTGCGTTCAACTCACAGAGTTTAATCTTTCTTTTCATAGAGGAGTTTGGAAACACACTGTTTGTAAAGTCTGCAATTGGATATATGGACCTGTTTGAGGCCTTCGTTGGAAACGGGATTTCTTCATTGAATGCTAGACGGAAGAATTCTCAGTAAATTCTTCGTGTTGTGTGCATTCAACTCACAGAGTGGAACGTCCCTTTAGACAGAGCAGATTTGAAACACTCTTTTTGCGGAATTTGCAAGTGGAGATTTCTAGCCATTTGATGCCAACAGTAGAAAGGGAAATATCTTCAAATAAAAACCAGACAGAATCATTCTCAGAAAATTCTTTGTGATGTGTGCGTTCAACTCACATAGTTTAACCTTTCTTTTCATAGAGCAGTTTGGAAACACTCTGTTTGTAAAGTCTGCAAGTGGATATATAGACCGCATTGAGGCCTTCGTTGGAAACGGGATTTCTTCATTTCGTGCTAGACAGAAGAATTCTCAGTAACTTCTTTGTGCTGTGTGTATTCAACTCACAGAGTGGAACGTCCCTTTACACAGAGCAGATTTGAAACACTCTTTTTGTGGAGTTTGCAAGTGGAGATTTCAAGCGATTTGATGCCAACAGTAGAAAAGGAAATATCTTCAAATAAAAACTAGACAGAATCATTCTCAGAAACTACTTTGTGATGTGTGCCTTCAACTCAGAGTTTAACCTTTCTTTTCTTAGAGCAGTTTAGAAACACTCTGCTTGTTATGTCTGCAAGTGGATATTTGGACCTCTTTGAGGCCTTCGTTGCAAACGGGGTTTCTTCCTTTAATGCTAGACTAAGAAGAGTTCTCAGTAACTTTTTTGTGTTGTGTGTATTCAACTCACAGAGTTGAACCTTGCTTTAGAGAGAGCAGATTTGAAACACTCTTGCTGTGGCATTTTCAGGTGGAGATTTCAAGCGATTTGAGGACAATTGCAGAAAAGGAACTATCTTCGTATAATAACCAGACAGAATCATTCTCAGAAAGTGCTTTGTGATGTGTGCGTTCAACTCACAGAGTTTAACCTTTCTTTTCATAGAGGAGTTTGGAAACACACTGTTTGTAAAGTCTGCAATTGGATATATGGACCTGTTTGAGGCCTTCTTTGGAAAAGGGATTTCTTCATTGAATGCTAGACGGAAGAATTCTCAGTAAATTCTTTGTGTTGTGTGCATTCAACTCACAGAGTGGAACGTCCCTTTAGACAGAGCAGATTTGAAACACTCTTTTTGCGGAATTTGCAAGTGGAGATTTCTAGCCATTTGATGCCAACAGTAGAAAGGGAAATATCTTCAAATAAAAACCAGACAGAATCATTCTCAGAAAATTCTTTGTGATGTGTGCGTTCAACTCACATAGTTTAACCTTTCTTTTCATAGAGCAGTTTGGAAACACTCTGTTTGTAAAGTCTGCAAGTGGATATATAGACCGCATTGAGGCCTTCGTTGGAAACGGGATTTCTTCATTTCATGCTAGACAGAAGAATTCTCAGTAACTTCTTTGTGCTGTGTGTATTCAACTCACAGAGTGGAACGTCCCTTTACACAGAGCAGATTTGAAACACTCTTTTTGTGGAATTTGCAAGTGGAGATTTCAAGCGATTTGATGCCAACAGTAGAAAAGGAAATATCTGCAAAAAAAAACTAGACAGAATCATTCTCAGAAAGTGCTTTGTGATGTGTGCGTTCAACTCACAGAGTTTAACCTTTCTTTTCATAGAGGAGTTTGGAAACACACTGTTTGTAAAGTCTGCAATTGGATATATGGACCTGTTTAAGGCCTTCGTTGGAAACGGGATTTTATCATATAATGCTAGACGGAAGAATTCTCAGTAAATTCTTTGTGTTGTGTGCATTCAACTCACAGAGTGGAACGACCCTTTAGACAGAGCAGATTTGAAACACTCTTTTTGCGGAATTTGCAAGTGGAGATTTCTAGCCATTTGATGCCAACAGTATAAAGGGAAATATCTTCAAATAAAAACTAGACAGAATCATTCTCAGAAAATTCTTTGTGATGTGTGCGTTCAACTCACATAGTTTAACCTTTCTTTTCATAGAGCAGTTTGGAAACACTCTGTTTGTAAAGTCTGCAAGTGGATATATGGACCGCATTGAGGCCTTCGTTGGAAACGGGATTTCTTCATTTCATGCTAGACAGAAGAATTCTCAGTAACTTCTTTGTGCTGTGTGTATTCAACTCACAGAGTGGAACGTCCCTTTGCACAGAGCAGATTTGAAACACTCTTTTTGTGCAATTTGCAAGTGGAGATTTCAAGCGATTTGATGCCAACAGTAGAAAAGGAAATATCTTCAAATAAAAACTAGACAGAATCATTCTCAGAAACTACTTTGTGATGTGTGCCTTCAACTCACAGAGTTTAACCTTTCTTTTCTTAGAGCAGTTTAGAAACACTCTGCTTGTTATGTCTGCAAGTGGATATTTGGACCTCTTTGAGGCCTTCGTTGCAAACGGGGTTTCTTCCTTTCATGCTAGACTAAGAAGAGTTCTCAGTAACTTTTTTGTGTTGTGTGTATTCAACTCACAGAGTTGAACCTTGCTTTAGAGAGAGCAGATTTGAAACACTCTTGCTGTGGCATTTTCAGGTGGAGATTTCAAGCGATTTGAGGACAATTGCAGAAAAGGAAATATCTTCGTATAATAACCAGACAGAATCATTCTCAGAAAGTGCTTTGTGATGTGTGCGTTCAACTCACAGAGTTTAACCTTTCTTTTCATAGAGGAGTTTGGAAACACACTGTTTGTAAAGTCTGCAATTGGATATATGGAGCTGTTTGAGGCCTTCGTTGGAAACGGGATTTCTTCATTGAATGCTAGACGGAAGAATTCTCAGTAAATTCTTTGTGTTGTGTGCATTCAACTCACAGAGTGGAACGTCCCTTTAGACAGAGCAGATTTGAAACACTCTTTTTGCGGAATTTGCAAGTGGAGATTTCTAGCCATTTGATGCCAACAGTAGAAAGGGAAATATCTTCAAATAAAAACCAGACAGAATCATTCTCAGAAAATTCTTTGTGATGTGTGCGTTCAACTCACATAGTTTAACCTTTCTTTTCATAGAGCAGTTTGGAAACACTCTGTTTGTAAAGTCTGCAAGTGGATATATGGACCGCATTGAGGCCTTCGTTGGAAACGGGATTTCTTCATTTCATGCTAGACAGAAGAATTCTCAGTAACTTCTTTGTGCTGTGTGTATTCAACTCACAGAGTGGAACGTCCCTTTACACAGAGCAGATTTGAAACACTCTTTTTGTGGAGTTTGCAAGTGGAGATTTCAAGCGATTTGATGCCAACAGTAGAAAAGGAAATATCTTCAAATAAAAACTAGACAGAATCATTCTCAGAAACTACTTTGTGATGTGTGCCTTCAACTCACAGAGTTTAACCTTTCTTTTCTTAGAGCAGTTTAGAAACACTCTGCTTGTTATGTCTGCAAGTGGATATTTGGACCTCTTTGAGGCCTTCGTTGCAAACGGGGTTTCTTCCTTTCATGCTAGACTAAGAAGAGTTCTCAGTAACTTTTTTGTGTTGTGTGTATTCAACTCACAGAGTTGAACCTTGCTTTAGAGAGAGCAGATTTGAAACACTCTTGCTGTGGCATTTTCAGGTGGAGATTTCAAGCGATTTGAGGACAATTGCAGAAAAGGAAATATCTTCGTATAATAACCAGACAGATAATCATTCTCAGAAAGTGCTTTGTGATGTGTGCGTTCCACTCACAGAGTTTAACCTTTCTTTTCATAGAGGAGTTTGGAAACACACTGTTTGTAAAGTCTGCAAGTGGATATATGGACCTGTTTGAGGCCTTCGTTGGAAACGGGATTTCTTCATTGAATGCTAGACGGAAGAATTCTCAGTAAATTCTTTGTGTTGTGTGCATTCAACTCACAGAGTGGAACGTCCCTTTAGACAGAGCAGATTTGAAACACTCTTTTTGCGGAATTTGCAAGTGGAGATTTCTAGCCATTTGATGCCAACAGTAGAAAGGGAAATATCTTCAAATAAAAACCAGACAGAATCATTCTCAGAAAATTCTTTGTGATGTGTGCGTTCAACTCACATAGTTTAACCTTTCTTTTCATAGAGCAGTTTGGAAACACTCTGTTTGTAAAGTCTGCAAGTGGATATATGGACCGCATTGAGGCCTTCGTTGGAAACGGGATTTCTTCATTTCATGCTAGACAGAAGAATTCTCAGTAACTTCTTTGTGCTGTGTGTATTCAACTCACAGAGTGGAACGTCCCTTTGCACAGAGCAGATTTGAAACACTCTTTGTGGAATTTGCAAGTGGAGATTTCAAGCGATTTGATGCCAACAGTAGAAAAGGAAATATCTTCAAATAAAAACTAGACAGAATCATTTAGAAACTACTTTGTGATGTGTGCCTTCAACTCACAGAGTTTAACCTTTCTTTTCTTAGAGCAGTTTAGAAACACTCTGCTTGTTATGTCTGCAAGTGGATATTTGGACCTCTTTGAGGCCTTCTTTGGAAACGGGATTTCTTCATTGAATGCTAGACGGAAGAATTCTCAGTAAATTCTTTGTGTTGTGTGCATTCAACTCACAGAGTGGAACGTCCCTTTAGACAGAGCAGATTTGAAACACTCTTTTTGCGGAATTTGCAAGTGGAGATTTCTAGCCATTTGATGCCAACAGTAGAAAGGGAAATATCTTCAAATAAAAACCAGACAGAATCATTCTCAGAAAATTCTTTGTGATGTGTGCGTTCAACTCACATAGTTTAACCTTTCTTTTCATAGAGCAGTTTGGAAACACTCTGTTTGTAAAGTCTGCAAGTGGATATATGGACCGCATTGAGGCCTTCGTTGGAAACGAGATTTCTTCATTTCATGCTAGACAGAAGAATTCTCAGTAACTTCTTTGTGCTGTGTGTATTCAACTCACAGAGTGGAACGTCCCTTTGCACAGAGCAGATTTGAAACACTCTTTTTGTGGACTTTGCAAGTGGAGATTTCAAGCGATTTGATGCCAACAGTAGAAAAGGAAATATCTTCAAATAAAAACTAGACAGAATCATTCTCAGAAACTACTTTGTGATGTGTGCCTTCAACTCACAGAGTTTAACCTTTCTTTTCTTAGAGCAGTTTAGAAACACTCTGCTTGTTATGTCTGCAAGTGGATATTTGGACCTCTTTGAGGCCTTCGTTGCAAACGGGGTTTCTTCCTTTCATGCTAGACTAAGAAGAGTTCTCAGTAACTTTTTTGTGTTGTGTGCATTCAACTCACAGAGTTGAACCTTGCTTTAGAGAGAGCAGATTTGAAACACTCTTGCTGTGGCATTTTCAGGTGGAGATTTCAAGCGATTTGAGGACAATTGCAGAAAAGGAAATATCTTCGTATAACAACCAGACAGAATCATTCTCAGAAAGTGCTTTGTGATGTGTGCGTTCAACTCACAGAGTTTAATCTTTCTTTTCATAGAGGAGTTTGGAAACACACTGTTTGTAAAGTCTGCAATTGGATATATGGACCTGTTTGAGGCCCTTCGTTGGAAACGGGATTTCTTCATTGAATGCTAGACGGAAGAATTCTCAGTAAATTCTTTGTGTTGTGTGCATTCAACTCACAGAGTGGAACGTCACTTTAGACAGAGCAGATTTGAAACACACTTTTTGCGGAATTTGCAAGTGGAGATTTCTAGCCATTTGATGCCAACAGTAGAAAGGGAAATATCTTCAAATAAAAACCAGACAGAATCATTCTCAGAAAATTCTTTGTGATGTGTGCGTTCAACTCACATAGTTTAACCTTTCTTTTCATAGAGCAGTTTGGAAACACTCTGTTTGTAAAGTCTGCAAGTGGATATATGGACCGCATTGAGGCCTTCGTTGGAAACGAGATTTCTTCATTTCATGCTAGACAGAAGAATTCTCAGTAACTTCTTTGTGCTGTGTGTATTCAACTCACAGAGTGGAACGTCCCTTTGCACAGAGCAGATTTGAAACACTCTTTTTGTGGAATTTGCAAGTGGAGATTTCTAGCGATTTGATGCCAACAGTAGAAAAGGAAATATCTTCAAATAAAAACTAGACAGAATCATTCTCAGAAACTACTTTGTGATGTGTGCCTTCAACTCACAGAGTTTAACCTTTCTTTTCTTAGAGCAGTTTAGAAACACTCTGCTTGTTATGTCTGCAAGTGGATATTTGGACCTCTTTGAGGCCTTCGTTGCAAACGGGGTTTCTTCCTTTCATGCTAGACTAAGAAGAGTTCTCAGTAACTTTTTTGTGTTGTGTGTATTCAACTCACAGAGTTGAACCTTGCTTTAGAGAGAGCAGATTTGAAACACTCTTGCTGTGGCATTTTCAGGTGGAGATTTCAAGCGATTTGAGGACAATTGCAGAAAAGGAAATATCTTCGTATAACAACCAGACAGAATCATTCTCAGAAAGTGCTTTGTGATGTGTGCGTTCCACTCACAGAGTTTAACCTTTCTTTTCATAGAGGAGTTTGGAAACACACTGTTTGTAAAGTCTGCAAGTGGATATATGGACCTGTTTGAGGCCTTCGTTGGAAACGGGATTTCTTCATTGAATGCTAGACGGAAGAATTCTCAGTAAATTCTTTGTGTTGTGTGCATTCAACTCACAGAGTGGAACGTCCCTTTAGACAGAGCAGATTTGAAACACTCTTTTTGCGGAATTTGCAAGTGGAGATTTCTAGCCATTTGATGCCAACAGTAGAAAGGGAAATATCTTCAAATAAAAACCAGACAGAATCATTCTCAGAAAATTCTTTGTGATGTGTGCGTTCAACTCACATAGTTTAACCTTTCTTTTCTTAGAGCAGTTTAGAAACACTCTGCTTGTTATGTCTGCAAGTGGATATTTGGACCTCTTTGAGGCCTTCGTTGCAAACGGGGTTTCTTCCTTTCATGCTAGACTAAGAAGAGTTCTCAGTAACTTTTTTGTGTTGTGTGTATTCAACTCACAGAGTTGAACCTTGCTTTAGAGAGAGCAGATTTGAAACACTCTTGCTGTGGCATTTTCAGGTGGAGATTTCAAGCGATTTGAGGACAATTGCAGAAAAGGAAATATCTTCGTATAACAACCAGACAGAATCATTCTCAGAAAGTGCTTTGTGATGTGTGCGTTCAACTCACAGAGTTTAACCTTTCTTTTCATAGAGGAGTTTGGAAACACACTGTTTGTAAAGTCTGCAATTGGATATATGGACCTGTTTGAGGCCTTCGTTGGAAACGGGATTTCTTCATTGCATGCTAGACGGAAGAATTCTCAGTAAATTCTTTGTGTTGTGTGCATTCAACTCACAGAGTGGAACGTCCCTTTAGACAGAGCAGATTTGAAACACTCTTTTTGCGGAATTTGCAAGTGGAGATTTCTAGCCATTTGATGCCAACAGTAGAAAGGGAAATATCTTCAAATAAAAACCAGACAGAATCATTCTCAGAAAATTCTTTGTGATGTGTGCGTTCAACTCACATAGTTTAACCTTTCTTTTCATAGAGCAGTTTGGAAACACTCTGTTTGTAAAGTCTGCAAGTGGATATATGGACCGCATTGAGGCCTTCGTTGGAAACGGGATTTCTTCATTTCATGCTAGACAGAAGAATTCTCAGTAACTTCTTTGTGCTGTGTGTATTCAACTCACAGAGTGGAACGTCCCTTTGCACAGAGCAGATTTGAAACACTCTTTTTGTGGAGTTTCAAGTGGAGATTTCAAGCGATTTGATGCCAACAGTAGAAAAGGAAATATCTTCAAATAAAAACTAGACAGAATCATTCTCAGGAAACTACTTTGTGATGTGTGCCTTCAACTCACAGAGTTTAACCTTTCTTTTCTTAGAGCAGTTTAGAAACACTCTGCTTGTTATGTCTGCAAGTGGATATTTGGACCTCTTTGAGGCCTTCGTTGCAAACGGGGTTTCTTCCTTTCATGCTAGACTAAGAAGAGTTCTCAGTAACTTTTTTGTGTTGTGTGTATTCAACTCACAGAGTTGAACCTTGCTTTAGAGAGAGCAGATTTGAAACACTCTTGCTGTGGCATTTTCAGGTGGAGATTTCAAGCGATTTGAGGACAATTGCAGAAAAGGAAATATCTTCGTATAATAACCAGACAGAATCATTCTCAGAAAGTGCTTTGTGATGTGTGCGTTCCACTCACAGAGTTTAACCTTTCTTTTCATAGAGGAGTTTGGAAACACACTGTTTGTAAAGTCTGCAAGTGGATATATGGACCTGTTTGAGGCCTTCGTTGGAAACGGGATTTCTTCATTGAATGCTAGACGGAAGAATTCTCAGTAAATTCTTTGTGTTGTGTGCATTCAACTCACAGAGTGGAACGTCCCTTTAGACAGAGCAGATTTGAAACACTCTTTTTGCGGAATTTGCAAGTGGAGATTTCTAGCCATTTGATGCCAACAGTAGAAAGGGAAATATCTTCAAATAAAAACCAGACAGAATCATTCTCAGAAAATTCTTTGTGACGTGTGCGTTCAACTCACATAGTTTAACCTTTCTTTTCATAGAGCAGTTTGGAAACACTCTGTTTGTAAAGTCTGCAAGTGGATATATGGACCGCATTGAGGCCTTCGTTGGAAACGGGATTTCTTCATTTCATGCTAGACAGAAGAATTCTCAGTAACTTCTTTGTGCTGTGTGTATTCAACTCACAGAGTGGAACGTCCCTTTACACAGAGCAGATTTGAAACACTCTTTTTGTGGAGTTTGCAAGTGGAGATTTCAAGCGATTTGATGCCAACAGTAGAAAAGGAAATATCTTCAAATAAAAACTAGACAGAATCATTCTCAGAAACTACTTTGTGATGTGTGCCTTCAACTCACAGAGTTTAACCTTTCTTTTCTTAGAGCACTTTAGAAACACTCTGCTTGTTATGTCTGCAAGTGGATATTTGGACCTCTTTGAGGCCTTCGTTGCAAACGGGGTTTCTTCCTTTCATGCTAGACTAAGAGAGAGTTCTCAGTAACTTTTTTGTGTTGTGTGTATTCAACTCACAGAGTTGAACCTTGCTTTAGAGAGAGCAGATTTGAAACACTCTTGCTGTGGCATTTTCAGGTGGAGATTTCAAGCGATTTGAGGACAATTGCAGAAAAGGAAATATCTTCGTATAATAACCAGACAGATCATTCTCAGAAAGTGCTTTGTGATGTGTGCGTTCAACTCACAGAGTTTAACCTTTCTTTTCATAGAGGAGTTTGGAAACACACTGTTTGTAAAGTCTGCAAGTGGATATATGGACCTGTTTGAGGCCTTCGTTGGAAACCGGATTTCTTCATTGAATGCTAGACGGAAGAATTCTCAGTAAATTCTTTGTGTTGTGTGCATTCAACTCACAGAGTGGAACGTCCCTTTAGACAGAGCAGATTTGAAACACTCTTTTTGCGGAATTTGCAAGTGGAGATTTCTAGCAATTTGATGCCAACAGTAGAAAGGGAAATATCTTCAAATAAAAACCAGACAGAATCATTCTCATAAAATTCTTTGTGATGTGTGCGTTCAAATCACATAGTTTAACCTTTCTTTTCATAGAGCAGTTTGGAAACACTCTGTTTGCAAAGTCTGCAAGTGGATATATGGACCGCATTGAGGCCTTCGTTGGAAACGGGATTTCTTCATTTCATGCTAGACAGAAGAATTCTCAGTAACTTCTTTGTGCTGTGTGTATTCAACTCACAGAGTGGAACGTCCCTTTGCACAGAGCAGATTTGAAACACTCTTTTTGTGGAATTTGCAAGTGGAGATTTCAAGCGATTTGATGCCAACAGTAGAAAAGGAAATATCTTCAAATAAAAACTAGACAGAATCATTCTCAGAAACTACTTTGTGATGTGTGCCTTCAACTCACAGAGTTTAACCTTTCTTTTCTTAGAGCAGTTTAGAAACACTCTGCTTGTTATGTCTGCAAGTGGATATTTGGACCTCTTTGAGGCCTTCGTTGCAAACGGGGTTTCTTCCTTTCATGCTAGACTAAGAAGAGTTCTCAGTAACTTTTTTGTGTTGTGTGTATTCAACTCACAGAGTTGAACCTTGCTTTAGAGAGAGCAGATTTGAAACACTCTTGCTGTGGCATTTTCAGGTGGAGATTTCAAGCGATTTGAGGACAATTGCAGAAAAGGAAATATCTTCGTATAATAACCAGACCGAATCATTCTCAGAAAGTGCTTTGTGATGTGTGCGTTCCACTCACAGAGTTTAACCTTTCTTTTCATAGAGGAGTTTGGAAACACACTGTTTGTAAAGTCTGCAAGTGGATATATGGACCGCTTTGAGGCCTTCGTTGGAAACGGGATTTCTTCATTGAATGCTAGGCGGAAGAATTCTCAGTAAATTCTTTGTGTTGTGTGCATTCAACTCACAGAGTGGAACGTCCCTTTAGACAGAGCAGATTTGAAACACTCTTTTTGCGGAATTTGCAAGTGGAGATTTCTAGCCATTTGATGCCAACAGTAGAAAGGGAAATATCTTCAAATAAAAACCAGACAGAATCATTCTCAGAAAATTCTTTGTGATGTGTGCGTTCAACTCACATAGTTTAACCTTTCTTTTCATAGAGCAGTTTGGAAACACTCTGTTTGTAAAGTCTGCAAGTGGATATATGGACCGCATTGAGGCCTTCGTTGGAAACGGGATTTCTTCATTTCATGCTAGACAGAAGAATTCTCAGTAACTTCTTTGTGCTGTGTGTATTCAACTCACAGAGTGGAACGTCCCTTTGCACAGAGCAGATTTGAAACACTCTTTTTGTGGAGTTTGCAAGTGGAGATTTCAAGCGATTTGATGCCAACAGTAGAAAAGGAAATATCTTCAAATAAAAACTAGACAGAATCATTCTCAGAAACTACTTTGTGATGTGTGCCTTCAACTCACAGAGTTTAACCTTTCTTTTCTTAGAGCAGTTTAGAAACACTCTGCTTGTTATGTCTGCAAGTGGATATTTGGACCTCTTTGAGGCCTTCGTTGCAAACGGGGTTTCTTCCTTTAATGCTAGACTAAGAAGAGTTCTCAGCAACTTTTTTGTGTTGTGTGTATTCAACTCAAAGAGTTGAACCTTGCTTTAGAGAGAGCAGATTTGAAACACTCTTGCTGTGGAATTTTCAGGTGGAGATTTCAAGCGATTTGAGGACAATTGCAGAAAAGGAAATATCTTCGTATAATAACCAGACAGAATCATTCTCAGAAAGTGCTTTGTGATGTGTGCGTTCAACTCACAGAGTTTAACCTTTCTTTTCATAGAGGAGCTTGGAAACACACTGTAAAGTCTGCAATTGGATATATGGACCTGTTTGAGGCCTCCGTTGGAAACGGGATTTCTTCATTGAATGCTAGACGGAAGAATTCTCAGTAAATTCTTTGTGTTGTGTGCATTGAACTCACAGAGTGGAACGTCCCTTTACACAGAGCAGATTTGAAACACTCTTTTTGCGGAATTTGCAAGTGGAGATTTCTAGCCATTTGATGCCAACAGTAGAAAGGGAAATATCTTCAAATAAAAACCAGACAGAATCATTCTCAGAAAATTCTTTGTGATGTGTGCCTTCAACTCACAGAGTTTAACCTTTCTTTTCTTAGAGCAGTTTAGAAACACTCTGCTTGTTATGTCTGCAAGTGGATATTTGCACCTCTTTGAGGCCTTCGTTGCAAACGGGGTTTTTTCCTTTAATGCTAGACTAAGAAAAGTTCTCAGTAACTTTTTTGTGTTGTGTGTATTCAACTCACAGAGTTGAACCTTGCTTTAGAGAGAGCAGATTTGAAACACTCTTGCTGTGGCATTTTCAGGTGGAGATTTCAAGCGATTTGAGGACAATTGCAGAAAAGGAAATATCTTCGTATAATAACCAGACAGAATCATTCTCAGAAAGTGCTTTGTGATGTGTGCGTTCAACTCACAGAGTTTAACCTTTCTTTTCATAGAGGAGTTTGGAAACACACTGTTTGTAAAGTCTGCAATTGGATATATGGACCTGTTTGAGGCCTTTGTTGGAAACGGGATTTCTTCATTGAATGCTAGACGGAAGAATTCTCAGTAAATTCTTTGTGTTGTGTGCATTCAACTCACAGAGTGGAACGTCCCTTTAGACAGAGCAGATTTGAAACACTCTTTTTGCGGAATTTGCAAGTGGAGATTTCTAGCCATTTGATGCCAACAGTAGAAAGGGAAATATCTTCAAATAAAAACCAGACAGAATCATTCTCAGAAAATTCTTTGTGATGTGTGCGTTCAACTCACATAGTTTAACCTTTCTTTTCATAGAGCAGTTTGGAAACACTCTGTTTGTAAAGTCTGCAAGTGGATCTATGGACCGCATTGAGGCCTTCGTTGGAAACGGGATTTCTTCATTTCATGCTAGACAGAAGAATTCTCAGTAACTTCTTTGTGCTGTGTGTATTCAACTCACAGAGTGGAACGTCCCTTTGCACAGAGCAGATTTGAAACACTCTTTTTGTGGAGTTTGCAAGTGGAGATTTCAAGCGATTTGATGCCAACAGTAGAAAAGGAAATATCTTCAAATAAAAACTAGACAGAAATCATTCTCAGAAACTACTTTGTGATGTGTGCCTTCAACTCACAGAGTTTAACCTTTCTTTTCTTAGAGCAGCTTAGAAACACTCTGCTTGTTATGTCTGCAAGTGGATATTTGGACCTCTTTGAGGCCTTCGTTGCAAACGGGGTTTCTTCCTTTAATGCTAGACTAAGAAGAGTTCTCAGTAACTTTTTTGTGTTGTGTGTATTCAACTCACAGAGTTGAACCTTGCTTTAGAGAGAGCAGATTTGAAACACTCTCGCTGTGGAATTTTCAGGTGGAGATTTCAAGCGATTTGAGGACAATTGCAGAAAAGGAAATATCTTCGTATAATAACCAGACAGAATCATTCTCAGAAAGTGCTTTGTGATGTGTGCGTTCAACTCACAGAGTTTAACCTTTCTTTTCATAGAGGAGTTTGGAAACACACTGTTTGTAAAGTCTGCAAGTGGATATATGGACCTGTTTGAGGCCTTCGTTGGAAACGGGATTTCTTCATTGAATGCTAGACGGAAGAATTCTCAGTAAATTCTTTGTGTTGTGTGCATTCAACTCACAGAGTGGAACGTCCCTTTAGACAGAGCAGATTTGAAACACTCTTTTTGCGGAATTTGCAAGTGGAGATTTCTAGCCATTTGATGCCAACAGTAGAAAGGGAAATATCTTCAAATAAAAACCAGACAGAATCATTCTCAGAAAATTCTTTGTGATGTGTGCGTTCAACTCACATAGTTTAACCTTTCTTTTCATAGAGCAGTTTGGAAACACTCTGTTTGTAAAGTCTGCAAGTGGATATATGGACCGCATTGAGGCCTTCGTTGGAAGCGGGATTTCTTCATTTCATGCTAGACAGAAGAATTCTCAGCAACTTCTTTGTGCTGTGTGTATTCAACTCACAGAGTGGAACGTCCCTTTACACAGAGCAGATTTGAAACACTCTTTTTGTGGAGTTTGCAAGTGGAGATTTCAAGCGATTTGATGCCAACAGTAGAAAAGGAAATATCTTCAAATAAAAACTAGACAGAATCATTCTCAGAAACTACTTTGTGATGTGTGCCTTCAACTCACAGAGTTTAACCTTTCTTTTCTTAGAGCAGTTTAGAAACACTCTGCTTGTTATGTCTGCAAGTGGATATTTGGACCTCTTTGAGGCCTTCGTTGTAAACGGGGTTTCTTCCTTTAATGCTAGACTAAGAAGAGTTCTCAGTAACTTTTTTGTGTTGTGTGTATTCAACTCACAGAGTTGAACCTTGCTTTAGAGAGAGCAGATTTGAAACACTCTTGCTGTGGCATTTTCAGGTGGAGATTTCAAGCGATTTGAGGACAATTGCAGAAAAGGAAATATCTTCGTATAATAACCAGACAGAATCATTCTCAGAAAGTGCTTTGTGATGTGTGCGTTCAACTCACAGAGTTTAACCTTTCTTTTCATAGAGGAGTTTGGAAACACACTGTTTGTAAAGTCTGCAATTGGATATATGGACCTGTTTGAGGCCTTCGTTGGAAACGGGATTTCTTCATTGAATGCTAGACGGAAGAATTCTCAGTAAATTCTTTGTGTTGTGTGCATTCAACTCACAGAGTGGAACGTCCCTTTAGACAGAGCAGATTTGAAACACTCTTTTTGCGGAATTTGCAAGTGGAGATTTCTAGCCATTTGATGCCAACAGTAGAAAGGGAAATATCTTCAAATAAAAACCAGACAGAATCATTCTCAGAAAATTCTTTGTGATGTGTGCGTTCAACTCACATAGTTTAACCTTTCTTTTCATAGAGCAGTTTGGAAACACTCTGTTTGTAAAGTCTGCAAGTGGATATATGGACCGCATTGAGGCCTTCGTTGGAAACGGGATTTCTTCATTTCATGCTAGACAGAAGAATTCTCAGTAACTTCTTTGTGCTGTGTGTATTCAACTCACAGAGTGGAACGTCCCTTTGCACAGAGCAGATTTGAAACACTCTTTTTGTGGAGTTTGCAAGTGGAGATTTCAAGCGATTTGATGCCAACAGTAGAAAAGGAAATATCTTCAAATAAAAACTAGACAGAATCATTCTCAGAAACTACTTTGTGATGTGTGCCTTCAACTCACAGAGTTTAACCTTTCTTTTCTTAGAGCAGTTTAGAAACACTCTGCTTGTTATGTCTGCAAGTGGATATTTGGACCTCTTTGAGGCCTTCGTTGCAAACGGGGTTTCTTCCTTTCATGCTAGACTAAGAAGAGTTCTCAGTAACTTTTTTGTGTTGTGTGTATTCAACTCACAGAGTTGAACCTTGCTTTAGAGAGAGCAGATTTGAAACACTCTTGCTGTGGCATTTTCAGGTGGAGATTTCAAGCGTTTTGAGGACAATTGCAGAAAAGGAAATATCTTCGTATAATAACCAGACAGAATCATTCTCAGAAAGTGCTTTGTGATGTGTGCGTTCCACTCACAGAGTTTAACCTTTCTTTTCATAGAGGAGTTTGGAAACACACTGTTTGTAAAGTCTGCAAGTGGATATATGGACCTGTTTGAGGCCTTCGTTGGAAACGGGATTTCTTCATTGAATGCTAGACGGAGAATTCTCAGTAAATTCTTTGTGTTGTGTGCATTCAACTCACAGAGTGGAACGTCCCTTTAGACAGAGCAGATTTGAAACACTCTTTTTGCGGAATTTGCAAGTGGAGATTTCTAGCCATTTGATGCCAACAGTAGAAAGGGAAATATCTTCAAATAAAAACCAGACAGAATCATTCTCAGAAAATTCTTTGTGATGTGTGCGTTCAACTCACATAGTTTAACCTTTCTTTTCATAGAGCAGTTTGGGAACACTCTGTTGGTAATGTCTGCAAGTGGATATATGGACCGCTTTGAGGCCTTCGTTGGAAACGGGATTTCTTCATTTCATGCTAGACAGAAGAATTCTCAGTAACTTCATTGTGTTGTGTGTATTCAACTCACAGATTGGAACGTCCCTTTACACAGAGCAGATTTGAAACACTCTTTTTGTGGAATTTGCAAGTGGAGATTTCAAGCGATTTGATGCCAACAGTAGAAAAGGAAATATCTGCAAACAAAAACTAGACAGAATCATTATCAGAAAGTGCTTTGTGATGTGTGCATTCAACTCACAGAGTTAACCTTTCTTTTCATAAAGGAGTTTGGAAACACACTGTTTGTAAAGTCTGCAATTGGATATATGGACCTGTTTGAGGCCTTCGTTGGAAACGGGATTTCTTCATTGAATGCTAGACGGAAGAATTCTCAGTAAATTCTTTGTGTTGTGTGCATTCAACTCACAGAGTGGAACGTTCCTTTAGACAGAGCAGATTTGAAACACTCTTTTTGCGGAATTTGCAAGTGGAGATTTCTAGCCATTTGATGCCAACAGTAGAAAGGGAAATATCTTCAAATAAAAACCAGACAGAATCATTCTCAGAAAATTCTTTGTGATGTGTGCGTTCAACTCACATAGTTTAACCTTTCTTTTCATAGAGCTGTTTGGAAACACTCTGTTTGTAAAGTCTGCAAGTGGATATATGGACCGCATTGAGGCCTTCGTTGGAAACGGGATTTCTTCATTTCATGCTAGACAGAAGAATTCTCAGTAACTTCTTTGTGCTGTGTGTATTCAACTCACAGAGTGGAACGTCCCTTTGCACAGAGCAGATTTGAAACACTCTTTTTGTGGAGTTTGCAAGTGGAGATTTCAAGCGATTTGATGCCAACAGTAGAAAAGGAAATATCTTCAAATAAAAACTAGACAGAATCATTCTCAGAAACTACTTTGTGATGTGTGCCTTCAACTCACAGAGTTTAACCTTTCTTTTCTTAGAGCAGTTTAGAAACACTCTGCTTGTTATGTCTGCAAGTGGATATTTGGACCTCTTTGAGGCCTTCGTTGCAAACGGGGTTTCTTCCTTTCATGCTAGACTAAGAAGAGTTCTCAGTAACTTTTTTGTGTTGTGTGTATTCAACTCACAGAGTTGAACCTTGCTTTAGAGAGAGCAGATTTGAAACACTCTTGCTGTGGCATTTTCAGGTGGAGATTTCAAGCGTTTTGAGGACAATTGCAGAAAAGGAAATATCTTCGTATAATAACCAGACAGAATCATTCTCAGAAAGTGCTTTGTGATGTGTGCGTTCCACTCACAGAGTTTAACCTTTCTTTTCATAGAGGAGTTTGGAAACACACTGTTTGTAAACTCTGCAAGTGGATATATGGACCTGTTTGAGGCCTTCGTTGGAAACGGGATTTCTTCATTGAATGCTAGACGGAGGAATTCTCAGTAAATTCTTTGTGTTGTGTGCATTCAACTCACAGAGTGGAACGTCCCTTTAGACAGAGCAGATTTGAAACACTCTTTTTGCGGAATTTGCAAGTGGAGATTTCTAGCCATTTGATGCCAACAGTAGAAAGGGAAATATCTTCAAATAAAAACCAGACAGAATCATTCTCAGAAAATTCTTTGTGATGTGTGCGTTCAACTCACATAGTTTAACCTTTCTTTTCATAGAGCAGTTTGGAAACACTCTGTTTGTAAAGTCTGCAAGTGGATATATGGACCGCATTGAGGCCTTCGTTGGAAACGGGATTTCTTCATTTCATGCTAGACAGAAGAATTCTCAGTAACTTCTTTGTGCTGTGTGTATTCAACTCACAGAGTGGAACGTCCCTTTGCACAGAGCAGATTTGAAACACTCTTTTTGTGGAGTTTGCAAGTGGAGATTTCAAGCGATTTGATGCCAACAGTAGAAAAGGAAATATCTTCAAATAAAAACTAGACAGAATCATTCTCAGAAACTACTTTGTGATGTGTGCCTTCAACTCACAGAGTTTAACCTTTCTTTTCTTAGAGCAGCTTAGAAACACTCTGCTTGTTATGTCTGCAAGTGGATATTTGGACCTCTTTGAGGCCTTCGTTGCAAACGGGGTTTCTTCCTTTAATGCTAGACTAAGAAGAGTTCTCAGTAACCTTTTTGTGTTGTGTGTATTCAACTCACAGAGTTGAACCTTGCTTTAGAGAGAGCAGATTTGAAACACTCTTGCTGTGGCATTTTCAGGTGGAGATTTCAAGCGATTTGAGGACAATTGCAGAAAAGGAAATATCTTCGTATAATAACCAGACAGAATCATTCTCAGAAAGTGCTTTGTGATGTGTGCGTTCAACTCACAGAGTTTAACCTTTCTTTTCATAGAGGAGTTTGGAAACACACTGTTTGTAAAGTCTGCAAGTGGATATATGGACCTGTTTGAGGCCTTCGTTGGAAACGGGATTTCTTCATTGAATGCTAGACGGAAGAATTCTCAGTAAATTCTTTGTGTTGTGTGCATTCAACTCACAGAGTGGAACGTCCCTTTAGACAGAGCAGATTTGAAACACTCTTTATGTGGAATTTGCAAGTGGAGATTTCTAGCCATTTGATGCCAACAGTAGAAAGGGAAATATCTTCAAATAAAAACCAGACAGAATCATTCTCAGAAAATTCTTTGTGATGTGTGCGTTCAACTCACATAGTTTAACCTTTCTTTTCATAGAGCAGTTTGGAAACACTCTGTTTGTAAAGTCTGCAAGTGGATCTATGGACCGCATTGAGGCCTTCGTTGGAAACGGGATTTCTTCATTTCATGCTAGACAGAAGAATTCTCAGTAACTTCTTTGTGCTGTGTGTATTCAACTCACAGAGTGGAACGTCCCTTTACACAGAGCAGATTTGAAACACTCGTTTTGTGGAGTTTGCAAGTGGAGATTTCAAGCGATTTGATGCCAACAGTAGAAAAGGAAGTATCTTCAAATAAAAACTAGACAGAATCATTCTCAGAAACTACTTTGTGATGTGTGCCTTCAACTCACAGAGTTTAACCTTTCTTTTCTTAGAGCAGTTTAGAAACACTCTGCTTGTTATGTCTGCAAGTTGATATTTGGACCTCTTTGAGGCCTTCGTTGCAAACGGGGTTTCTTCCTTTAATGCTAGACTAAGAAGAGTTCTCAGTAACTTTTTTGTGTTGTGTGTATTCAACTCACAGAGTTGAACCTTGCTTTAGAGAGAGCAGATTTGAAACACTCTTGCTGTGGCATTTTCAGGTGGAGATTTCAAGCGATTTGAGGACAATTGCAGAAAAGGAAATATCTTCGTATAATAACCAGACAGAATCATACTCAGAAAGTGCTTTGTGATGTGTGCGTTCAACTCACAGAATTTAACCTTTCTTTTCATAGAGGAGTTTGGAAACACACTGTTTGTAAAGTCTGCAAGTGGATATATGGACCTGTTTGAGGCCTTCGTTGGAAACGGGATTTCTTCATTGAATGCTAGACGGAAGAATTCTCAGTAAATTCTTTGTGTTGTGTGCATTCAACTCACAGAGTGGAACGTCCCTTTAGACAGAGCAGATTTGAAACACTCTTTTTGCGGAATTTGCAAGTGGAGATTTCTAGCCATTTGATGCCAACAGTAGAAAGGGAAATATCTTCAAATAAAAACCAGACAGAATCATTCTCAGAAAATTCTTTGTGATGTGTGCGTTCAACTCACATAGTTTAACCTTTCTTTTCATAGAGCAGTTTGGAAACACTCTGTTTGTAAAGTCTGCAAGTGGATATATGGACCGCATTGAGGCCTTCGTTGGAAACGGGATTTCTTCATTTCATGCTAGACAGAAGAATTCTCAGTAACTTCTTTGTGCTGTGTGTATTCAACTCACAGAGTGGAACGTCCCTTTGCACAGAGCAGATTTGAAACACTCTTTTTGTGGAGTTTGCAAGTGGAGATTTCAAGCGATTTGATGCCAACAGTAGAAAAGGAAATATCTTCAAATAAAAACTAGACAGAATCATTCTCAGAAACTACTTTGTGATGTGTGCCTTCAACTCACAGAGTTTAACCTTTCTTTTCTTAGAGCAGTTTAGAAACACTCTGCTTGTTATGTCTGCAAGTGGATATTTGGACCTCTTTGAGGCCTTCGTTGCAAACGGGGTTTCTTCCTTTCATGCTAGACTAAGAAGAGTTCTCAGTAACTTTTTTGTGTTGTGTGTATTCAACTCACAGAGTTGAACCTTGCTTTAGAGAGAGCAGATTTGAAACACTCTTGCTGTGGCATTTTCAGGTGGAGATTTCAAGCGATTTGAGGACAATTGCAGAAAAGGAAATATCTTCGTATAATAACCAGACAGAATCATTCTCAGAAAATTCTTTGTGATGTGTGCGTTCAACTCACATAGTTTAACCTTTCTTTTCATAGAGGAGTTTGGAAACAGTCTGTTTGTAAAGTCTGCAAGTGGATATATGGACCTGTTTGAGGCCTTCGTTGGAAACGGGATTTCTTCATTGAATGCTAGACGGAAGAATTCTCAGTAAATTCTTTGTGTTGTGTGCATTCAACTGACAGAGTGGAACGTCCCTTTAGACAGAGCAGATTTGAAACACTCTTTTTGCGGAATTTGCAAGTGGAGATTTCTAGCCATTTGATGCCAACAGTAGAAAGGGAAACATCTTCAAATAAAAACCAGACAGAATCATTCTCAGAAAATTCTTTGTGATGTGTGCGTTCAACTCACATAGTTTAACCTTTCTTTTCATAGAGCAGTTTGGAAACACTCTGTTTGTAAAGTCTGCAAGTGGATATATGGACCGCATTGAGGCCTTCGTTGGAAACGGGATTTCTTCATTTCATGCTAGACAGAAGAATTCTCAGTAACTTCTCTGTGCTGTGTGTATTCAACTCACAGACTGGAACGTCCGTTTGCACAGAGCAGATTTGAAACACTCTTTTTGTGGAATTTGCAAGTGGAGATTTCAAGCGATTTGATGCCAACAGTAGAAAAGGAAATATCTTCAAATAAAAACTAGACAGAACCATTCTCAGAAACTACTTTGTGATGTGTGCCTTCAACTCACAGAGTTTAACCTTTCTTTTCTTAGAGCAGTTTAGAAACACTCTGCTTGTTATGTCTGCAAGTGGATATTTGGACCTCTTTGAGGCCTTCGTTGCAAACGGGGTTTCTTCCTTTCATGCTAGACTAAGAAGAGTTCTCAGTAACTTTTTTGTGTTGTGTGTATTCAACTCACAGAGTTGAACCTTGCTTTAGAGAGAGCAGATTTGAAACACTCTTGCTGTGGCATTTTCAGGTGGAGATTTCAAGCGATTTGAGGACAATTGCAGAAAAGGAAATATCTTCGTATAACAACCAGACAGAATCATTCTCAGAAAGTGCTTTGTGATGTGTGCGTTCAACTCACAGAGTTTAACCTTTCTTTTCATAGAGGAGTTTGGAAACACACTGTTTGTAAAGTCTGCAATTGGATATATGGACCTGTTTGAGGCCTTCGTTGGAAACGGGATTTCTTCATTGAATGCTAGACGGAAGAATTCTCAGTAAATTCTTTGTGTGGTGTGCATTCAACTCACAGAGTGGAACGTCCCTTTAGACAGAGCAGATTTGAAACACTCTTTTTGCGGAATTTGCAAGTGGAGATTTCTAGCCATTTGATGCCAACAGTAGAAAGGGAAATATCTTCAAATAAAAACCAGACAGAATCATTCTCAGAAAATTCTTTGTGATGTGTGCGTTCAACTCACATAGTTTAACCTTTCTTTTCATAGAGCAGTTTGGAAACACTCTGTTTGTAAAGTCTGCAAGTGGATATATGGACCGCATTGAGGCCTTCGTTGGAAACGGGATTTCTTCATTTCATGCTAGACAGAAGAATTCTCAGTAACTTCTTTGTGCTGTGTGTATTCAACTCACAGAGTGGAACGTCCCTTTGCACAGAGCAGATTTGAAACACTCTTTTTGTGGAATTTGCAAGTGGAGATTTCAAGCGATTTGATGCCAACAGTAGAAAAGGAAATATCTTCAAATAAAAACTAGACAGAACCATTCTCAGAAACTACTTTGTGATGTGTGCCTTCAACTCACAGAGTTTAACCTTTCTTTTCTTAGAGCAGTTTAGAAACACTCTGCTTGTTATGTCTGCAAGTGGATATTTGGACCTCTTTGAGGCCTTCGTTGCAAACGGGGTTTCTTCCTTTCATGCTAGACTAAGAAGAGTTCTCAGTAACTTTTTTGTGCTGTGTGTATTCAACTCACAGAGTTGAACCTTGCTTTAGAGAGAGCAGATTTGAAACACTCTTGCTGTGGCATTTTCAGGTGGAGATTTCAAGCGATTTGAGGACAATTGCAGAAAAGGAAATATCTTCGTATAACAACCAGACAGAATCATTCTCAGAAAGTGCTTTGTGATGTGTGCGTTCCACTCACAGAGTTTAACCTTTCTTTTCATAGAGGAGTTTGGAAACACACTGTTTGTAAAGTCTGCAAGTGGATATATGGACCTGTTTGAGGCCTTCGTTGGAAACGGGATTTCTTCATTGAATGCTAGGCGGAAGAATTCTCAGTAAATTCTTTGTGTGGTGTGCATTCAACTCACAGAGTGGAACGTCCCTTTAGACAGAGCAGATTTGAAACACTCTTTTTGCGGAATTTGCAAGTGGAGATTTCTAGCCATTTGATGCCAACAGTAGAAAGGGAAATATCTTCAAATAAAAACCAGACAGAATCATTCTCAGAAAATTCTTTGTGATGTGTGCGTTCAACTCACATAGTTTAACCTTTCTTTTCATAGAGCAGTTTGGAAACACTCTGTTTGTGATGTCTGCAAGTGGATATATAGACCGCATTGAGGCCTTCGTTGGAAACGGGATTTCTTCATTTCATGCTAGACAAGAATTCTCAGTAACTTCTTTGTGCTGTGTGTATTCAACTCACAGAGTGGAACGTCCCTTTGCACAGAGCAGATTTGAAACACTCTTTTTGTGGAGTTTGCAAGTGGAGATTTCAAGCGATTTGATGCCAACAGTAGAAAAGGAAATATCTTCAAATAAAAACTAGACAGAATCATTCTCAGAAACTACTTTGTGATGTGTGCCTTCAACTCACAGAGTTTAACCTTTCTTTTCTTAGAGCAGTTTAGAAACACTCTGCTTGTTATGTCTGCAAGTGGATATTTGGACCTCTTTGAGGCCTTCGTTGCAAACGGGGTTTCTTCCTTTCATGCTAGACTAAGAAGAGTTCTCAGTAACTTTTTTGTGTTGTGTGTATTCAACTCACAGAGTTGAACCTTGCTTTAGAGAGAGCAGATTTGAAACACTCTTGCTGTGGCATTTTCAGGTGGAGATTTCAAGCGATTTGAGGACAATTGCAGAAAAGGAAATATCTTCGTATAATAACCAGACAGAATCATTCTCAGAAAGTGCTTTGTGATGTGTGCGTTCCACTCACAGAGTTTAACCTTTCTTTTCATAGAGGAGTTTGGAAACACACTGTTTGTAAAGTCTGCAATTGGATATATGGACCTGTTTGAGGCCTTCGTTGGAAACGGGATTTCTTCATTGAATGCTAGACGGAAGAATTCTCAGTAAATTCTTTGTGTTGTGTGCATTCAACTCACAGAGTGGAACGTCCCTTTAGACAGAGCAGATTTGAAACACTCTTTTTGCGGAATTTGCAAGTGGAGATTTCTAGCCATTTGATGCCAACAGTAGAAAGGGAAATATCTTCAAATAAAAACCAGACAGAATCATTCTCAGAAAATTCTTTGTGATGTGTGCGTTCAACTCACATAGTTTAACCTTTCTTTTCATAGAGCAGTTTGGAAACACTCTGTTTGTAAAGTCTGCAAGTGGATATATGGACCGCATTGAGGCCTTCGTTGGAAACGGGATTTCTTCATTTCATGCTAGACAGAAGAATTCTCAGTAACTTCTTTGTGCTGTGTGTATTCAACTCACAGAGTGGAACGTCCCTTTACACAGAGCAGATTTGAAACACTCTTTTTGTGGAGTTTGCAAGTGGAGATTTCAAGCGATTTGATGCCAACAGTAGAAAAGGAAATATCTTCAAATAAAAACTAGACAGAATCATTCTCAGAAACTACTTTGTGATGTGTGCCTTCAACTCACAGAGTTTAACCTTTCTTTTCTTAGAGCACTTTAGAAACACTCTGCTTGTTATGTCTGCAAGTGGATATTTGGACCTCTTTGAGGCCTTCGTTGCAAACGGGGTTTCTTCCTTTCATGCTAGACTAAGAAGAGTTCTCAGTAACTTTTTGTGTTGTGTGTATTCAACTCACAGAGTTGAACCTTGCTTTAGAGAGAGCAGATTTGAAACACTCTTGCTGTGGCATTTTCAGGTGGAGATTTCAAGCGATTTGAGGACAATTGCAGAAAAGGAAATATCTTCGTATAATAACCAGACAGAATCATTCTCAGAAAGTGCTTTGTGTTGTGTGCGTTCAACTCACAGAGTTTAACCTTTCTTTTCATAGAGGAGTTTGGAAACACACTGTTTGTAAAGTCTGCAATTGGATATATGGACCTGTTTGAGGCCTTCGTTGGAAACGGGATTTCTTCATTGAATGCTAGACGGAAGAATTCTCAGTAAATTCTTTGTGTTTTGTGCATTCAACTCACAGAGTGGAACGTCCCTTTAGACAGAGCAGATTTGAAACACTCTTTTTGCGGAATTTGCAAGTGGAGATTTCTAGCCATTTGATGCCAACAGTAGAAAGGGAAATATCTTCAAATAAAAACCAGACAGAATCATTCTCAGAAAATTCTTTGTGATGTGTGCGTTCAACTCACATAGTTTTACCTTTCTTTTCATAGAGCAGTTTGGAAACACTCTGTTTGTAAAGTCTGCAAGTGGATATATGGACCGCATTGAGGCCTTCGTTGGAAACGGGATTTCTTCATTTCATGCTAGACAGAAGAATTCTCAGTAACTTCTTTGTGCTGTGTGTATTCAACTCACAGAGTGGAACGTCCCTTTACACAGAGCAGATTTGAAACACTCTTTTTGTGGAGTTTGCAAGTGGAGATTTCAAGCGATTTGATGCCAACAGTAGAAAAGGAAATATCTTCAAATAAAAACTAGACAGAATCATTCTCAGAAACTACTTTGTGATGTGTGCCTTCAACTCACAGAGTTTAACCTTTCTTTTCTTAGAGCAGTTTAGAAACACTCTGCTTGTTATGTCTGCAAGTGGATATTTGGACCTCTTTGAGGCCTTCGTTGCAAACGGGGTTTCTTCCTTTCATGCTAGACTAAGAAGAGTTCTCAGTAACTTTTTTGTGTTGTGTGTATTCAACTCACAGAGTTGAACCTTGCTTTAGAGAGAGCAGATTTGAAACACTCTTGCTGTGGCATTTTCAGGTGGAGATTTCAAGCGATTTGAGGACAATTGCAGAAAAGGAAATATCTTCGTATAACAACCAGACAGAATCATTCTCAGAAAGTGCTTTGTGATGTGTGCGTTCAACTCACAGAGTTTAACCTTTCTTTTCATAGAGGAGTTTGGAAACACACTGTTTGTAAAGTCTGCAAGTGGATATATGGACCTCTTTGAGGCCTTCGTTGGAAACGGGATTTCTTCATTGAATGCTAGACCGAAGAATTCTCAGTAAATTCTTTGTGTTGTGTGCATTCAACTCACAGAGTGGAACGTCCCTTTAGACAGAGCAGATTTGAAACACTCTTTTTGCGGAATTTGCAAGTGGAGATTTCTAGCCATTTGATGCCAACAGTAGAAAGGGAAATATCTTCAAATAAAAACCAGACAGAATCATTCTCAGAAAATTCTTTGTGATGTGTGCGTTCAACTCACATAGTTTAACCTTTCTTTTCATAGAGCAGTTTGGAAACACTCTGTTTGTAAAGTCTGCAAGTGGATATATGGACCGCATTGAGGCCTTCGTTGGAAACGGGATTTCTTCATTTCATGCTAGACAGAAGAATTCTCAGTAACTTCTTTGTGCTGTGTGTATTCAACTCACAGAGTGGAACGTCCCTTTACACAGAGCAGATTTGAAACACTCTTTTTGTGGAGTTTGCAAGTGGAGATTTCAAGCGATTTGATGCCAACAGTAGAAAAGGAAATATCTTCAAATAAAAACTAGACAGAATCATTCTCAGAAACTACTTTGTGATGTGTGCCTTCAACTCACAGAGTTTAACCTTTCTTTTCTTAGAGCAGTTTAGAAACACTCTGCTTGTTATGTCTGCAAGTGGATATTTGGACCTCTTTGAGGCCTTCGTTGCAAACGGGGTTTCTTCCTTTCATGCTAGACTAAGAAGAGTTCTCAGTAAATTTTTTGTGTTGTGTGTATTCAACTCACAGAGTTGAACCTTGCTTTAGAGAGAGCAGATTTGAAACACTCTTGCTGTGGCATTTTCAGGTGGAGATTTCAAGCGATTTGAGGACAATTGCAGAAAAGGAAATATCTTCGTATAACAACCAGACAGAATCATTCTCAGAAAGTGCTTTGTGATGTGTGCGTTCCACTCACAGAGTTTAACCTTTCTTTTCATAGAGGAGTTTGGAAACACACTGTTTGTAAAGTCTGCAAGTGGATATATGGACCTCTTTGAGGCCTTCGTTGGAAACGGGATTTCTTCATTGAATGCTAGACGGAAGAATTCTCAGTAAATTCTTTGTGTTGTGTGCATTCAACTCACAGAGTGGAACGTCCCTTTAGACAGAGCAGATTTGAAACACTCTTTTTGCGGAATTTGCAAGTGGAGATTTCTAGCCATTTGATGCCAACAGTAGAAAGGGAAATATCTTCAAATAAAAACCAGACAGAATCATTCTCAGAAAATTCTTTGTGATGTGTGCGTTCAACTCGCATAGTATAACCTTTCTTTTCATAGAGCAGTTTGGAAACACTCTGTTTGTAAAGTCTGCAAGTGGATATATGGACCGCATTGAGGCCTTCGTTGGAAACGGGATTTCTTCATTTCATGCTAGACAGAAGAATTCTCAGTAACTTCTTTGTGCTGTGTGTATTCAACTCACAGAGTGGAACGTCCCTTTGCACAGAGCAGATTTGAAACACTCTTTTTGTGGAATTTGCAAGTGGAGATTTCAAGCGATTTGATGCCAACAGTAGAAAAGGAAATATCTTCAAATAAAAACTAGACAGAATCATTCTCAGAAACTACTTTGTGATGTGTGCCTTCAACTCACAGAGTTTAACCTTTCTTTTCTTAGAGCAGTTTAGAAACACTCTGCTTGTTATGTCTGCAAGTGGATATTTGGACCTCTTTGAGGCCTTCGTTGCAAACGGGGTTTCTTCCTTTCATACTAGACTAAGAAGAGTTCTCAGTAACTTTTTTGTGTTGTGTGTATTCGACTCACAGAGTCGAACCTTGCTTTAGAGAGAGCAGATTTGAAACACTCTTGCTGTGGCATTTTCAGGTGGAGATTTCAAGCGATTTGAGGACAATTGCAGAAAAGGAAATATCTTCGTATAATAACCAGACAGAATCATTCTCAGAAAGTGCTTTGTGATGTGTGCGTTCAACTCACAGAGTTTAACCTTTCTTTTCATAGAGGAGTTTGGAAACACACTGTTTGTAAAGTCTGCAAGTGGATATATGGACCTGTTTGAGGCCTTCGTTGGAAACGGGATTTCTTCATTGAATGCTAGACGGAAGAATTCTCAGTAAATTCTTTGTGTTGTGTGCATTCAACTCACAGAGTGGAACGTCCCTTTAGACAGAGCAGATTTGAAACACTCTTTTTGCGGAATTTGCAATTGGAGATTTCTAGCCATTTGATGCCAACGGTAGAAAGGGAAATATCTTCAAATAAAAACTAGACAGAATCATCCTCAGAAAATTCTTTGTGATGTGTGCGTTCAACTCACATAGTTTAACCTTTCTTTTCATAGACCAGTTTGGAAACACTCTGTTGGTAATGTCTGCAAGTGGATATATGGACCGCTTTGAGGACTTCGTTGGAAACGGAATTTCTTAATTTCATGCTAGACAGAAGAATTCTCAGTAACTTCTTTGTGTTGTGTGTATTCAACTGACAGATTGGAATGTCCCATTACACAGAGCAGTTTTGAAACACTCTTTTTGTGGAATTTAAAAGTGGAGAATTCAAGCGATTTGATGCCAAAAGTTGGAAAGGGAATATCTTCAAATAAAAATTAGACAGAATCATTCTCAGAAAATTCTTTGTGATGTGTGCGTTCAGCTCACATAGTTTAACCTTTCTTTTCATAGAGCAGTTTCGAAACACACTGTTTGTAAAATCTGCAAGTGGATATATGTACCGCTTTGAGGCATTCCTTGGAAACGGGATTTCTTCATTGAATGCTAGACAGAAGAATTCTCAGTAAATTCTTTGTGTTGTGTGCATTCAACTCACCGAGTGGAATGTCCCTTTAGACAGAGCAGATTTGAAACACTCTTTTTGCGAAATTTGGAAGTGGAGATTTCAAGCCATTTGATGCCAACAATAGAAAGGGAAATATCTTCAAATAAAAACTAGACAGAATCATTCTCAGAAAATTCTTTGTGATGTGTGCGTTCAACTCACATAGTTTAACCTTTCTTTTCATAGAGCAGTTTGGAAACACTCTGTTTGTAAAGTCTGCAAGTAGATATATGGACCGCTTTGAGGCCTTCGTTGGAAACGGGATTTCTTCATTTCATGCTAGACAGAAGAATTCTCAGTAACTTCTTTGTGCTGTGTGTATTCAACTCACAGAGTGGAACGTCCCTTTGCACAGAGCAGATTTGAAACACTCTTTTTGTGGAGTTTGCAAGTGGAGATTTCAAGCGATTTGATGCCAACAGTAGAAAAGGAAATATCTTCAAATAAAAACTAGACAGAATCATTCTCAGAAACTACTTTGTGATGTGTGCCTTCAACTCACAGAGTTTAACCTTTCTTTTCTTAGAGCAGTTTAGAAACACTCTGCTTGTTATGTCTGCAAGTGGATATTTGGACCTCTTTGAGGCCTTCGTTGCAAACGGGGTTTCTTCCTTTCATGCTAGACTAAGAAGAGTTCTCAGTAACTTTTTTGTGTTGTGTGTATTCAACTCACAGAGTTGAACCTTGCTTTAGAGAGAGCAGATTTGAAACACTCTTGCTGTGGCATTTTCAGGTGGAGATTTCAAGCGATTTGAGGACAATTGCAGAAAAGGAAATATCTTCCGTATAATAACCAGACAGAATCATTCTCAAAAAGTGCTTTGTGATGTGTGCGTTCAACTCACAGAGTTTAACCTTTCTTTTCATAGAGGAGCTTGGAAACACCCTGTTTGTAAAGTCTGCAATTGGATATATGGACCTGTTTGAGGCTTCCGTTGGAAACGGGATTTCTTCATTGAATGCTAGACGGAAGAATTCTCAGTAAATTCTTTGTGTGGTGTGCATTCAACTCACAGAGTGGAACGTCCCTTTAGACAGAGCAGATTTGAAACACTCTTTTTGCGGAATTTGCAAGTGGAGATTTCTAGCCATTTGATGCCAACAGTAGAAAGGGAAATATCTTCAAATAAAAACCAGACAGAATCATTCTCAGAAAATTCTTTGTGATGTGTGCGTTCAACTCACATAGTTTAACCTTTCTTTTCATAGAGCAGTTTGGAAACACTCTGTTTGTAAAGTCTGCAAGTGGATATATGGACCGCATTGAGGCCTTCGTTGGAAACGGGATTTCTTCATTTCATGCTAGACAGAAGAATTCTCAGTAACTTCTCTGTGCTGTGTGTATTCAACTCACAGACTGGAACGTCCGTTTGCACAGAGCAGATTTGAAACACTCTTTTTGTGGAATTTGCAAGTGGAGATTTCAAGCGATTTGATGCCAACAGTAGAAAAGGAAATATCTTCAAATAAAAACTAGACAGAACCATTCTCAGAAAGTACTTTGTGATGTGTGCCTTCAACTCACAGAGTTTAACCTTTCTTTTCTTAGAGCAGTTTAGAAACACTCTGCTTGTTATGTCTGCAAGTGGATATTTGGACCTCTTTGAGGCCTTCGTTGCAAACGGGGTTTCTTCCTTTCATGCTAGACTAAGAAGAGTTCTCAGTAACTTTTTTGTGTTGTGTGTATTCAACTCACAGAGTTGAACCTTGCTTTAGAGAGAGCAGATTTGAAACACTCTTGCTGTGGCATTTTCAGGTGGAGATTTCAAGCGATTTGAGGACAATTGCAGAAAAGGAAATATCTTCGTATAACAACCAGACAGAATCATTCTCAGAAAGTGCTTTGTGATGTGTGCGTTCCACTCACAGAGTTTAACCTTTCTTTTCATAGAGGAGTTTGGAAACACACTGTTTGTAAAGTCTGCAAGTGGATATATGGACCTGTTTGAGGCCTTCGTTGGAAACGGGATTTCTTCATTGAATGCTAGGCGGAGGAATTCTCAGTAAATTCTTTGTGTTGTGTGCATTCAACTCACAGAGTGGAACGTCCCTTTAGACAGAGCAGATTTGAAACACTCTTTTTGCGGAATTTGCAAGTGGAGATTTCTAGCCATTTGATGCCAACAGTAGAAAGGGAAATATCTTCAAATAAAAACCAGACAGAATCATTCTCAGAAAATTCTTTGTGATGTGTGCGTTCAACTCACATAGTTTAACCTTTCTTTTCATAGAGCAGTTTGGAAACACTCTGTTTGTAAAGTCTGCAAGTGGATATATGGACCGCATTGAGGCCTTCGTTGGAAACGGGATTTCTTCATTTCATGCTAGACAGAAGAATTCTCAGTAACTTCTTTGTGCTGTGTGTATTCAACTCACAGAGTGGAACGTCCCTTTGCACAGAGCAGATTTGAAACACTCTTTTTGTGGAGTTTGCAAGTGGAGATTTCAAGCGATTTGATGCCAACAGTAGAAAAGGAAATATCTTCAAATAAAAACTAGACAGAATCATTCTCAGAAACTACTTTGTGATGTGTGCCTTCAACTCACAGAGTTTAACCTTTCTTTTCTTAGAGCAGTTTAGAAACACTCTGCTTGTTATGTCTGCAAGTGGATATTTGGACCTCTTTGAGGCCTTCGTTGCAAACGGGGTTTCTTCCTTTCATGCTAGACTAAGAAGAGTTCTCAGTAACTTTTTTGTGTTGTGTGTATTCAACTCACAGAGTTGAACCTTGCTTTAGAGAGAGCAGATTTGAAACACTCTTGCTGTGGCATTTTCAGGTGGAGATTTCAAGCGTTTTGAGGACAATTGCAGAAAAGGAAATATCTTCGTATAATAACCAGACAGAATCATTCTCAGAAAGTGCTTTGTGTTGTGTGCGTTCAACTCACAGAGTTTAACCTTTCTTTTCATAGAGGAGTTTGGAAACACACTGTTTGTAAAGTCTGCAATTGGATATATGGACCTGTTTGAGGCCTTCGTTGGAAACGGGATTTCTTCATTGAATGCTAGACGGAAGAATTCTCAGTAAATTCTTTGTGTTGTGTGCATTCAACTCACAGAGTGGAACGTCCCTTTAGACAGAGCAGATTTGAAACACTCTTTTTGCGGAATTTGCAAGTGGAGATTTCTAGCCATTTGATGCCAACAGTAGAAAGGGAAATATCTTCAAATAAAAACCAGACAGAATCATTCTCAGAAAATTCTTTGTGATGTGTGCGTTCAACTCACATAGTTTAACCTTTCTTTTCATAGAGCAGTTTGGAAACACTCTGTTTGTAAAGTCTGCAAGTGGATATATGGACCGCATTGAGGCCTTCGTTGGAAACGGGATTTCTTCATTTCATGCTAGACAGAAGAATTCTCAGTAACTTCTTTGTGCTGTGTGTATTCAACTCACAGAGTGGAACGTCCCTTTACACAGAGCAGATTTGAAACACTCTTTTTGTGGAGTTTGCAAGTGGAGATTTCAAGCGATTTGATGCCAACAGTAGAAAAGGAAATATCTTCAAATAAAAACTAGACAGAATCATTCTCAGAAACTACTTTGTGATGTGTGCCTTCAACTCACAGAGTTTAACCTTTCTTTTCTTAGAGCAGTTTAGAAACACTCTGCTTGTTATGTCTGCAAGTGGATATTTGGACCTCTTTGAGGCCTTCGTTGCAAACGGGGTTTCTTCCTTTCATGCTAGACTAAGAAGAGTTCTCAGTAACTTTTTTGTGTTGTGTGTATTCAACTCACAGAGTTGAACCTTGCTTTAGAGAGAGCAGATTTGAAACACTCTTGCTGTGGCATTTTCAGGTGGAGATTTCAAGCGATTTGAGGACAATTGCAGAAAAAGAAATATCTTCGTATAATAACCAGACAGAATCATTCTCAGAAAGTGCTTTGTGATGTGTGCGTTCCACTCACAGAGTTTAACCTTTCTTTTCATAGAGGAGTTTGGAAACACACTGTTTGTAAAGTCTGCAATTGGATATATGGACCTGTTTGAGGCCTTCGTTGGAAACGGGATTTCTTCATTGAATGCTAGACGGAAGAATTCTCAGTAAATTCTTTGTGTTGTGTGCATTCAACTCACAGAGTGGAACGTCCCTTTAGACAGAGCAGATTTGAAACACTCTTTTTGCGGAATTTGCAAGTGGAGATTTCTAGCCATTTGATGCCAACAGTAGAAAGGGAAATATCTTCAAATAAAAACCAGACAGAATCATTCTCAGAAAATTCTTTGTGATGTGTGCGTTCAACTCACATAGTTTAACCTTTCTTTTCATAGAGCAGTTTGGAAACACTCTGTTTGTAAAGTCTGCAAGTGGATATATGGACCGCATTGAGGCCTTCGTTGGAAACGGGATTTCTTCATTTCATGCTAGACAGAAGAATTCTCAGTAACTTCTTTGTGCTGTGTGTATTCAACTCACAGAGTGGAACGTCCCTTTGCACAGAGCAGATTTGAAACACTCTTTTTGTGGAATTTGCAAGTGGAGATTTCAAGCGATTTGATGCCAACAGTAGAAAAGGAAATATCTTCAAATAAAAACTAGACAGAATCATTCTCAGAAACTACTTTGTGATGTGTGCCTTCAACTCACAGAGTTTAACCTTTCTTTTCTTAGAGCAGTTTAGAAACACTCTGCTTGTTATGTCTGCAAGTGGATATTTGGACCTCTTTGAGGCCTTCGTTGCAAACGGGGTTTCTTCCTTTCATGCTAGACTAAGAAGAGTTCTCAGTAACTTTTTTGTGTTGTGTGTATTCAACTCACAGAGTTGAACCTTGCTTTAGAGAGAGCAGATTTGAAACACTCCTGCTGTGGCATTTTCAGGTGGAGATTTCAAGCGATTTGAGGACAATTGCAGAAAAGGAAATATCTTCGTATAATAACCAGACAGAATCATTCTCAGAAAGTGCTTTTTGATGTGTGCGTTCAACTCACAGAGTTTAACCTTTCTTTTCATAGAGGAGTTTGGAAACACACTGTTTGTAAAGTCTGCAAGTGGATATATGGACCTGTTTGAGCCCTTCGTTGGAAACGGGATTTCTTCATTGAATGCTAGACGGAAGAATTCTCAGTAAATTCTTTGTGTTGTGTGCATTCAACTCACAGAGTGGAACGTCCCTTTAGACAGAGCAGATTTGAAACACTCTTTTTGCGGAATTTGCAAGTGGAGATTTCTAGCCATTTGATGCCAAGAGTAGAAAGGGAAATATCTTCAAATAAAAACCAGACAGAATCATTCTCAGAAAATTCTTTGTGATGTGTGCGTTCAACTCACATAGTTTAACCTTTCTTTTCATAGAGCAGTTTGGAAACACTCTGTTTGTAAAGTCTGCAAGTGGATATATGGACCGCATTGAGGCCTTCGTTGGAAACGGGATTTCTTCATTTCATGCTAGACAGAAGAATTCTCAGTAACTTCTTTGTGCTGTGTGTATTCAACTCACAGAGTGGAACGTCCCTTTACACAGAGCAGATTTGAAACACTCTTTTTGTGGAGTTTGCAAGTGGAGATTTCAAGCGATTTGATGCCAACAGTAGAAAAGGAAATATCTTCAAATAAAAACTAGACAGAATCATTCTCAGAAACTACTTTGTGATGTGTGCCTTCAACTCACAGAGTTTAACCTTTCTTTTCTTAGAGCAGTTTAGAAACACTCTGCTTGTTATGTCTGCAAGTGGATATTTGGACCTCTTTGAGGCCTTCGTTGCAAACGGGGTTTCTTCCTTTCATGCTAGACTAAGAAGAGTTCTCAGTAACATTTTTGTGTTGTGTGTATTCAACTCACAGAGTTGAACCTTGCTTTAGAGAGAGCAGATTTGAAACACTCTTGCTGTGGCATTTTCAGGTGGAGATTTCAAGCGATTTGAGGACAATTGCAGAAAAGGAAATATCTTCGTATAACAACCAGACAGAATCATTCTCAGAAAGTGCTTTGTGATGTGTGCGTTCAACTCACAGAGTTTAACCTTTCTTTTCATAGAGGAGTTTGGAAACACACTGTTTGTAAAGTCTGCAATTGGATATATGGACCTGTTTGAGGCCTTCGTTGGAAACGGGATTTCTTCATTGAATGCTAGACGGAAGAATTCTCAGTAAATTCTTTGTGTTGTGTGCATTCAACTCACAGAGTGGAACGTCCCTTTAGACAGAGCAGATTTGAAACACTCTTTTTGCGGAATTTGCAAGTGGAGATTTCTAGCCATTTGATGCCAACAGTAGAAAGGGAAATATCTTCAAATAAAAACCAGACAGAATCATTCTCAGAAAATTCTTTGTGATGTGTGCGTTCAACTCACATAGTTTAACCTTTCTTTTCATAGAGCAGTTTGGAAACACTCTGTTTGTAAAGTCTGCAAGTGGATATATGGACCGCATTGAGGCCTTCGTTGGAAACGGGATTTCTTCATTTCATGCTAGACAGAAGAATTCTCAGTAACTTCTTTGTGCTGTGTGTATTCAACTCACAGAGTGGAACGTCCCTTTACACAGAGCAGATTTGAAACACTCTTTTTGTGGAGTTTGCAAGTGGAGATTTCAAGCGATTTGATGCCAACAGTAGAAAAGGAAATATCTTCAAATAAAAACTAGACAGAATCATTCTCAGAAACTACTTTGTGATGTGTGCCTTCAACTCACAGAGTTTAACCTTTCTTTTCTTAGAGCAGTTTAGAAACACTCTGCTTGTTATGTCTGCAAGTGGATATTTGGACCTCTTTGAGGCCTTCGTTGCAAACGGGGTTTCTTCCTTTAATGCTAGACTAAGAAGAGTTCTCAGTAACTTTTTTGTGTTGTGTGTATTCAACTCACAGAGTTGAACCTTGCTTTAGAGAGAGCAGATTTGAAACACTCTTGCTGTGGCATTTTCAGGTGGAGATTTCAAGCGATTTGAGGACAATTGCAGAAAAGGAAATATCTTCGTATAACAACCAGACAGAATCATTCTCAGAAAGTGCTTTGTGATGTGTGCGTTCAACTCACAGAGTTTAACCTTTCTTTTCATAGAGGAGTTTGGAAACACACTGTTTGTAAAGTCTGCAATTGGATATATGGACCTGTTTGAGGCCTTCGTTGTAAAAGGGGTTTCTTCATTGAATGCTAGACGGAAGAATTCTCAGTAAATTCTTTGTGTTGTGTGCATTCAACTGACAGAGTGGAACGTCCCTTTAGACAGAGCAGATTTGAAACACTCTTTTTGCGGAATTTGCAAGTGGAGATTTCTAGCCATTTGATGCCAACAGTAGAAAGGGAAATATCTTCAAATAAAAACCAGACAGAATCATTCTCAGAAAATTCTTTGTGATGTGTGCGTTCAAATCACATAGTTTAACCTTTCTTTTCATAGAGCAGTTTGGAAACACTCTGTTTGTAAAGTCTGCAAGTGGATATATGGACCGCATTGAGGCCTTCGTTGGAAACGGGATTTCTCCATTTCATGCTAGACAGAAGAATTCTCAGTAACTTCTTTGTGCTGTGTGTATTCAACTCACAGAGTGGAACGTCCCTTTGCACAGAGCAGATTTGAAACACTCTTTTTGTGGAATTTGCAAGTGGAGATTTCAAGCGATTTGATGCCAACAGTAGAAAAGGAAATATCTTCAAATAAAAACTAGACAGAATCATTCTCAGAAACTACTTTGTGATGTGTGCCTTCAACTCACAGAGTTTAACCTTTCTTTTCTTAGAGCAGTTTAGAAACACTCTGCTTGTTATGTCTGCAAGTGGATATTTGGACCTCTTTGAGGCCTTCGTTGCAAACGGGGTTTCTTCCTTTCATGCTAGACTAAGAAGAGTTCTCAGTAACTTTTTTGTGTTGTGTGTATTCAACTCACAGAGTTGAACCTTGCTTTAGAGAGAGCAGATTTGAAACACTCCTGCTGTGGCATTTTCAGGTGGAGATTTCAAGCGATTTGAGGACAATTGCAGAAAAGGAAATATCTTCGTATAATAACCAGACAGAATCATTCTCAGAAAGTGCTTTTTGATGTGTGCGTTCAACTCACAGAGTTTAACTTTTCTTTTCATAGAGGAGTTTGGAAACACACTGTTTGTAAAGTCTGCAAGTGGATATATGGACCTGTTTGAGCCCTTCGTTGGAAACGGGATTTCTTCATTGAATGCTAGACGGAAGAATTCTCAGTAAATTCTTTGTGTTGTGTGCATTCAACTCACAGAGTGGAACGTCCCTTTAGACAGAGCAGATTTGAAACACTCTTTTTGCGGAATTTGCAAGTGGAGATTTCTAGCCATTTGATGCCAACAGTAGAAAGGGAAATATCTTCAAATAAAAACCAGACAGAATCATTCTCAGAAAATTCTTTGTGATGTGTGCGTTCAACTCACATAGTTTAACCTTTCTTTTCATAGAGCAGTTTGGAAACACTCTGTTTGTAAAGTCTGCAAGTGGATATATGGACCGCATTGAGGCCTTCGTTGGAAACGGGATTTCTTCATTTCATGCTAGACAGAAGAATTCTCAGTAACTTCTTTGTGCTGTGTGTATTCAACTCACAGAGTGGAACGTCCCTTTGCACAGAGCAGATTTGAAACACTCTTTTTGTGGACTTTGCAAGTGGAGATTTCAAGCGATTTGATGCCAACAGTAGAAAAGGAAATATCTTCAAATAAAAACTAGACAGAATCATTCTCAGAAACTACTTTGTGATGTGTGCCTTCAACTCACAGAGTTTAACCTTTCTTTTCTTAGAGCAGTTTAGAAACACTCTGCTTGTTATGTCTGCAAGTGGATATTTGGACCTCTTTGAGGCCTTCGTTGCAAACGGGGTTTCTTCCTTTCATGCTAGACTAAGAAGAGTTCTCAGTAACTTTTTTGTGTTGTGTGTATTCAACTCACAGAGTTGAACCTTGCTTTAGAGAGAGCAGATTTGAAACACTCTCGCTGTGGAATTTTCAGGTGGAGATTTCAAGCGATTTGAGAACAATTGCAGAAAAGGAAATATCTTCGTATAATAACCAGACAGAATCATTCTCAGAAAGTGCTTTGTGATGTGTGCGTTCAACTCACAGAGTTTAACCTTTCTTTTCATAGAGGAGTTTGGAAACACACTGTTTGTAAAGTCTGCAATTGGATATATGGACCTGTTTGAGGCCTTCGTTGGAAACGGGATTTCTTCATTGAATGCTAGACGGAAGAATTCTCAGTAAATTCTTTGTGTTGTGTGCATTCAACTCACAGAGTGGAACGTCCCTTTAGACAGAGCAGATTTGAAACACTCTTTTTGCGGAATTTGCAAGTGGAGATTTCTAGCCATTTGATGCCAACAGTAGAAAGGGAAATATCTTCAAATAAAAACCAGACAGAATCATTCTCAGAAAATTCTTTGTGATGTGTGCGTTCAACTCACATAGTTTAACCTTTCTTTTCATAGAGCAGTTTGGAAACACTCTGTTTGTAAAGTCTGCAAGTGGATATATAGACCGCATTGAGGCCTTCGTTGGAAACGGGATTTCTTCATTTCGTGCTTGACAGAAGAATTCTCAGTAACTTCTTTGTGCTGTGTGTATTCAACTCACAGAGTGGAACGTCCCTTTACACAGAGCAGATTTGAAACACTCTTTTTGTGGAGTTTGCAAGTGGAGATTTCAAGCGATTTGATGCCAACAGTAGAAAAGGAAATATCTTCAAATAAAAACTAGACAGAATCATTCTCAGAAACTACTTTGTGATGTGTGCCTTCAACTCAGAGTTTAACCTTTCTTTTCTTAGAGCAGTTTAGAAACACTCTGCTTGTTATGTCTGCAAGTGGATATTTGGACCTCTTTGAGGCCTTCGTTGCAAACGGGGTTTCTTCTTTTAATGCTAGACTAAGAAGAGTTCTCAGTAACTTTTTTGTGTTGTGTGTATTCAAATCACAGAGTTGAACCTTGCTTTAGAGAGAGCAGATTTGAAACACTCTTGCTGTGGCATTTTCAGGTGGAGATTTCAAGCGATTTGAGGACAATTGCAGAAAAGGAAATATCTTCGTATAATAACCAGACAGAATCATTCTCAGAAAGTGCTTTGTGATGTGTGCGTTCAACTCACAGAGTTTAACCTTTCTTTTCATAGAGGAGTTTGGCAACACACTGTTTGTAAAGTCTGCAATTGGATATATGGACCTGTTTGAGGCCTTCGTTGGAAACGGGATTTCTTCATTGAATGCTAGACGGAAGAATTCTCAGTAAATTCTTTGTGTTGTGTGCATTCAACTGACAGAGTGGAACGTCCCTTTAGACAGAGCAGATTTGAAACACTCTTTTTGCGGAATTTGCAAGTGGAGATTTCTAGCCATTTGATGCCAACAGTAGAAAGGGAAATATCTTCAAATAAAAACCAGACAGAATCATTCTCAGAAAATTCTTTGTGATGTGTGCGTTCAACTCACATAGTTTAACCTTTCTTTTCATAGAGCAGTTTGGAAACACTCTGTTTGTAAAGTCTGCAAGTGGATATATGGACCGCATTGAGGCCTTCGTTGGAAACGGGATTTCTTCATTACATGCTAGACAGAAGAATTCTCAGTAACTTCTTTGTGCTGTGTGTATTCAACTCACAGAGTGGAACGTCCCTTTGCACAGAGCAGATTTGAAACACTCTTTTTGTGGAGTTTGCAAGTGGAGATTTCAAGCGATTTGATGCCAACAGTAGAAAAGGAAATATCTTCAAATAAAAACTAGACAGAATCATTCTCAGAAACTACTTTGTGATGTGTGCCTTCAACTCACAGAGTTTAACCTTTCTTTTCTTAGAGCAGTTTAGAAACACTCTGCTTGTTATGTCTGCAAGTGGATATTTGGACCTCTTTGAGGCCTTCGTTGCAAACGGGGTTTCTTCCTTTCATGCTAGACTAAGAAGAGTTCTCAGTAACTTTTTTGTGTTGTGTGTATTCAACTCACAGAGTTGAACCTTGCTTTAGAGAGAGCAGATTTGAAACACTCTTGCTGTGGCATTTTCAGGTGGAGATTTCAAGCGATTTGAGGACAATTGCAGAAAAGGAAATATCTTCGTATAATAACCAGACAGAATCATTCTCAGAAAGTGCTTTGTGATGTGTGCGTTCCACTCACAGAGTTTAACCTTTCTTTTCATAGAGGAGTTTGGAAACACACTGTTTGTAAAGTCTGCAAGTGGATATATGGACCTGTTTGAGGCCTTCGTTGGAAACGGGATTTCTTCATTGAATGCTAGACGGAAGAATTCTCAGTAAATTCTTTGTGTTGTGTGCATTCAACTCACAGAGTGGAACGTCCCTTTAGACAGAGCAGATTTGAAACACTCTTTTTGCGGAATTTGCAAGTGGAGATTTCTAGCCATTTGATGCCAACAGTAGAAAGGGAAATATCTTCAAATAAAAACCAGACAGAATCATTCTCAGAAAATTCTTTGTGATGTGTGCGTTCAACTCACATAGTTTAACCTTTCTTTTCATAGAGCAGTTTGGAAACACTCTGTTTGTAAAGTCTGCAAGTGGATATATGGACCGCATTGAGGCCTTCGTTGGAAACGGGATTTCTTCATTTCATGCTAGACAGAAGAATTCTCAGTAACTTCTTTGTGCTGTGTGTATTCAACTCACAGAGTGGAACGTCCCTTTGCACAGAGCAGATTTGAAACACTCTTTTTGTGGAATTTGCAAGTGGAGATTTCAAGCGATTTGATGCCAACAGTAGAAAAGGAAATATCTTCAAATAAAAACTAGACAGAATCATTCTCAGAAACTACTTTGTGATGTGTGCCTTCAACTCACAGAGTTTAACCTTTCTTTTCTTAGAGCAGTTTAGAAACACTCTGCTTGTTATGTCTGCAAGTGGATATTTGGACCTCTTTGAGGCCTTCGTTGCAAACGGGGTTTCTTCCTTTCATGCTAGACTAAGAAGAGTTCTCAGTAACTTTTTTGTGTTGTGTGTATTCAACTCACAGAGTTGAACCTTGCTTTAGAGAGAGCAGATTTGAAACACTCTTGCTGTGGCATTTTCAGGTGGAGATTTCAAGCGATTTGAGGACAATTGCAGAAAAGGAAATATCTTCGTATAACAACCAGACAGAATCATTCTCAGAAAGTGCTTTGTGATGTGTGCGTTCAACTTACAGAGTTTAACCTTTCTTTTCATAGAGGAGTTTGGAAACACACTGTTTGTAAAGTCTGCAATTGGATATATGGACCTGTTTGAGGCCTTCGTTGGAAACGGGATTTCTTCATTGAATGCTAGACGGAAGAATTCTCAGTAAATTCTTTGTGTTGTGTGCATTCAACTCACAGAGTGGAACGTCCCTTTAGACAGAGCAGATTTGAAACACTCTTTTTGCGGAATTTGCAAGTGGAGATTTCTAGCCATTTGATGCCAACAGTAGAAAGGGAAATATCTTCAAATAAAAACCAGACAGAATCATTCTCAGAAAATTCTTTGTGATGTGTGCGTTCAACTCACATAGTTTAACCTTTCTTTTCATAGAGCAGTTTGGAAACACTCTGTTTGTAAAGTCTGCAAGTGGATATATGGACCGCATTTGAGGCCTTCGTTGGAAACGGGATTTCTTCATTTCATGCTAGACAGAAGAATTCTCAGTAACTTCTTTGTGCTGTGTGTATTCAACTCACAGAGTGGAACGTCCCTTTGCACAGAGCAGATTTGAAACACTCTTTTTGTGGAGTTTGCAAGTGGAGATTTCAAGCGATTTGATGCCAACAGTAGAAAAGGAAATATCTTCAAATAAAAAATAGACAGAATCATTCTCAGAAACTACTTTGTGATGTGTGCCTTTAACTCACAGAGTTTAACCTTTCTTTTCTTAGAGCAGTTTAGAAACACTCTGCTTGTTATGTCTGCAAGTGGATATTTGGACCTCTTTGAGGCCTTCGTTGCAAACGGGGTTTCTTCCTTTCATGCTAGACTAAGAAGAGTTCTCAGTAACTTTTTTGTGTTGTGTGTATTCAACTCACAGAGTTGAACCTTGCTTTAGAGAGAGCAGATTTGAAACACTCTTGCTGTGGCATTTTCAGGTGGAGATTTCAAGCGATTTGAGGACAATTGCAGAAAAGGAAATATCTTCGTATAATAACCAGACAGAATCATTCTCAGAAAGTGCTTTGTGATGTGTGCGTTCAACTCACAGAGTTTAACCTTTCTTTTCATAGAGGAGTTTGGAAACACACTGTTTGTAAAGTCTGCAAGTGGATATATGGACCTGTTTGAGGCCTTCGTTGGAAACGGGATTTCTTCATTGAATGCTAGACGGAAGAATTCTCAGTAAATTCTTTGTGTTGTGTGCATTCAACTCACAGAGTGGAACGTCCCTTTAGACAGAGCAGATTTGAAACACTCTTTTTGTGGAGTTTGCAAGTGGAGATTTCAAGCGATTTGATGCCAACAGTAGAAAAGGAAATATCTTCAAATAAAAACTAGACAGAATCATTCTCAGAATCTACTTTGTGATGTGTGCCTTCAACTCACAGAGTTTAACCTTTCTTTTCTTAGAGCAGTTTAGAAACACTCTGCTTGTTATGTCTGCAAGTGGATATTTGGACCTCTTTGAGGCCTTCGTTGCAAACGGGGTTTCTTCCTTTCATGCTAGACTAAGAAGAGTTCTCAGTAACTTTTTTGTGTTGTGTGTATTCAACTCACAGAGTTGAACCTTGCTTTAGAGAGAGCAGATTTGAAACACTCTTGCTGTGGCATTTTCAGGTGGAGATTTCAAGCGATTTGAGGACAATTGCAGAAAAGGAAATATCTTCGTATAATAACCAGACAGAATCATTCTCAGAAAGTGCTTTGTGATGTGTGCGTTCAACTCACAGAGTTTAACCTTTCTTTTCATAGAGGAGTTTGGAAACACACTGTTTGTAAAGTCTGCAAGTGGATATATGGACCTGTTTGAGGCCTTCGTTGGAAACGGGATTTCTTCATTGAATGCTAGACGGAAGAATTCTCAGTAAATTCTTTGTGTTGTGTGCATTCAACTCACAGAGTGGAACGTCCCTTTAGACAGAGCAGATTTGAAACACTCTTTATGCGGAATTTGCAAGTGGAGATTTCTAGCCATTTGATGCCAACAGTAGAAAGGGAAATATCTTCAAATAAAAACCAGACAGAATCATTCTCAGAAAATTCTTTGTGATGTGTGCGTTCAACTCACATAATTTAACCTTTCTTTTCATAGAGCAGTTTGGAAACACTCTGTTTGTAAAGTCTGCAAGTGGATATATGGACCTCATTGAGGCCTTCGTTGGAAACGGGATTTCTTCATTTCATGCTAGCCAGAAGAATTCTCAGTAACTTCTTTGTGCTGTGTGTATTCAACTCACAGAGTGGAACGTCCCTTTACACAGAGCAGATTTGAAACACCCTTTTTGCGGAATTTGCAAGTGGAGATTTCAAGCGATTTGATGCCAACAGTAGAAAAGGAAATATCTTCAAATAAAAACTAGACAGAATCATTCTCAGAAACTACTTTGTGATGTGTGCCTTCAACTCACAAAGGTTAACCTTTCTTTTCTTAGAGCAGTTTAGAAACACTCTGCTTGTTATGTCTGCAAGTGGATATTTGGACCTCTTTGAGGCCTTCGTTGCAAACGGGGTTTCTTCCTTTAATGCTAGACTAAGAAGAGTTCTCAGTAACTTTTTTGTGTTGTGTGTATTCAACTCACAGAGTTGAACCTTGCTTTAGAGAGAGCAGATTTGAAACACTCTTGCTGTGGCATTTTCAGGTGGAGATTTCAAGCGTTTTGAGGACAATTGCAGAAAAGGAAATATCTTCGTATAATAACCAGACAGAATCATTCTCAGAAAGTGCTTTGTGATGTGTGCGTTCCACTCACAGAGTTTAACCTTTCTTTTCATAGAGGAGTTTGGAAACACACTGTTTGTAAACTCTGCAAGTGGATATATGGACCTGTTTGAGGCCTTCGTTGGAAACGGGATTTCTTCATTGAATGCTAGACGGAAGAATTCTCAGTAAATTCTTTGTGTTGTGTGCATTCAACTCACAGAGTGGAACGTCCCTTTAGACAGAGCAGATTTGAAACACTCTTTTTGCGGAATTTGCAAGTGGAGATTTCTAGCCATTTGATGCCAACAGTAGAAAGGGAAATATCTTCAAATAAAAACCAGACAGAATCATTCTCAGAAAATTCTTTGTGATGTGTGCGTTCAACTCACATAGTTTAACCTTTCTTTTCATAGAGCAGTTTGGAAACACTCTGTTTGTAAAGTCTGCAAGTGGATCTATGGACCGCATTGAGGCCTTCGTTGGAAACGGGATTTCTTCATTTCATGCTAGACAGAAGAATTCTCAGTAACTTCTTTGTGCTGTGTGTATTCAACTCACAGAGTGGAACGTCCCTTTGCACAGAGCAGATTTGAAACACTCTTTTTGTGGAATTTGCAAGTGGAGATTTCAAGCGATTTGATGCCAACAGTAGAAAAGGAAATATCTTCAAATAAAAACTAGACAGAATCATTCTCAGAAACTACTTTGTGATGTGTGCCTTCAACTCACAGAGTTTAACCTTTCTTTTCTTAGAGCAGTTTAGAAACACTCTGCTTGTTATGTCTGCAAGTGGATATTTGGACCTCTTTGAGGCCTTCGTTGCAAACGGGGTTTCTTCCTTTCATGCTAGACTAAGAAGAGTTCTCAGTAACTTTTTTGTGTTGTGTGTATTCAACTCACAGAGTTGAACCTTGCTTTAGAGAGAGCAGATTTGAAACACTCTTGCTGTGGCATTTTCAGGTGGAGATTTCAAGCGATTTGAGGACAATTGCAGAAAAGGAAATATCTTCGTATAATAACCAGACAAAATCATTCTCAGAAAGTGCTTTGTGATGTGTGCGATCCACTCACAGAGTTTAACCTTTCTTTTCATAGAGGAGTTTGGAAACACACTGTTTGTAAAGTCTGCAAGTGGATATATGGACCTCTTTGAGGCCTTCGTTGGAAACGGGATTTCTTCATTGAACGCTAGACGGAAGAATTCTCAGTAAATTCTTTGTGTTGTGTGCATTCAACTCACAGAGTGGAACGTCCCTTTAGACAGAGCAGATTTGAAACACTCTTTTTACGGAATTTGCAAGTGGAGATTTCTAGCCATTTGATGCCAACAGTAGAAAGGGAAATATCTTCAAATAAAAACCAGACAGAATCATTCTCAGAAAATTCTTTGTGATGTGTGCGTTCAACTCACGTAGTTTAACCTTTCTTTTCATAGAGCAGTTTGGAAACACTCTGTTTGTAAAGTCTGCAAGTGGATATATGGACCGCATTGAGGCCTTCGTTGGAAACGGGATTTCTTCATTTCATGCTAGACAGAAGAATTCTCAGTAACTTCTTTGTGCTGTGTGTATTCAACTCACAGAGTGGAACGTCCCTTTAGACAGAGCAGATTTGAAACACTCTTTTTGTGGAATTTGCAAGTGGAGATTTCAAGCGATTTGATGCCAGCAGTAGAAAAGGAAATATCTTCAAATAAAAACTAGACAGAATCATTCTAAGAAACTACTTTGTGATGTGTGCCTTCAACTCACAGAGTTTAACCTTTCTTTTCTTAGAGCAGTTTAGAAACACTCTGCTTGTTATGTCTGCAAGTGGATATTTGGACCTCTTTGTGGCCTTCGTTGCAAACGGGGTTTCTTCATTTAATGCTAGACTAAGAAGAGTTCTCAGTAACTTTTTTGTGTTGTGTGTATTCAACTCACAGAGTTGAACCTTGCTTTAGAGAGAGCAGATTTGAAACACTCTTGCTGTGGCATTTTCAGGTGGAGATTTCAAGCGATTTGAGGACAATTGCAGAAAAGGAAATATCTTCGTATAATAACCAGACAGAATCATTCTCAGAAAGTGCTTTGTGATGTGTGCGTTCCACTCACAGAGTTTAACCTTTCTTTTCATAGAGGAGTTTGGAAACACACTGTTTGTAAAGTCTGCAAGTGGATATATGGACCTGTTTGAGGCCTTCGTTGGAAACGGGATTTCTTCATTGAATGCTAGACGGAAGAATTCTCAGTAAATTCTTTGTGTTGTGTGCATTCAACTCACAGAGTGGAACGTCCCTTTAGACAGAGCAGATTTGAAACACTCTTTTTGCGGAATTTGCAAGTGGAGATTTCTAGCCATTTGATGCCAACAGTAGAAAGGGAAATATCTTCAAATAAAAACCAGACAGAATCATTCTCAGAAAATTCTTTGTGATGTGTGCGTTCAACTCACATAGTTTAACCTTTCTTTTCATAGAGCAGTTTGGAAACACTCTGTTTGTAAAGTCTGCAAGTGGATATATGGACCGCATTGAGGCCTTCGTTGGAAACGGGATTTCTTCATTTCATGCTAGACAGAAGAATTCTCAGTAACTTCTTTGTGCTGTGTGTACTCAACTCACAGAGTGGAACGTCCCTTTGCACAGAGCAGATTTGAAACACTCTTTTTGTGGAGTTTGCAAGTGGAGATTTCAAGCGATTTGATGCCAACAGTAGAAAAGGAAATATCTTCAAATAAAAACTAGACAGAATCATTCTCAGAAACTACTTTGTGATGTCTGCCTTCAACTCACAGAGTTTAACCTTTCTTTTCTTTGAGCAGTTTAGAAACACTCTGCTTGTTATGTCTGCAAGTGGATATTTGGACCTCTTTGAGGCCTTCGTTGCAAACGGGGTTTCTTCCTTTCATGCTAGACTAAGAAGAGTTCTCAGTAACTTTTTTGTGTTGTGTGTATTCAACTCACAGAGTTGAACCATGCTTTAGAGAGAGCAGATTTGAAACACTCTTGCTGTGGCATTTTCAGGTGGAGATTTCAAGCGATTTGAGGACAATTGCAGAAAAGGAAATATCTTCGTATAATAACCAGACAGAATCATTCTCAGAAAGTGCTTTGTGATGTGTGCGTTCAACTCACAGAGTTTAACCTTTCTTTTCATAGAGGAGTTTGGAAACACACTGTTTGTAAAGTCTGCAAGTGGATATATGGACCTGTTTGAGGCCTTCGTTGGAAACGGGATTTCTTCATTGAATGCTAGACGGAAGAATTCTCAGTAAATTCTTTGTGTTGTGTGCATTCAACTCACAGAGTGGAACGTCCCTTTAGACAGAGCAGATTTGAAACACTCTTTTTGCGGAATTTGCAAGTGGAGATTTCTAGCCATTTGATGCCAACAGTAGAAAGGGAAATATCTTCAAATAAAAACCAGACAGAATCATTCTCAGAAAATTCTTTGTGATGTGTGCGTTCAACTCACATAGTTTAACCTTTCTTTTCATAGAGCAGTTTGGAAACACTCTGTTTGTAAAGTCTGCAAGTGGATATATGGACCGCATTGAGGCCTTCGTTGGAAACGGGATTTCTTCATTTCATGCTAGACAGAAGAATTCTCAGTAACTTCTTTGTGCTGTGTGTATTCAACTCACAGAGTTGAACCTTGCTTTAGAGAGAGCAGATTTGAAACACTCTTGCTGTGGCATTTTCAGGTGGAGATTTCAAGCGATTTGAGGAAAATTGCAGAAAAGGGAATATCTTCGTATAATAACCAGACAGAATCATTCTCAGAAAGTGCTTTGTGATGTGTGCGTTCCACTCACAGAGTTTAACCTTTCTTTTCATAGAGGAGTTTGGAAACACACTGTTTGTAATCTCTGCAAGTGGATATATGGACCTGTTTGAGGCCTTCGTTGGAAACGGGATTTCTTCATTGAATGCTAGACGGAAGAATTCTCAGTAAATTCTTTGTGTTGTGTGCATTCAACTCACAGAGTGGAACGTCCCTTTAGACAGAGCAGATTTGAAACACTCTTTTTGCGGAATTTGCAAGTGGAGATTTCTAGCCATTTGATGCCAACAGTAGAAAGGGAAATATCTTCAAATAAAAACCAGACAGAATCATTCTCAGAAAATTCTTTGTGATGTGTGCGTTCAACTCACATAGTTTAACCTTTCTTTTCATAGAGCAGTTTGGGAACACTCTGTTTGTAAAGTCTGCAAGTGGATATATGGACCGCTTTGAGGCCTTCGTTGGAAACGGGATTTCTTCATTTCATGCTAGACAGAAGAATTCTCAGTAACTTCTTTGTGCTGTGTGTATTCAACTCACAGAGTGGAACGTCCCTTTACACAGAGCAGATTTGAAACACTCTTTTTGTGGAGTTTGCAAGTGGAGATTTCAAGCGATTTGATGCCAACAGTAGAAAAGGAAATATCTTCAAATAAAAACTAGACAGAATCATTCTCAGAAACTACTTTGTGATGTGTGCCTTCAACTCACAGAGTTTAACCTTTCTTTTCTTAGAGCAGTTTAGAAACACTCTGCTTGTTATGTCTGCAAGTGGATATTTGGACCTCTTTGAGGCCTTCGTTGCAAACGGGGTTTCTTCCTTTCATGCTAGACTAAGAAGAGTTCTCAGTAACTTTTTTGTGTTGTGTGTATTCAACTCACAGAGTTGAACCTTGCTTTAGAGAGAGCAGATTTGAAACACTCTTGCTGTGACATTTTCAGGTGGAGATTTCAAGCGATTTGAGGACAATTGCAGAAAAAGAAATATCTTCGTATAATAACCAGACAGAATCATTCTCAGAAAGTGCTTTGTGATGTGTGCGTTCAACTCACAGAGTTTAACTTTTCTTTCCATAGAGGAGTTTGGAAACACACTGTTTGTAAAGTCTGCAAGTGGATATATGGACCTGTTTGAGGCCTTCGTTGGAAACGGGATTTCTTCATTGAATGCTAGACGGAAGAATTCTCAGTAAATTCTTTGTGTTGTGTGCATTCAACTCACAGAGTGGAACGTCCCTTTAGACAGAGCAGATTTGAAACACTCTTTTTGCGGAATTTGCAAGTGGAGATTTCTAGCCATTTGATGCCAACAGTAGAAAGGGAAATATCTTCAAATAAAAACCAGGCAGAATCATTCTCAGAAAATTCTTTGTGATGTGTGCGTTCAACTCACATAGTTTAACCTTTCTTTTCATAGAGCAGTTTGGAAACACTCTGTTTGTAAAGTCTGCAAGTGGATATATGGACCGCATTGAGGCCTTCGTTGGAAACGGGATTTCTTCATTTCATGCTAGACAGAAGAATTCTCAGTAACTTCTTTGTGCTGTGTGTATTCAACTCACAGAGTGGAACGTCCCTTTGCACAGAGCGGATTTGAAACACTCTTTTTGTGGAGTTTGCAAGTGGAGATTTCAAGCGATTTGATGCCAACAGTAGAAAAGGAAATATCTTCAAATAAAAACTAGACAGAATTATTCTCAAAAACTACTCTGTGATGTGTGCCTTCAACTCACAGAGTTTAACCTTTCTTTTCTTAGAGCAGTTTAGAAACACTCTGCTTGTTATGTCTGCAAGTGGATATTTGGACCTCTTTGAGGCCTTCGTTGCAAACGGGGTTTCTTCCTTTCATGCTAGACTAAGAAGAGTTCTCAGTAACTTTTTTGTGTTGTGTGTATTCAACTCACAGAGTTGAACCTTGCTTTAGAGAGAGCAGATTTGAAACACTCTTGCTGTGGCATTTTCAGGTGGAGATTTCAAGCGATTTGAGGACAATTGCAGAAAAGGAAATATCTTCGTATAATAACCAGACAGAATCATTCTCAGAAAGTGCTTTGTGATGTGTGCGTTCAACTCACAGAGTTTAACCTTTCTTTTCATAGAGGAGTTTGGAAACACACTGTTTGTAAAGTCTGCAAGTGGATATATGGACCTGTTTGAGGCCTTCGTTGGAAACGGGATTTCTTCATTGAATGCTAGACGGAAGAATTCTCAGTAAATTCTTTGTGTTGTGTGCATTCAACTCACAGAGTGGAACGTCCCTTTAGACAGAGCAGATTTGAAACACTCTTTTTGTGGAATTTGCAAGTGGAGATTTCTAGCCATTTGATGCCAACAGTAGAAAGGGAAATATCTTCAAATAAAAACCAGACAGAATCATTCTCAGAAAATTCTTTGTGATGTGTGCGTTCAACTCACATAGTTTAACCTTTCTTTTCATAGAGCAGTTTGGAAACACTCTGTTTGTAAAGTCTGCAAGTGGATATATGGACCGCATTGAGGCCTTCGTTGGAAACGGGATTTCTTCATTTCATGCTAGACAGAAGAATTCTCAGTAACTTCTTTGTGCTGTGTGTATTCAACTCACAGAGTGGAACGTCCCTTTACACAGAGCAGATTTGAAACACTCTTTTTGTGGAGTTTGCAAGTGGAGATTTCAAGCGATTTGATGCCAACAGTAGAAAAGGAAATATCTTCAAATAAAAACTAGACAGAATCATTCTCAGAAACTACTTTGTGATGTGTGCCTTCAACTCACAGAGTTTAACCTTTCTTTTCTTAGAGCAGTTTAGAAACACTCTGCTTGTTATGTCTGCAAGTGGATATTTGGACCTCTTTGAGGCCTTCGTTGCAAACGGGGTTTCTTCCTTTCATGCTAGACTAAGAAGAGTTCTCAGTAACTTTTTTGTGTTGTGTGTATTCAACTCACAGAGTTGAACCTTGCTTTAGAGAGAGCAGATTTGAAACACTCTTGCTGTGGCATTTTCAGGTGGAGATTTCAAGCGATTTGAGGACAATTGCAGAAAAGGAACTACTTCGTATAATAACCAGACAGAATCATTCTCAGAAAGTGCTTTGTGATGTGTGCGTTCCACTCACAGAGTTTAACCTTTCTTTTCATAGAGGAGTTTGGAAACACACTGTTTGTAAAGTCTGCAAGTGGATATATGGACCTGTTTGAGGCCTTCGTTGGAAACGGGATTTCTTCATTGAATGCTAGACGGAAGAATTCTCAGTAAATTCTTTGTGTTGTGTGCATTCAACTCACAGAGTGGAACGTCCCTTTAGACAGAGCAGATTTGAAACACTCTTTTTGCGGAATTTGCAAGTGGAGATTTCTAGCCATTTGATGCCAACAGTAGAAAGGGAAATATCTTCAAATAAAAACCAGGCAGAATCATTCTCAGAAAATTCTTTGTGATGTGTGCGTTCAACTCACATAGTTTAACCTTTCTTTTCATAGAGCAGTTTGGAAACACTCTGTTTGTAAAGTCTGCAAGTGGATATATGGACCGCATTGAGGCCTTCGTTGGAAACGGGATTTCTTCATTTCATGCTAGACAGAAGAATTCTCAGTAACTTCTTTGTGCTGTGTGTATTCAACTCACAGAGTGGAACGTCCCTTTACACAGAGCAGATTTGAAACACTCTTTTTGTGGAGTTTGCAAGTGGAGATTTCAAGCGATTTGATGCCAACAGTAGAAAAGGAAATATCTTCAAATAAAAACTAGACAGAATCATTCTCAGAAACTACTTTGTGATGTGTGCCTTCAACTCACAGAGTTTAACCTTTCTTTTCTTAGAGCAGTTTAGAAACACTCTGCTTGTTATGTCTGCAAGTGGATATTTGGACCTCTTTGAGGCCTTCGTTGCAAACGGGGTTTCTTCCTTTCATGCTAGACTAAGAAGAGTTCTCAGTAACTTTTTTGTGTTGTGTGTATTCAACTCACAGAGTTGAACCTTGCTTTAGAGAGAGCAGATTTGAAACACTCTTGCTGTGGCATTTTCAGGTGGAGATTTCAAGCGATTTGAGGACAATTGCAGAAAAGGAAATATCTTCGTATAATAACCAGACAGAATCATTCTCAGAAAGTGCTTTGTGATGTGTGCGTTCCACTCACAGAGTTTAACCTTTCTTTTCATAGAGGAGTTTGGAAACACACTGTTTGTAAAGTCTGCAAGTGGATATATGGACCTGTTTGAGGCCTTCGTTGGAAACGGGATTTCTTCATTGAATGCTAGACGGAAGAATTCTCAGTAAATTCTTTGTGTTGTGTGCATTCAACTCACAGAGTGGAACGTCCCTTTAGACAGAGCAGATTTGAAACACTCTTTTTGCGGAATTTGCAAGTGGAGATTTCTAGCCATTTGATGCCAACAGTAGAAAGGGAAATATCTTCAAATGAAAACCAGACAGAATCATTCTCAGAAAATTCTTTGTGATGTGTGCGTTCAACTCACATAGTTTAACCTTTCTTTTCATAGAGCAGTTTGGAAACACTCTGTTTGTAAAGTCTGCAAGTGGATATATGGACCGCATTGAGGCCTTCGTTGGAAACGGGATTTCTTCATTTCATGCTAGACAGAAGAATTCTCAGTAACTTCTTTGTGCTGTGTGTATTCAACTCACAGAGTGGAACGTCCCTTTACACAGAGCAGATTTGAAACACTCTTTTTGTGGAGTTTGCAAGTGGAGATTTCAAGCGATTTGATGCCAACAGTAGAAAAGGAAATATCTTCAAATAAAAACTAGACAGAATCATTCTCAGAAACTACTTTGTGATGTGTGCCTTCAACTCACAGAGTTTAACCTTTCTTTTCTTAGAGCAGTTTAGAAACACTCTGCTTGTTATGTCTGCAAGTGGATATTTGGACCTCTTTGAGGCCTTCGTTGCAAACGGGGTTTCTTCCTTTCATGCTAGACTAAGAAGAGTTCTCAGTAACTTTTCCGTGTTGTGTGTATTCAACTCACAGAGTTGAACCTTGCTTTAGAGAGAGCAGATTTGAAACACTCTTGCTGTGGCATTTTCAGGTGGAGATTTCAAGCGTTTTGAGGACAATTGCAGAAAAGGAAATATCTTCGTATAATAACCAGACAGAATCATTCTCAGAAAGTGCTTTGTGATGTGTGCGTTCCACTCACAGAGTTTAACCTTTCTTTTCATAGAGGAGTTTGGAAACACACTGTTTGTAAAGTCTGCAAGTGGATATATGGACCTGTTTGAGGCCTTCGTTGGAAACGGGATTTCTTCATTGAATGCTAGACGGAAGAATTCTCAGTAAATTCTTTGTGTTGTGTGCATTCAACTCACAGAGTGGAACGTCCCTTTAGACAGAGCAGATTTGAAACACTCTTTTTGCGGAATTTGCAAGTGGAGATTTCTAGCCATTTGATGCCAACAGTAGAAAGGGAAATATCTTCAAATAAAAACCAGACAGAATCATTCTCAGAAAATTCTTTGTGATGTGTGCGTTCAACTCACATAGTTTAACCTTTCTTTTCATAGAGCAGTTTGGAAACACTCTGTTTGTAAAGTCTGCAAGTGGATATATGGACCGCATTGAGGCCTTCGTTGGAAACGGGATTTCTTCATTTCATGCTAGACAGAAGAATTCTCAGTAACTTCTTTGTGCTGTGTGTATTCAACTCACAGAGTGGAACGTCCCTTTGCACAGAGCAGATTTGAAACACTCTTTTTGTGGAATTTGCAAGTGGAGATTTCAAGCGATTTGATGCCAACAGTAGAAAAGGAAATATCTTCAAATAAAACTAGACAGAATCATTCTCAGAAACTACTTTGTGATGTGTGCCTTCAACTCACAGAGTTTAACCTTTCTTTTCTTAGAGCAGTTTAGGAACACTCTGCTTGTTATGTCTGCAAGTGGATATTTGGACCTCTTTGAGGCCTTCGTTGCAAACGGGGTTTCTTCTTTTCATGCTAGACTAAGAAGAGTTCTCAGTAACTTTTTTGTGTTGTGTGTATTCAACTCACAGAGTTGAACCTTGCTTTAGAGAGAGCAGATTTGAAACACTCCTGCTGTGGCATTTTCAGGTGGAGATTTCAAGCGATTTGAGGACAATTGCAGAAAAGGAAATATCTTCGTATAATAACCAGACAGAATCATTCTCAGAAAGTGCTTTTTGATGTGTGCGTTCAACTCACAGAGTTTAACCTTTCTTTTCATAGAGGAGTTTGGAAACACACTGTTTGTAAAGTCTGCAAGTGGATATATGGACCTGTTTGAGCCCTTCGTTGGAAACGGGATTTCTTCATTGAATGCTAGACGGAAGAATTCTCAGTAAATTCTTTGTGTTGTGTGCATTCAACTCACAGAGTGGAACGTCCCTTTAGACAGAGCAGATTTGAAACACTCTTTTTGCGGAATTTGCAAGTGGAGATTTCTAGCCATTTGATGCCAACAGTAGAAAGGGAAATATCTTCAAATAAAAACCAGACAGAATCATTCTCAGAAAATTCTTTGTGATGTGTGCGTTCAACTCACATAGTTTAACCTTTCTTTTCATAGAGCAGTTTGGAAACACTCTGTTTGTAAAGTCTGCAAGTGGATATATGGACCGCATTGAGGCCTTCGTTGGAAACGGGATTTCTTCATTTCATGCTAGACAGAAGAATTCTCAGTAACTTCTTTGTGCTGTGTGTATTCAACTCACAGAGTGGAACGTCCCTTTACACAGAGCAGATTTGAAACACTCTTTTTGTGGAGTTTGCAAGTGGAGATTTCAAGCGATTTGATGCCAACAGTAGAAAAGGAAATATCTTCAAATAAAAACTAGACAGAATCATTCTCAGAAACTACTTTGTGATGTGTGCCTTCAACTCACAGAGTTTAACCTTTCTTTTCTTAGAGCAGTTTAGAAACACTCTGCTTGTTATGTCTGCAAGTGGATATTTGGACCTCTTTGAGGCCTTCGTTGCAAACGGGGTTTCTTCCTTTCATGCTAGACTAAGAAGAGTTCTCAGTAACTTTTTTGTGTTGTGTGTATTCAACTCACAGAGTTGAACCTTGCTTTAGAGAGAGCAGATTTGAAACACTCTTGCTGTGGCATTTTCAGGTGGAGATTTCAAGCGATTTGAGGACAATTGCAGAAAAGGAAATATCTTCGTATAATAACCAGACAGAATCATTCTCAGAAAGTGCTTTGTGATGTGTGCGTTCAACTCACAGAGTTTAACCTTTCTTTTCATAGAGGAGTTTGGAAACACACTGTTTGTAAAGTCTGCAAGTGGATATATGGACCTGTTTGAGGCCTTCGTTGGAAACGGGATTTCTTCATTGAATGCTAGACGGAAGAATTCTCAGTAAATTCTTTGTGTTGTGTGCATTCAACTCACAGAGTGGAACGTCCCTTTAGACAGAGCAGATTTGAAACACTCTTTTTGCGGAATTTGCAAGTGGAGATTTCTAGCCATTTGATGCCAACAGTAGAAAGGGAAATATCTTCAAATAAAAACCAGACAGAATCATTCTCAGAAAATTCTTTCTTATGTGTGCGTTCAACTCACATAGTTTAACCTTTCTTTTCATAGAGCAGTTTGGAAACACTCTGTTGGTAAAGTCTGCAAGTGGATATATGGACCGCTTTGAGGCCTTCGTTGGAAATGGGATTTCTTCATTTCATGCTAGACAGAAGAATTCTCAGTAACTTCTTTGTGCTGTGTGTATTCAACTCACAGAGTGGAACGTCCCTTTACACAGAGCAGATTTGAAACACTCTTTTTGTGGAGTTTGCAAGTGGAGATTTCAAGCGATTTGATGTCAACAGTAGAAAAGGAAATATCTTCAAATAAAAACTAGACAGAATCATTCTCAGAAACTACTTTGTGATGTGTGCCTTCAACTCACAGAGTTTAACCTTTCTTTTCTTAGAGCAGTTTAGAAACACTCTGCTTGTTATGTCTGCAAGTGGATATTTGGACCTCTTTGAGGCCTTCGTTGCAAACGGGGTTTCTTCCTTTCATGCTAGACTAAGAAGAGTTCTCAGTAACTTTTTTGTGTTGTGTGTATTCAACTCACAGAGTTGAACCTTGCTTTAGAGAGAGCAGATTTGAAACACTCTTGCTGTGGCATTTTCAGGTGGAGATTTCAAGCGATTTGAGGACAATTGCAGAAAAGGAAATATCTTCGTATAATAACCAGACAGAATCATTCTCAGAAAGTGCTTTGTGATGTGTGCGTTCAACTCACAGAGTTTAACCTTTCTTTTCATAGAGGAGTTTGGAAACACACTGTTTGTAACGTCTGCAAGTGGATATATGGACCTGTTTGAGGCCTTCGTTGGAAACGGGATTTCTTCATTGAATGCTAGACGGAAGAATTCTCAGTAAATTCTTTGTGTTGTGTGTATTCAACTCACAGAGTGGAACGTCCCTTTAGACAGAGCAGATTTGAAACACTCTTTTTGCGGAAGTTGCAAGTGGAGATTTCTAGCCATTTGATGCCAACAGTAGAAAGGGAAATATCTTCAAATAAAAACTAGACAGAATCATTCTCAGAAAGTGCTTTGTGATGTGTGCCTTCAACTCACAGAGTTTAACCTTTCTTTTCTTAGAGCAGTTTAGAAACACTCTGCTTGTTATGTCTGCAAGTGGATATTTGGACCTCTTTGAGGCCTTCGTTGCAAACGGGGTTTCTTCCTTTCATGCTAGACTAAGAAGAGTTCTCAGTAACTTTTTTGTGTTGTGTGTATTCAACTCACAGAGTTGAACCTTGCTTTAGAGAGAGCAGATTTGAAACACTCTTGCTGTGGCATTTTCAGGTGGAGATTTCAAGCGTTTTGAGGACAATTGCAGAAAAGGAAATATCTTCGTATAATAACCAGACAGAATCATTCTCAGAAAGTGCTTTGTGATGTGTGCGTTCAACTCACAGAGTTTAACCTTTCTTTTCATAGAGGAGTTTGGAAACACACTGTTTGTAAAGTCTGCAAGTGGATATATGGACCTGTTTGAGGCCTTCGTTGGAAACGGGATTTCTTCATTGAATGCTAGACGGAAGAATTCTCAGTAAATTCTTTGTGTTGTGTGCATTCAACTCACAGAGTGGAACGTCCCTTTAGACAGAGCAGATTTGAAACACTCTTTTTGCGGAATTTGCAAGTGGAGATTTCTAGCCATTTGATGCCAACAGTAGAAAGGGAAATATCTTCAAATAAAAACCAGACAGAATCATTCTCAGAAAATTCTTTGTGATGTGTGCGTTCAACTCACATAGTTTAACCTTTCTTTTCATAGAGCAGTTTGGAAACACTCTGTTTGTAAAGTCTGCAAGTGGATATATGGACCGCATTGAGGCCTTCGTTGGAAACGGGATTTCTTCATTTCATGCTAGACAGAAGAATTCTCAGTAACTTCTCTGTGCTGTGTGTATTCAACTCACAGACTGGAACGTCCGTTTGCACAGAGCAGATTTGAAACACTCTTTTTGTGGAATTTGCAAGTGGAGATTTCAAGCGATTTGATGCCAACAGTAGAAAAGGAAATATCTTCAAATAAAAACTAGACAGAATCATTCTCAGAAACTACTTTGTGATGTGTGCCTTCAACTCACAGAGTTTAACCTTTCTTTTCTTAGAGCAGTTTAGAAACACTCTGCTTGTTATGTCTGCAAGTGGATATTTGGACCTCTTTGAGGCCTTCGTTGCAAACGGGGTTTCTTCCTTTCATGCTAGACTAAGAAGAGTTCTCAGTAACTTTTTTGTGTTGTGTGTATTCAACTCACAGAGTTGAACCTTGCTTTAGAGAGAGCAGATTTGAAACACTCTTGCTGTGGCATTTTCAGGTGGAGATTTCAAGCGTTTTGAGGACAATTGCAGAAAAGGAAATATCTTCGTATAATAACCAGACAGAATCATTCTCAGAAAGTGCTTTGTGATGTGTGCGTTCCACTCACAGAGTTTAACCTTTCTTTTCATAGAGGAGTTTGGAAACACACTGTTTGTAAACTCTGCAAGTGGATATATGGACCTGTTTGAGGCCTTCGTTGGAAACGGGATTTCTTCATTGAATGCTAGACGGAAGAATTCTCAGTAAATTCTTTGTGTTGTGTGCATTCAACTCACAGAGTGGAACGTCCCTTTAGACAGAGCAGATTTGAAACACTCTTTTTGCGGAATTTGCAAGTGGAGATTTCTAGCCATTTGATGCCAACAGTAGAAAGGGAAATATCTTCAAATAAAAACCAGACAGAATCATTCTCAGAAAATTCTTTGTGATGTGTGCGTTCAACTCACATAGTTTAACCTTTCTTTTCATAGAGCAGTTTGGAAACACTCTGTTTGTAAAGTCTGCAAGTGGATATATGGACCGCATTGAGGCCTTCGTTGGAAACGGGATTTCTTCATTTCATGCTAGACAGAAGAATTCTCAGTAACTTCTTTGTGCTGTGTGTATTCAACTCACAGAGTGGAACGTCCCTTTGCACAGAGCAGATTAGAAACACTCTTTTTGTGGAATTTGCAAGTGGAGATTTCAAGCGATTTGATGCCAACAGTAGAAAAGGAAATATGCTTCAAATAAAAACTAGACAGAATCATTCTCAGAAACTACTTTGTGATGTGTGCCTTCAACTCACAGAGTTTAACCTTTCTTTTCTTAGAGCAGTTTAGAAACACTCTGCTTGTTATGTCTGCAAGTGGATATTTGGACCTCTTTGAGGCCTTCGTTGCAAACGGGGTTTCTTCCTTTCATGCTAGACTAAGAAGAGTTCTCAGTAACTTTTTTGTGTTGTGTGTATTCAACTCACAGAGTTGAACCTTGCTTTAGAGAGAGCAGATTTGAAACACTCTTGCTGTGGCATTTTCAGGTGGAGATTTCAAGCGATTTGAGGACAATTGCAGAAAAGGAAATATCTTCGTATAATAACCAGACAGAATCATTCTCAGAAAATTCTTTGTGATGTGTGCGTTCAACTCACATAGTTTAACCTTTCTTTTCATAGAGCAGTTTGGAAACACTCTGTTTGTAAAGTCTGCAAGTGGATATATGGACCTGTTTGAGGCCTTCGTTGGAAACGGGATTTCTTCATTGAATGCTAGACGGAAGAATTCTCAGTAAATTCTTTGTGTTGTGTGCATTCAACTGACAGAGTGGAACGTCCCTTTACACAGAGCAGATTTGAAACACTCTTTTTGCGGAATTTGCAAGTGGAGATTTCTAGCCATTTGATGCCAACAGTAGAAAGGGAAACATCTTCAAATAAAAACCAGACAGAATGATTCTCAGAAACTCCTTTGTGATGTGTGCGTTCAACTCACAGAGTTTAACCTTTCTTTTCATAGAGCAGTTAGGAAACACTCTGTTTGTAAAGTCTGCAAGTGGATATTCAGACCTCTTTGAGGCCTTCGTTGGAAACGGGTTTTTTTCATATAAGGCTAGACAGAAGAATTCTCAGTAACTTCTTTGTGCTGTGTGTATTCAACTCACAGAGTGGAACGTCCCTTTGCACAGAGCAGATTTGAAACACTCTTTTTGTGGAGTTTGCAAGTGGAGATTTCAAGCGATTTGATGCCAACAGTAGAAAAGGAAGTATCTTCAAATAAAAACTAGACAGAATCATTCTCAGAAACTACTTTGTGATGTGTGCCTTCAACTCACAGAGTTTAACCTTTCTTTTCTGAGAGCAGCTTAGAAACACTCTGCTTGTTATGTCTGCAAGTTGATATTTGGACCTCTTTGAGGCCTTCGTTGCAAACGGGGTTTCTTCCTTTAATGCTAGACTAAGAAGAGTTCTCAGTAACTTTTTTGTGTTGTGTGTATTCAACTCACAGAGTTGAACCTTGCTTTAGAGAGAGCAGATTTGAAACACTCTTGCTGTGGCATTTTCAGGTGGAGATTTCAAGCGATTTGAGGACAATTGCAGAAAAGGAAATATCTTCGTATAATAACCAGACAGAATCATTCTCAGAAAGTGCTTTGTGATGTGTGCGTTCAACTCACAGAGTTTAACCTTTCTTTTCATAGAGGAGTTTGGAAACACACTGTTTGTAAAGTCTGCAAGTGGATACATGGACCTGTTTGAGGCCTTCGTTGGAAACGGGATTTCTTCATTGAATGCTAGACGGAAGAATTCTCAGTAAATTCTTTGTGTTGTGTGCATTGAACTCACAGAGTGGAACGTCCCTTTAGACAGAGCAGATTTGAAACACTCTTTTTGCGGAATTTGCAAGTGGAGATTTCTAGCCATTTGATGCCAACAGTAGAAAGGGAAATATCTTCAAATAAAAACCAGACAGAATCATTCTCAGAAAATTCTTTGTGATGTGTGCGTTCAACTCACATAGTTTAACCTTTCTTTTCATAGAGCAGTTTGGAAACACTCTGTTTGTAAAGTCTGCAAGTGGATATATGGACCGCATTGAGGCCTTCGTTGGAAACGGGATTTCTTCATTTCATGCTAGACAGAAGAATTCTCAGTAACTTCTTTGTGCTGTGTGTATTCAACTCACAGAGTTGAACCTTGCTTTAGAGAGAGCAGATTTGAAACACTCTTGCTGTGGCATTTTCAGGTGGAGATTTCAAGCGATTTGAGGAAAATTGCAGAAAAGGGAATATCTTCGTATAATAACCAGACAGAATCATTCTCAGAAAGTGCTTTGTGATGTGTGCGTTCCACTCACAGAGTTTAACCTTTCTTTTCATAGAGGAGTTTGGAAACACACTGTTTGTAAAGTCTGCAAGTGGATATATGGACCTGTTTGAGGCCTTCGTTGGAAACGGGATTTCTTCATTGAATGCTAGACGGAAGAATTCTCAGTAAATTCTTTGTGTTGTGTGCATTCAACTCACAGAGTGGAACGTCCCTTTAGACAGAGCAGATTTGAAACACTCTTTTTGCGGAATTTGCAAGTGGAGATTTCTAGCCATTTGATGCCAACAGTAGAAAGGGAAATATCTTCAAATAAAAACCAGACAGAATCATTCTCAGAAAATTCTTTGTGATGTGTGCGTTCAACTCACATAGTTTAACCTTTCTTTTCATAGAGCAGTTTGGAAACACTCTGTTTGTAAAGTCTGCAAGTGGATATATGGACCGCATTGAGGCCTTCGTTGGAAACGGGATTTCTTCATTTCATGCTAGACAGAAGAATTCTCAGTAACTTCTTTGTGCTGTGTGTATTCAACTCACAGAGTGGAACGTCCCTTTGCACAGAGCAGATTTGAAACACTCTTTTTGTGGAGTTTGCAAGTGGAGATTTCAAGCGATTTGATGCCAACAGTAGAAAAGGAAATATCTTCAAATAAAAACTAGACAGAATCATTCTCAGAAACTACTTTGTGATGTGTGCCTTCAACTCACAGAGTTTAACCTTTCTTTTCTTAGAGCAGTTTAGAAACACTCTGCTTGTTATGTCTGCAAGTGGATATTTGGACCTCTTTGAGGCCTTCGTTGCAAACGGGGTTTCTTCCTTTCATGCTAGACTAAGAAGAGTTCTCAGTAACTTTTTTGTGTTGTGTGTATTCAACTCACAGAGTTGAACCTTGCTTTAGAGAGAGCAGATTTGAAACACTCTTGCTGTGGCATTTTCAGGTGGAGATTTCAAGCGATTTGAGGACAATTGCAGAAAAGGAAATATCTTCGTATAATAACCAGACAGAATCATTCTCAGAAAGCGCTTTGTGATGAGTGCGTTCAACTCACAGAGTTTAACCTTTCTTTTCATAGAGGAGTTTGGAAACACACTGTTTGTAAAGTCTGCAATTGGATATATGGACCTGTTTGAGGCCTTCGTTGGAAACGGGATTTCTTCATTGAATGCTAGACGGAAGAATTCTCAGTAAATTCTTTGTGTTGTGTGCATTCAACTCACAGAGTGGAACGTCCCTTTAGACAGAGCAGATTTGAAACACTCTTTTTGCGGAATTTGCAAGTGGAGATTTCTAGCCATTTGATGCCAACAGTAGAAAGGGAAATATCTTCAAATAAAAACCAGACAGAATCATTCTCAGAAAATTCTTTGTGATGTGTGCGTTCAACTCACATAGTTTAACCTTTCTTTTCATAGAGCAGTTTGGAAACACTCTGTTTGTAAAGTCTGCAAGTGGATATATGGACCGCATTGAGGCCTTCGTTGGAAACGGGATTTCTTCATTTCATGCTAGACAGAAGAATTCTCAGTAACTTCTTTGTGCTGTGTGTATTCAACTCACAGAGTGGAACGTCCCTTTGCACAGAGCAGATTTGAAACACTCTTTTTGTGGAGTTTGCAAGTGGAGATTTCAAGCGATTTGATGCCAACAGTAGAAAAGGAAATATCTTCAAATAAAAACTAGACAGAATCATTCTCAGAAACTACTTTGTGATGTGTGCCTTCAACTCACAGAGTTTAACCTTTCTTTTCTTAGAGCAGTTTAGAAACACTCTGCTTGTTATGTCTGCAAGTGGATATTTGGACCTCTTTGAGGCCTTCGTTGCAAACGGGGTTTCTTCCTTTCATGCTAGACTAAGAAGAGTTCTCAGTAACTTTTTTGTGTTGTGTGTATTCAACTCACAGAGTTGAACCTTGCTTTAGAGAGAGCAGATTTGAAACACTCTTGCTGTGGCATTTTCAGGTGGAGATTTCAAGCGATTTGAGGACAATTGCAGAAAAGGAAATATCTTCGTATAATAACCAGACAGAATCATTCTCAGAAAGTGCTTTGTGATGTGTGCGTTCAACTCACAGAGATTAACCTTTCTTTCCATAGAGGAGTTTGGAAACACACTGTTTGTAAAGTCTGCAATTGGATATATGGACCTGTTTGAGGCCTTCGTTGGAAACGGGATTTCTTCATTGAATGCTAGACGGAAGAATTCTCAGTAAATTCTTTGTGTTGTGTGCATTCAACTCACAGAGTGGAACGTCCCTTTAGACAGAGCAGATTTGAAACACTCTTTTTGCGGAATTTGCAAGTGGAGATTTCTAGCCATTTGATGCCAACAGTAGAAAGGGAAATATCTTCAAATAAAAACCAGACAGAATCATTCTCAGAAAATTCTTTGTGATGTGTGCGTTCAACTCACATAGTTTAACCTTTCTTTTCATAGAGCAGTTTGGAAACACTCTGTTTGTAAAGTCTGCAAGTGGATATATGGACCGCATTGAGGCCTTCGTTGGAAACGGGATTTCTTCATTTCATGCTAGACAGAAGAATTCTCAGTAACTTCTTTGTGCTGTGTGTATTCAACTCACAGAGTGGAACGTCCCTTTACACAGAGCACATTTGAAACACTCTTTTTGTGGAGTTTGCAAGTGGAGATTTCAAGCGATTTGATGCCAACAGTAGAAAAGGAAATATCTTCAAATAAAAACTAGACAGAATCATTCTCAGAAACTACTTTGTGATGTGTGCCTTCAACTCACAGAGTTTAACCTTTCTTTTCTTAGAGCAGTTTAGAAACACTCTGCTTGTTATGTCTGCAAGTGGATATTTGGACCTCTTTGAGGCCTTCGTTGCAAACGGGGTTTCTTCCTTTCATGCTAGACTAAGAAGAGTTCTCAGTAACTTTTTTGTGTTGTGTGTATTCAACTCACAGAGTTGAACCTTGCTTTAGAGAGAGCAGATTTGAAACACTCTTGCTGTGGCATTTTCAGGTGGAGATTTCAAGCGATTTGAGGACAATTGCAGAAAAGGAAATATCTTCGTATAATAACCAGACAGAATCATTCTCAGAAAGTGCTTTGTGATGTGTGCGTTCAACTCACAGAGTTTAACCTTTCTTTTCATAGAGGAGTTTGGAAACACACTGTTTGTAAAGTCTGCAAGTGGATATATGGACCTGTTTGAGGCCTTCGTTGGAAACGGGATTTCTTCATTGAATGCTAGACGGAAGAATTCTCAGTAAATTCTTCGTGTTGTGTGCATTCCACTCACAGAGTGGAACGTCCCTTTAGACAGAGCAGATTTGAAACACTCTTTTTGCGGAATTTGCAAGTGGAGATTTCTAGCCATTTGATGCCAACAGTAGAAAGGGAAATATCTTCAAATAAAAACCAGACAGAATCATTCTCAGAAAATTCTTTGTGATGTGTGCGTTCAACTCACATAGTTTAACCTTTCTTTTCATAGAGCAGTTTGGAAACACTGTTTGTAAAGTCTGCAAGTGGATATATGGACCGCATTGAGGCCTTCGTTGGAAACGGGATTTCTTCATTTCATGCTAGACAGAAGAATTCTCAGTAACTTCTTTGTGCTGTGTGTATTCAACTCACAGAGTGGAACGTCCCTTTGCACAGAGCGGATTTGAAACACTCTTTTTGTGGAGTTTGCAAGTGGAGATTTCAAGCGATTTGATGCCAACAGTAGAAAAGGAAATATCTTCAAATAAAAACTAGACAGAATCATTCTCAAAAACTACTTTGTGATGTGTGCCTTCAACTCACAGAGTTTAACCTTTCTTTTCTTAGAGCAGTTTAGAAACACTCTGCTTGTTATGTCTGCAAGTGGATATTTGGACCTCTTTGAGGCCTTCGTTGCAAACGGGGTTTCTTCCTTTCATGCTAGACTAAGAAGAGTTCTCAGTAACTTTTTTGTGTTGTGTGTATTCAACTCACAGAGTTGAACCTTGCTTTAGAGAGAGCAGATTTGAAACACTCTTGCTGTGGCATTTTCAGGTGGAGATTTCAAGCGATTTGAGGACAATTGCAGAAAAGGAAATATCTTCGTATAATAACCAGACAGAATCATTCTCAGAAAGTGCTTTGTGATGTGTGCGTTCAACTCACAGAGTTTAACCTTTCTTTTCATAGAGGAGTTTGGAAACACACTGTTTGTAAAGTCTGCAATTGGATATATGGACCTGTTTGAGGCCTTCGTTGGAAACGGGATTTCTTCATTGAATGCTAGACGGAAGAATTCTCAGTAAATTCTTTGTGTTGTGTGCATTCAACTCACAGAGTGGAACGTCCCTTTAGACAGAGCAGATTTGAAACACTCTTTTTGCGGAATTTGCAAGTGGAGATTTCTAGCCATTTGATGCCAACAGTAGAAAGGGAAATATCTTCAAATAAAAACCAGACAGAATCATTCTCAGAAAATTCTTTGTGATGTGTGCGTTCAACTCACATAGTTTAACCTTTCTTTTCATAGAGCAGTTTGGAAACACTCTGTTTGTAAACTCTGCAAGTGGATATATGGACCGCATTGAGGCCTTCGTTGGAAACGGGATTTCTTCATTTCATGCTAGACAGAAGAATTCTCAGTAACTTCTTTGTGCTGTGTGTATTCAACTCACAGAGTGGAACGTCCCTTTGCACAGAGCAGATTTGAAACACTCTTTTTGTGGAGTTTGAAAGTGGAGATTTCAAGCGATTTGATGCCAACAGTAGAAAAGGAAATATCTTCAAATAAAAACTAGACAGAATCATTCTCAGAAACTACTTTGTGATGTGTGCCTTCAACTCACAGAGTTTAACCTTTCTTTTCTTAGAGCAGTTTAGAAACACTCTGCTTGTTATGTCTGCAAGTGGATATTTGGACCTCTTTGAGGCCTTCGTTGCAAACGGGGTTTCTTCCTTTAATGCTAGACTAAGAAGAGTTCTCAGTAACTTTTTTGTGTTGTGTGTATTCAACTCACAGAGTTGAACCTTGCTTTAGAGAGAGCAGATTTGAAACACTCTCGCTGTGGAATTTTCAGGTGGAGATTTCAAGCGATTTGAGGACAATTGCAGAAAAGGAAATATCTTCGTATAATAACCAGACAGAATCATTCTCAGAAAGTGCTTTGTGATGTGTGCGTTCAACTCACAGAGTTTAACCTTTCTTTTCATAGAGGAGTTTGGAAACACACTGTTTGTAAAGTCTGCAATTGGATATATGGACCTGTTTGAGGCCTCCGTTGGAAACGGGATTTCTTCATTGAATGCTAGACGGAAGAATTCTCAGTAAATTCTTTGTGTTGTGTGCATTCAACTCACAGAGTGGAACGTCCCTTTAGACAGAGCAGATTTGAAACACTCTTTTTGCGGAATTTGCAAGTGGAGATTTCTAGCCATTTGATGCCAACAGTAGAAAGGGAAATATCTTCAAATAAAAACCAGACAGAATCATTCTCAGAAAATTCTTTGTGATGTGTGCGTTCAACTCACATAGTTTAACCTTTCTTTTCATAGAGCAGTTTGGAAACACTCTGTTTGTAAAGTCTGCAAGTGGATCTATGGACCGCATTGAGGCCTTCGTTGGAAACGGGATTTCTTCATTTCATGCTAGACAGAAGAATTCTCAGTAACTTCTTTGTGCTGTGTGTATTCAACTCACAGAGTGGAACGTCCCTTTGCACAGAGCAGATTTGAAACACTCTTTTTGTGGAATTTGCAAGTGGAGATTTCAAGCGATTTGATGCCAACAGTAGAAAAGGAAATATCTTCAAATAAAAACTAGACAGAATCATTCTCAGAAACTACTTTGTGATGTGTGCCTTCAACTCACAGAGTTTAACCTTTCTTTTCTTAGAGCAGTTTAGAAACACTCTGCTTGTTATGTCTGCAAGTGGATATTTGGACCTCTTTGAGGCCTTCGTTGCAAACGGGGTTTCTTCCTTTCATGCTAGACTAAGAAGAGTTCTCAGTAACTTTTTTGTGTTGTGTGTATTCAACTCACAGAGTTGAACCTTGCTTTAGAGAGAGCAGATTTGAAACACTCTTGCTGTGGCATTTTCAGGTGGAGATTTCAAGCGTTTTGAGGACAATTGCAGAAAAGGAAATATCTTCGTATAATAACCAGACAGAATCATTCTCAGAAAGTGCTTTGTGATGTGTGCGTTCAACTCACAGAGTTTAACCTTTCTTTTCATAGAGGAGTTTGGAAACACACTGTTTGTAAAGTCTGCAATTGGATATATGGACCTGTTTGAGGCCTTCGTTGGAAACGGGATTTCTTCATTGAATGCTAGACGGAAGAATTCTCAGTAAATTCTTTGTGTTGTGTGCATTCAACTCACAGAGTGGAACGTCCCTTTAGACAGAGCAGATTTGAAACACTCTTTTTGCGGAATTTGCAAGTGGAGATTTCGAGCCATTTGATGCCAACAGTAGAAAGGGAAATATCTTCAAATAAAAACCAGACAGAATCATTCTCAGAAAATTCTTTGTGATGTGTGCGTTCAACTCACATAGTTTAACCTTTCTTTTCATAGAGCAGTTTGGAAACACTCTGTTTGTAAAGTCTGCAAGTGGATATATGGACCGCATTGAGGCCTTCGTTGGAAACGGGATTTCTTCATTTCATGCTAGACAGAAGAATTCTCAGTAACTTCTTTGTGCTGTGTGTATTCAACTCACAGAGTGGAACGTCCCTTTACACAGAGAAGATTTGAAACACTCTTTTTGTGGAGTTTGCAAGTGGAGATTTCAAGCGATTTGATGCCAACAGTAGAAAAGGAAATATCTTCAAATAAAAACTAGACAGAATCATTCTCAGAAACTACTTTGTGATGTGTGCCTTCAACTCACAGAGTTTAACCTTTCTTTTCTTAGAGCAGTTTAGAAACACTCTGCTTGTTATGTCTGCAAGTGGATATTTGGACCTCTTTGAGGCCTTCGTTGCAAACGGGGTTTCTTCCTTTCATGCTAGACTAAGAAGAGTTCTCAGTAACTTTTTTGTGTTGTGTGTATTCAACTCACAGAGTTGAACCTTGCTTTAGAGAGAGCAGATTTGAAACACTCTTGCTGTGACATTTTCAGGTGGAGATTTCAAGCGATTTGAGGACAATTGCAGAAAAGGAAATATCTTCGTATAACAACCAGACAGAATCATTCTCAGAAAGTGCTTTGTGATGTGTGCGTTCCACTCACAGAGTTTAACCTTTCTTTTCATAGAGGAGTTTGGAAACACACTGTTTGTAAAGTCTGCAAGTGGATATATGGACCTGTTTGAGGCCTTCGTTGGAAACGGGATTTCTTCATTGAATGCTAGACGGAAGAATTCTCAGTAAATTCTTTGTGTTGTGTGCATTCAACTCACAGAGTGGAACGTCCCTTTAGACAGAGCAGATTTGAAACACTCTTTTTGCGGAATTTGCAAGTGGAGATTTCTAGCCATTTGATGCCAACAGTAGAAAGGGAAATATCTTCAAATAAAAACCAGACAGAATCATTCTCAGAAAATTCTTTGTGATGTGTGCGTTCAACTCACATAGTTTAACCTTTCTTTTCATAGAGCAGTTTGGAAACACTCTGTTTGTAAAGTCTGCAAGTGGATATATGGACCGCATTGAGGCCTTCGTTGGAAACGGGATTTCTTCATTTCATGCTAGACAGAAGAATTCTCAGTAACTTCTTTGTGCTGTGTGTATTCAACTCACAGAGTGGAACGTCCCTTTGCACAGAGCAGATTTGAAACACTCTTTTTGTGGAGTTTGCAAGTGGAGATTTCAAGCGATTTGATGCCAACAGTAGAAAAGGAATATCTTCAAATAAAACTAGACAGAATCATTCTCAGAAACTACTTTGTGATGTGTGCCTTCAACTCACAGAGTTTAACCTTTCTTTTCTTAGAGCAGTTTAGAAACACTCTGCTTGTTATGTCTGCAAGTGGATATTTGGACCTCTTTGAGGCCTTCGTTGCAAACGGGGTTTCTTCCTTTAATGCTAGACTAAGAAGAGTTCTCAGTAACTTTTTTGTGTTGTGTGTATTCAACTCACAGAGTTGAACCTTGCTTTAGAGAGAGCAGATTTGAAACACTCTTGCTGTGGCATTTTCAGGTGGAGATTTCAAGCGATTTGAGGACAATTGCAGAAAAGGAAATATCTTCGTATAACAACCAGACAGAATCATTCTCAGAAAGTGCTTTGTGATGTGTGCGTTCAACTCACAGAGTTTAACCTTTCTTTTCATAGAGGAGTTTGGAAACACACTGTTTGTAAAGTCTGCAATTGGATATATGGACCTGTTTGAGGCCTTCGTTGGAAACGGGATTTCTTCATTGAATGCTAGACGGAAGAATTCTCAGTAAATTCTTTGTGTTGTGTGCATTCAACTCACAGAGTGGAACGTCCCTTTAGACAGAGCAGATTTGAAACACTCTTTTTGCGGAATTTGCAAGTGGAGATTTCTAGCCATTTGATGCCAACAGTAGAAAGGGAAATATCTTCAAATAAAAACCAGACAGAATCATTCTCAGAAAATTCTTTGTGATGTGTGCGTTCAACTCACATAGTTTAACCTTTCTTTTCATAGAGCAGTTTGGAAACACTCTGTTTGTAAAGTCTGCAAGTGGATATATGGACCGCATTGAGGCCTTCGTTGGAAACGGGATTTCTTCATTTCATGCTAGACAGAAGAATTCTCAGTAACTTCTTTGTGCTGTGTGTATTCAACTCACAGAGTGGAACGTCCCTTTACACAGAGCAGATTTGAAACACTCTTTTTGTGGAATTTGCAAGTGGAGATTTCAAGCGATTTGATGCCAACAGTAGAAAAGGAAATATCTTCAAATAAAAACTAGACAGAATCATTCTCAGAAACTACTTTGTGATGTGTGCCTTCAACTCACAGAGTTTAACCTTTCTTTTCTTAGAGCAGTTTAGAAACACTCTGCTTGTTATGTCTGCAAGTGGATATTTGGACCTCTTTGAGGCCTTCGTTGCAAACGGGGTTTCTTCCTTTAATGCTAGACTAAGAAGAGTTCTCAGTAACTTTTCTGTGTTGTGTGTATTCAACTCACAGAGTTGAACCTTGCTTTAGAGAGAGGAGATTTGAAACACTCTCGCTGTGGAATTTTCAGGTGGAGATTTCAAGCGATTTGAGGACAATTGCAGAAAAGGAAATATCTTCGTATAATAACCAGACAGAATCATTCTCAGAAAGTGCTTTGTGATGTGTGCGTTCAACTCACAGAGTTTAACCTTTCTTTTCATAGAGGAGTTTGGAAACACACTGTTTGTAAAGTCTGCAATTGGATATATGGACCTGTTTGAGGCCTTCGTTGGAAACGGGATTTCTTCATTGAATGCTAGACGGAAGAATTCTCAGTAAATTCTTTGTGTTGTGTGCATTCAACTGACAGAGTGGAACGTCTCTTTAGACAGAGCAGATTTGAAACACTCTTTTTGCGGAATTTGCAAGTGGAGATTTCTAGCCATTTGATGCCAACAGTAGAAAGGGAAATATCTTCAAATAAAAACCAGACAGAATCATTCTCAGAAAATTCTTTGTGATGTGTGCGTTCAACTCACATAGTTAAACCTTTCTTTTCATAGAGCAGTTTGGAAACACTCTGTTTGTGAAGTCTGCAAGTGGATATATGGACCGCATTGAGGCCTTCGTTGGAAACGGGATTTCTTCATTTCATGCTAGACAGAAGAATTCTCAGTAACTTCTTTGTGCTGTGTGTACTCAACTCACAGAGTGGAACGTCCCTTTGCACAGAGCAGATTTGAAACACTCTTTTTGTGGAGTTTGCAAGTGGAGATTTCAAGCGATTTGATGCCAACAGTAGAAAAGGAAATATCTTCAAATAAAAACTAGACAGAATCATTCTCAGAAACTACTTTGTGATGTGTGCCTTCAACTCACAGAGTTTAACCTTTCTTTTCTTAGAGCAGTTTAGAAACACTCTGCTTGTTATGTCTGCAAGTGGATATTTGGACCTCTTTGAGGCCTTCGTTGCAAACGGGGTTTCTTCCTTTCATGCTAGACTAAGAAGAGTTCTCAGTAACTTTTTTGTGTTGTGTGTATTCAACTCACAGAGTTGAACCTTGCTTTAGAGAGAGCAGATTTGAAACACTCTTGCTGTGGCATTTTCAGGTGGAGATTTCAAGCGATTTGAGGACAATTGCAGAAAAGGAAATATCTTCGTATAATAACCAGACAGAATCATTCTCAGAAAGTGCTTTGTGATGTGTGCGTTCCACTCACAGAGTTTAACCTTTCTTTTCATAGAGGAGTTTGGAAACACACTGTTTGTAAAGTCTGCAAGTGGATATATGGACCTGTTTGAGGCCTTCGTTGGAAACGGGATTTCTTCATTGAATGCTAGACGGAAGAATTCTCAGTAAATTCTTTGTGTTGTGTGCATTCAACTCACAGAGTGGAACGTCCCTTTAGACAGAGCAGATTTGAAACACTCTTTTTGCGGAATTTGCAAGTGGAGATTTCTAGCCATTTGATGCCAACAGTAGAAAGGGAAATATCTTCAAATAAAAACCAGACAGAATCATTCTCAGAAAATTCTTTGTGATGTGTGCGTTCAACTCACATAGTTTAACCTTTCTTTTCATAGAGCAGTTTGGAAACACTCTGTTTGTAAAGTCTGCAAGTGGATATATGGACCGCATTGAGGCCTTCGTTGGAAACGGGATTTCTTCATTTCATGCTAGACAGAAGAATACTCAGTAACTTCTTTGTGCTGTGTGTATTCAACTCACAGAGTGGAACGTCCCTTTACACAGAGCAGATTTGAAACACTCTTTTTGTGGAATTTGCAAGTGGAGATTTCAAGCGATTTGATGCCAACAGTAGAAAAGGAAATATCTTCAAATAAAAACTAGACAGAATCATTCTCAGAAACTACTTTGTGATGTGTGCCTTCAACTCACAGAGTTTAACCTTTCTTTTCTTAGAGCAGTTTAGAAACACTCTGCTTGTTATGTCTGCAAGTGGATATTTGGACCTCTTTGAGGACTTCGTTGCAAACGGGGTTTCTTCCTTTCATGCTAGACTAAGAAGAGTTCTCAGTAACTTTTTTGTGTTGTGTGTATTCAACTCACAGAGTTGAACCTTGCTTTAGAGAGAGCAGATTTGAAACACTCTTGCTGTGGCATTTTCAGGTGGAGATTTCAAGCGATTTGAGGACAATTGCAGAAAAGGAAATATCTTCGTATAACAACCAGACAGAATCATTCTCAGAAAGTGCTTTGTGATGTGTGCGTTCAACTCACAGAGTTTAACCTTTCTTTTCATAGAGGAGTTTGGAAACACACTGTTTGTAAAGTCTGCAATTGGATATATGGACCTGTTTGAGGCCTTCGTTGGAAACGGGATTTCTTCATTGAATGCTAGACGGAAGAATTCTCAGTAAATTCTTTGTGTTGTGTGCATTCAACTCACAGAGTGGAACGTCCCTTTAGACAGAGCAGATTTGAAACACTCTTTTTGCGGAATTTGCAAGTGGAGATTTCTAGCCATTTGATGCCAACAGTAGAAAGGGAAATATCTTCAAATAAAAACCAGACAGAATCATTCTCAGAAAATTCTTTGTGATGTGTGCGTTCAACTCACATAGTTTAACCTTTCTTTTCATAGAGCAGTTTGGAAACACTCTGTTTGTAAAGTCTGCAAGTGGATATATAGACCGCATTGAGGCCTTCGTTGGAAACGGGATTTCTTCATTTCGTGCTAGACAGAAGAATTCTCAGTAACTTCTTTGTGCTGTGTGTATTCAACTCACAGAGTGGAACGTCCCTTTACACAGAGCAGACTTGAAACACTCTTTTTGTGGAGTTTGCAAGTGGAGATTTCAAGCGATTTGATGCCAGCAGTAGAAAAGGAAATATCTTCAAATAAAAACTAGACAGAATTATTCTCAGAAACTACTTTGTGATGTGTGCCATCAACTCATCGAGTTTAACCTTTCTTTTCTTAGAGCAGTTTAGAAACACTCTGCTTGTAATGTCTGCAAGTGGATATTTGGACCTCTTTGAGGCCTTCGTTGCAAACGGGACTTCTTCATTTAATGCTAGACTAAGAAGAGTTCTCAGTAACTTTTTTGTGTTGTGTGTATTCAACTCACAGAGTTGAACCTTGCTTTAGAGAGAGCAGATTTGAAACACTCTTGCTGTGGCATTTTCAGGTGGAGATTTCAAGCGATTTGAGGACAATTGCAGAAAAGGAAATATCTTCGTATAATAACCAGACAGAATCATTCTCAGAAAGTGCTTTGTGATGTGTGCGTTCAACTCACAGAGTTTAACCTTTCTTTTCATAGAGGAGTTTGGAAACACACTGTTTGTAAAGTCTGCAATTGGATATATGGACCTGTTTGAGGCCTTCGTTGGAAACGGGATTTCTTCATTGAATGCTAGGCGGAAGAATTCTCAGTAAATTCTTTGTGTTGTGTGCATTCAACTCACAGAGTGGAACGTCCCTTTAGACAGAGCAGATTTGAAACACTCTTTTTGCGGAAGTTGCAAGTGGAGATTTCTAGCCATTTGATGCCAACAGTAGAAAGGGAAATATCTTCAAATAAAAACTAGACAGAATCATTCTCAGAAAGTGCTTTGTGATGTGTGCGTTCAACTCACAGAGTTTAACCTTTCTTTTCATAGAGGAGTTTGGAAACACACTGTTTGTAAAGTCTGCAATTGGATATATGGACCTGTTTGAGGCCTTCGTTGGAAACGGGATTTCTTCATTGAATGCTAGACGGAAGAATTCTCAGTAAATTCTTTGTGTTGTGTGCATTCAACTCACAGAGTGGAACGTCCCTTTAGACAGAGCAGATTTGAAACACTCTTTTTGCGGAATTTGCAAGTGGAGATTTCTAGCCATTTGATGCCAACAGTAGAAAGGGAAATATCTTCAAATAAAAACCAGACAGAATCATTCTCAGAAAATTCTTTGTGATGTGTGCGTTCAACTCACATAGTTTAACCTTCCTTTTCATAGAGCAGTTTGGGAACACTCTGTTGGTAATGTCTGCAAGTGGATATATGGACCGCTTTGAGGCCTTCGTTGGAAACGGGATTTCTTCATTTCATGCTAGACAGAAGAATTCTCAGTAAGTTCTTTGTGCTGTGTGTATTCAACTCACAGAGTGGAACGTCCCTTTGCACAGAGCAGATTTGAAACACTCTTTTTGTGGAGTTTGCAAGTGGAGATTTCAAGCGATTTGATGCCAACAGTAGAAAAGGAAATATCTTCAAATAAAAACTAGACAGAATCATTCTCAGAAACTACTTTGTGATGTGTGCCTTCAACTCACAGAATTTAACCTTTCTTTTCTTAGAGCAGTTTAGAAACACTCTGCTTGTTATGTCTGCAAGTGGATATTTGGACCTCTTTGAGGCCTTCGTTGCAAACGGGGTTTCTTCCTTTCATGCTAGACTAAGAACAGTTCTCAGTAACTTTTTTGTGTTGTGTGTATTCAACTCACAGAGTTGAACCTTGCTTTAGAGAGAGCAGATTTGAAACACTCTTGCTGTGGCATTTTCAGGTGGAGATCTCAAGCGATTTGAGGACAATTGCAGAAAAGGAAATATCTTCGTATAATAAGCAGACAGAATCATTCTCAGAAAGTGCTTTGTGATGTGTGCGTTCAACTCACAGAGTTTAACCTTTCTTTTCATAGAGGAGTTTGGAAACACACTGTTTGTAAAGTCTGCAAGTGGATATATGGACCTGTTTGAGGCCTTCGTTGGAAACGGGATTTCTTCATTGAATGCTAGACGGAAGAATTCTCAGTAAATTCTTTGTGTTGTGTGCATTCAACTCACAGAGTGGAACGTCCCTTTAGACAGAGCAGATTTGAAACACTCTTTTTGCGGAATTTGCAAGTGGAGATTTCTAGCCATTTGATGCCAACGGTAGAAAGGGAAATATCTTCAAATAAAAACTAGACAGAATCATCCTCAGAAAATTCTTTGTGATGTGTGCGTTCAACTCACATAGTTTAACCTTTCTTTTCATAGACCAGTCTGGAAACACTCTGTTGGTAATGTCTGCAAGTGGATATATGGACCGCTTTGAGGCCTTCGTTGGAAACGGGATTTCTTAATTTCATGCTAGACAGAAGAATTCTCAGTAACTTTTTTGTGTTGTGTGTATTCAACTGACAGATTGGAATGTCCCATTACATAGAGCAGTTTTGAAACACTCTTTTTGTGGAATTTAAAAGTGGAGAATTCAAGCGATTTGATGCCAACTGTTGAAAAGGAAATATCTTCAAATAAAAACTAGACAGAATCATTCTCAGAAACTACTTTGTGATGTGTGCCTTCAACTCACAGAGTTTAACCTTTCTTTTCTTAGAGCAGTTTAGAAACACTCTGGTTGTTATGTCTGCAAGTGGATATTTGGACCTCTTTGAGGCCTTCGTTGCAAACGGCGTTTCTTCCTTTAATGCTAGACTAAGAAGAGTTCTCAGTAACTTTTTTGTGTTGTGTGTATTCAACTCACAGAGTTGAACCTTGCTTTAGAGAGAGCAGATTTGAAACACTCTTGCTGTGGCATTTTCAGGTGGAGATTTCAAACGATTTGAGGACAATTGCAGAAAAGGAAATATCTTCGTATAATAACCAGACAGAATCATTCTCAGAAAGTGCTTTGTGATGTGTGCGTTCAACTCACAGAGTTTAACCTTTCTTTTCATAGAGGAGTTTGGAAACACACTGTTTGTAAAGTCTGCAATTGGATATATGGACCTGTTTGAGGCCTTCGTTGGAAACGGGATTTCTTCATTGAATGCTAGACGGAAGAATTCTCAGTAAATTCTTTGTGTGGTGTGCATTCAACTCACAGAGTGGAACGTCCCTTTAGACAGAGCAGATTTGAAACACTATTTTTGCGGAATTTGCAAGTGGAGATTTCTAGCCATTTGATGCCAACAGTAGAAAGGGAAATATCTTCAAATAAAAACCAGACAGAATCATTCTCAGAAAATTCTTTGTGATGTGTGCGTTCAACTCACATAGTTTAACCTTTCTTTTCATAGAGCAGTTTGGAAACACTCTGTTTGTAAAGTCTGCAAGTGGATATATGGACCGCATTGAGGCCTTCGTTGGAAACGGGATTTCTTGATTTCATGCTAGACAGAAGAATTCTCAGTAACTTCTTTGTGCTGTGTGTATTCAACTCACAGAGTGGAACGTCCCTTTGCACAGAGCAGATTTGAAACACTCTTTTTGTGGAGTTTGCAAGTGGAGATTTCAAGCGATTTGATGCCAACAGTAGAAAAGGAAATATCTTCAAATAAAAACTAGACAGAATCATTCTCAGAAACTACTTTGTGATGTGTGCCTTCAACTCACAGAGTTTAACCTTTCTTTTCTTAGAGCAGGTTAGAAACACTCTGCTTGTTATGTCTGCAAGTGGATATTTGGACCTCTTTGAGGCCTTCGTTGCAAACGGGGTTTCTTCCTTTCATGCTAGACTAAGAAGAGATCTCAGTAACTTTTTTGTGTTGTGTGTATTCAACTCACAGAGTTGAACCTTGCTTTAGAGAGAGCAGATTTGAAACACTCTTGCTGTGGCATTTTCAGGTGGAGATTTCAAGCGATTTGAGGACAATTGCAGAAAAGGAAATATCTTCGTATAATAACCAGACAGAAATCATTCTCAGAAAGTGCTTTGTGATGTGTGCGTTCCACTCACAGAGTTTAACCTTTCTTTTCATAGAGGAGTTTGGAAACACACTGTTTGTAAAGTCTGCAAGTGGATATATGGACCTGTTTGAGGCCTTCGTTGGAAACGGGATTTCTTCATTGAATGCTAGACGGAAGAATTCTCAGTAAATTCTTTGTGTTGTGTGCATTCAACTCACAGAGTGGAACGTCCCTTTAGACAGAGCAGATTTGAAACACTCTTTTTGCGGAATTTGCAAGTGGAGATTTCTAGCCATTTGATGCCAACAGTAGAAAGGGAAATATCTTCAAATAAAAACCAGACAGAATCATTCTCAGAAAATTCTTTGTGATGTGTGCGTTCAACTCACATAGTTTAACCTTTCTTTTCATAGAGCAGTTTGGAAACACTCTGTTTGTAAAGTCTGCAAGTGGATATATGGACCGCATTGAGGCCTTCGTTGGAAACGGGATTTCTTCATTTCATGCTAGACAGAAGAATTCTCAGTAACTTCTTTGTGCTGTGTGTATTCAACTCACAGAGTGGAACGTCCCTTTACACAGAGCAGATTTGAAACACTCTTTTTGTGGAGTTTGCAAGTGGAGATTTCAAGCGATTTGATGCCAACAGTAGAAAAGGAAATATCTTCAAATAAAAACTAGACAGAATCATTCTCAGAAACTACTTTGTGATGTGTGCCTTCAACTCACAGAGTTTAACCTTTCTTTTCTTAGAGCAGTTTAGAAACACTCTGCTTGTTATGTCTGCAAGTGGATATTTGGACCTCTTTGAGGCCTTCGTTGCAAACGGGGTTTCTTCCTTTCATGCTAGACTAAGAAGAGTTCTCAGTAACTTTTTTGTGTTGTGTGTATTCAACTCACAGAGTTGAACCTTGCTTTAGAGAGAGCAGATTTGAAACACTCTTGCTGTGGCATTTTCAGGTGGAGATTTCAAGCGATTTGAGGACAATTGCAGAAAAGGAAATATCTTCGTATAATAACCAGACAGAATCATTCTCAGAAAGTGCTTTGTGATGTGTGCGTTCCACTCACAGAGTTTAACCTTTCTTTTCATAGAGGAGTTTGGAAACACACTGTTTGTAAAGTCTGCAAGTGGATATATGGACCTGTTTGAGGCCTTCGTTGGAAACGGGATTTCTTCATTGAATGCTAGACGGAAGAATTCTCAGTAAATTCTTTGTGTTGTGTGCATTCAACTCACAGAGTGGAACGTCCCTTTAGACAGAGCAGATTTGAAACACTCTTTTTGCGGAATTTGCAAGTGGAGATTTCTAGCCATTTGATGCCAACAGTAGAAAGGGAAATATCTTCAAATAAAAACCAGACAGAATCATTCTCAGAAAATTCTTTGTGATGTGTGCATTCAACTCACATAGTTTAACCTTTCTTTTCATAGAGCAGTTTGGAAACACTCTGTTTGTAAAGTCTGCAAGTGGATATATGGACCGCATTGAGGCCTTCGTTGGAAACGGGATTTCTTCATTTCATGCTAGACAGAAGAATTCTCAGTAACTTCTTTGTGCTGTGTGTATTCAACTCACAGAGTGGAACGTCCCTTTACACAGAGCAGATTTGAAACACTCTTTTTGTGGAGTTTGCAAGTGGAGATTTCAAGCGATTTGATGCCAACAGTAGAAAAGGAAATATCTTCAAATAAAAACTAGACAGAATCATTCTCAGAAACTACTTTGTGATGTGTGCCTTCAACTCACAGAGTTTAACCTTTCTTTTCTTAGAGCAGTTTAGAAACACTCTGCTTGTTATGTCTGCAAGTGGATATTTGGACCTCTTTGAGGCCTTCGTTGCAAACGGGGTTTCTTCCTTTCATGCTAGACTAAGAAGAGTTCTCAGTAACTTTTTTGTGTTGTGTGTATTCAACTCACAGAGTTGAACCTTGCTTTAGAGAGAGCAGATTTGAAACACTCTTGCTGTGGCATTTTCAGGTGGAGATTTCAAGCGATTTGAGGACAATTGCAGAAAAGGAAATATCTTCGTATAACAACCAGACAGAATCATTCTCAGAAAGTGCTTTGTGATGTGTGCGTTCAACTCACAGAGTTTAACCTTTCTTTTCATAGACGAGTTTGGAAACACACTGTTTGTAAAGTCTGCAATTGGATATATGGACCTGTTTGAGGCCTTCGTTGGAAACGGGATTTCTTCATTGAATGCTAGACGGAAGAATTCTCAGTAAATTCTTTGTGTTGTGTGCATTCAACTCACAGAGTGGAACGTCCCTTTAGACAGAGCAGATTTGAAACACTCTTTTTGCGGAATTTGCAAGTGGAGATTTCTAGCCATTTGATGCCAACAGTAGAAAGGGAAATATCTTCAAATAAAAACCAGACAGAATCATTCTCAGAAAATTCTTTGTGATGTGTGCGTTCAACTCACATAGTTTAACCTTTCTTTTCATAGAGCAGTTTGGAAACACTCTGTTTGTAAAGTCTGCAAGTGGATATATAGACCGCATTGAGGCCTTCGTTGGAAACGGGATTTCTTCATTTCGTGCTTGACAGAAGAATTCTCAGTAACTTCTTTGTGCTGTGTGTATTGAACTCACAGAGTGGAACGTCCCTTTGCACAGAGCAGATTTGAAACACTCTTTTTGTGGAATTTGCAAGTGGAGATTTCAAGCGATCTGATGCCAACAGTAGAAAAGGAAATATCTTCAAATAAAAACTAGACAGAATCATTCTCAGAAACTACTTTGTGATGTGTGCCTTCAACTCACAGAGTTTAACCTTTCTTTTCTTAGAGCAGTTTAGAAACACTCTGCTTGTTATGTCTGCAAGTGGATATTTGGACCTCTTTGAGGCCTTCGTTGCAAACGGGGTTTCTTCCTTTCATGCTAGACTAAGAAGAGTTCTCAGTAACTTTTTTGTGTTGTGTGTATTCAACTCACAGAGTTGAACCTTGCTTTAGAGAGAGCAGATTTGAAACACTCTTGCTGTGGCATTTTCAGGTGGAGATTTCAAGCGATTTGAGGACAATTGCAGAAAAGGAAATATCTTCGTATAATAACCAGACAGAATCATTCTCAGAAAGTGCTTTGTGATGTGTGCGTTCCACTCACAGAGTTTAACCTTTCTTTTCATAGAGGAGTTTGGAAACACACTGTTTGTAAAGTCTGCAAGTGGATATATGGACCTGTTTGAGGCCTTCGTTGGAAACGGGATTTCTTCATTGAATGCTAGACGGAAGAATTCTCAGTAAATTCTTTGTGTGGTGTGCATTCAACTCACAGAGTGGAACGTCCCTTTAGACAGAGCAGATTTGAAACACTCTTTTTGCGGAATTTGCAAGTGGAGATTTCTAGCCATTTGATGCCAACAGTAGAAAGGGAAATATCTTCAAATAAAAACCAGACAGAATCATTCTCAGAAAATTCTTTGTGATGTGTGCGTTCAACTCACATAGTTTAACCTTTCTTTTCATAGAGCAGTTTGGAAACACTCTGTTTGTGATGTCTGCAAGTGGATATATAGACCGCATTGAGGCCTTCGTTGGAAACGGGATTTCTTCATTTCATGCTAGACAAGAATTCTCAGTAACTTCTTTGTGCTGTGTGTATTCAACTCACAGAGTGGAACGTCCCTTTGCACAGAGCAGATTTGAAACACTCTTTTTGTGGAGTTTGCAAGTGGAGATTTCAAGCGATTTGATGCCAACAGTAGAAAAGGAAATATCTTCAAATAAAAACTAGACAGAATCATTCTCAGAAACTACTTTGTGATGTGTGCCTTCAACTCACAGAGTTTAACCTTTCTTTTCTTAGAGCAGTTTAGAAACACTCTGCTTGTTATGTCTGCAAGTGGATATTTGGACCTCTTTGAGGCCTTCGTTGCAAACGGGGTTTCTTCCTTTCATGCTAGACTAAGAAGAGTTCTCAGTAACTTTTTTGTGTTGTGTGTATTCAACTCACAGAGTTGAACCTTGCTTTAGAGAGAGCAGATTTGAAACACTCTTGCTGTGGCATTTTCAGGTGGAGATTTCAAGCGATTTGAGGACAATTGCAGAAAAGGAAATATCTTCGTATAATAACCAGACAGAATCATTCTCAGAAAGTGCTTTGTGATGTGTGCGTTCAACTCACAGAGTTTAACCTTTCTTTTCATAGAGGAGTTTGGAAACACACTGTTTGTAAAGTCTGCAAGTGGATATATGGACCTGTTTGAGGCCTTCGTTGGAAACGGGATTTCTTCATTGAATGCTAGACGGAAGAATTCTCAGTAAATTCTTTGTGTTGTGTGCATTCAACTCACAGAGTGGAACGTCCCTTTAGACAGAGCAGATTTGAAACACTCTTTTTGCGGAATTTGCAAGTGGAGATTTCTAGCCATTTGATGCCAACAGTAGAAAGGGAAATATCTTCAAATAAAAACCAGACAGAATCATTCTCAGAAAATTCTTTGTGATGTGTGCGTTCAAATCACATAGTTTAACCTTTCTTTTCATAGAGCAGTTTGGAAACACTCTGTTTGTAAAGTCTGCAAGTGGATATATGGACCGCATTGAGGCCTTCGTTGGAAACGGGATTTCTTCATTTCATGCTAGACAGAAGAATTCTCAGTAACTTCTTTGTGCTGTGTGTATTCAACTCACAGAGTGGAACGTCCCTTTGCACAGAGCAGATTTGAAACACTCTTTTTGTGGAATTTGCAAGTGGAGATTTCAAGCGATTTGATGCCAACAGTAGAAAAGGAAATATCTTCAAATAAAAACTAGACAGAATCATTCTCAGAAAATACTTTGTGATGTGTGCCTTCAACTCACAGAGTTTAACCTTTCTTTTCTTAGAGCAGTTTAGAAACACTCTGCTTGTTATGTCTGCAAGTGGATATTTGGACCTCTTTGAGGCCTTCGTTGCAAACGGGGTTTCTTCCTTTCATGCTAGACTAAGAAGAGTTCTCAGTAACTTTTTTGTGTTGTGTGTATTCAACTCACAGAGTTGAACCTTGCTTTAGAGAGAGCAGATTTGAAACACTCTTGCTGTGGCATTTTCAGGTGGAGATTTCAAGCGATTTGAGGACAACTGCAGAAAAGGAAATATCTTCGTATAATAACCAGACAGAATCATTCTCAGAAAGTGCTTTGTGATGTGTGCGTTCAACTCACAGAGTTTAACCTTTCTTTTCATAGAGGAGTTTGGAAACACACTGTTTGTAAAGTCTGCAAGTGGATATATGGACCTGTTTGAGGCCTTCGTTGGAAACGGGATTTCTTCATTGAATGCTAGACGGAAGAATTCTCAGTAAATTCTTTGTGTTGTGTGCATTCAACTCACAGAGTGGAACGTCCCTTTAGACAGAGCAGATTTGAAACACTCTTTTTGCGGAATTTGCAAGTGGAGATTTCTAGCCATTTGATGCCAACAGTAGAAAGGGAAATATCTTCAAATAAAAACCAGACAGAATCATTCTCAGAAAATTCTTTGTGATGTGTGCGTTCAACTCACATAGTTTAACCTTTCTTTTCATAGAGCAGTTTGGAAACACTCTGTTTGTAAAGTCTGCAAGTGGATATATGGACCGCATTGAGGCCTTCGTTGGAAACGGGATTTCTTCATTTCATGCTAGACAGAAGAATTCTCAGTAACTTCTTTGTGCTGTGTGTATTCAACTCACAGAGTGGAACGTCCCTTTGCACAGAGCAGATTTGAAACACTCTTTTTGTGGAATTTGCAAGTGGAGATTTCAAGCGATTTGATGCCAACAGTAGAAAAGGAAATATCTGCAAACAAAAACTAGACAGAATCATTCTCAGAAACTACTTTGTGATGTGTGCCTTCAACTCACAGAGTTTAACCTTTCTTTTCTTAGAGCAGTTTAGAAACACTCTGCTTGTTATGTCTGCAAGTGGATATTTGGACCTCTTTGAGGCCTTCGTTGCAAACGGGGTTTCTTCCTTTCATGCTAGACTAAGAAGAGTTCTCAGTAACTTTTTTGTGTTGTGTGTATTCAACTCACAGAGTTGAACCTTGCTTTAGAGAGAGCAGATTTGAAACACTCTTGCTGTGGCATTTTCTGGTGGAGATTTCAAGCGATTTGAGGACAATTGCAGAAAAGGAAATATCTTCGTATAATAACCAGACAGAATCATTCTCAGAAAGTGCTTTGTGATGTGTGCGTTCAACTGACAGAGTTTAACCTTTCTTTTCATAGAGGAGTTTGGAAACACACTGTTTGTAAAGTCTGCAAGTGGATATATGGACCTCTTTGAGGCCTTCGTTGGAAACGGGATTTCTTCATTGAATGACTAGACGGAAGAATTCTCAGTAAATACTTTGTGTTGTGTGCATTCAACTGACAGAGTGGAACGTCTCTTTAGACAGAGCAGATTTGAAACACTCTTTTTGCGGAATTTGCAAGTGGAGATTTCTAGCCATTTGATGCCAACAGTAGAAAGGGAAATATCTTCAAATAAAAACCAGACAGAATCATTCTCAGAAAATTCTTTGTGATGTGTGCGTTCAACTCACATAGTTTAACCTTTCTTTTCATAGAGCAGTTTGGAAACACTCTGTTTGTAAAGTCTGCAAGTGGATATATGGACCGCATTGAGGCCTTCGTTGGAAACGGGATTTCTTCATTTCATGCTAGACAGAAGAATTCTCAGTAACTTCTTTGTGCTGTGTGTATTCAACTCACAGAGTGGAACGTCCCTTTACACAGAGCAGATTTGAAACACTCTTTTTGTGGAGTTTGCAAGTGGAGATTTCAAGCGATTTGATGCCAACAGTAGAAAAGGAAATATCTTCAAATAAAAACTAGACAGAATCATTCTCAGAAACTACTTTGTGATGTGTGCCTTCAACTCACAGAGTTTAACCTTTCTTTTCTTAGAGCAGTTTAGAAACACTCTGCTTGTTATGTCTGCAAGTGGATATTTGGACCTCTTTGAGGCCTTCGTTGCAAACGGGGTTTCTTCCTTTCATGCTAGACTAAGAAGAGTTCTCAGTAACTTTTTTGTGTTGTGTGTATTCAACTCACAGAGTTGAACCTTGCTTTAGAGAGAGCAGATTTGAAACACTCTTGCTGTGGCATTTTCAGGTGGAGATTTCAAGCGATTTGAGGACAATTGCAGAAAAGGAAATATCTTCGTATAATAACCAGACAGAATCATTCTCAGAAAGTGCTTTGTGATGTGTGCGTTCAACTCACAGAGTTTAACCTTTCTTTTCATAGAGGAGTTTGGAAACACACTGTTTGTAAAGTCTGCAATTGGATATATGGACGTGTTGGAGGCCTTCGTTGGAAACGGGATTTCTTCATTGAATGCTAGACGGAAGAATTCTCAGTAAATTCTTTGTGTTGTGTGCATTCAACTGACAGAGTGGAACGTCCCTTTAGACAGAGCAGATTTGAAACACTCTTTTTGCGGAATTTGCAAGTGGAGATTTCTAGCCATTTGATGCCAACAGTAGAAAGGGAAATATCTTCAAATAAAAACCAGACAGAATCATTCTCAGAAAATTCTTTGTGATGTGTGCGTTCAACTCACATAGTTTAACCTTTCTTTTCATAGAGCAGTTTGGAAACACTCTGTTTGTAAAGTCTGCAAGTGGATATATGGACCGCATTGAGGCCTTCGTTGGAAACGGGATTTCTTCATTTCATGCTAGACAGAAGAATTCTCAGTAACTTCTTTGTGCTGTGTGTATTCAACTCACAGAGTGGAACGTCCCTTTACACAGAGCAGATTTGAAACACTCTTTTTGTGGAGTTTGCAAGTGGAGATTTCAAGCGATTTGATGCCAACAGTAGAAAAGGAAATATCTTCAAATAAAAACTAGACAGAATCATTCTCAGAAACTACTTTGTGATGTGTGCCTTCAACTCACAGAGTTTAACCTTTCTTTTCTTAGAGCAGTTTAGAAACACTCTGCTTGTTATGTCTGCAAGTGGATATTTGGACCTCTTTGAGGCCTTCGTTGCAAACGGGGTTTCTTCCTTTCATGCTAGACTAAGAAGAGTTCTCAGTAACTTTTTTGTGTTGTGTGTATTCAACTCACAGAGTTGAACCTTGCTTTAGAGAGAGCAGATTTGAAACACTCTTGCTGTGGCATTTTCAGGTGGAGATTTCAAGCGATTTGAGGACAATTGCAGAAAAGGAAATATCTTCGTATAACAACCAGACAGAATCATTCTCAGAAAGTGCTTTGTGATGTGTGCGTTCAACTCACAGAAGTTTAACCTTTCTTTTCATAGAGGAGTTTGGAAACACACTGTTTGTAAAGTCTGCAATTGGATATATGGACCTGTTTGAGGCCTTCGTTGGAAACGGGTTTTCTTCATTGAATGCTAGACGGAAGAATTCTCAGTAAATTCTTTGTGTTGTGTGCATTCAACTCACAGAGTGAAACGTCCGTTTAGACAGAGCAGATTTGAAACACTCTTTTTGCGGAATTTGCAAGTGGAGATTTCTAGCCATTTGATGCCAACAGTAGAAAGGGAAACATCTTCAAATAAAAACCAGACAGAATCATTCTCAGAAAATTCTTTGTGATGTGTGCGTTCAACTCACATAGTTTAACCTTTCTTTTCATAGAGCAGTTTGGAAACACTCTGTTTGTAAAGTCTGCAAGTGGATATATGGACCGCATTGAGGCCTTCGTTGGAAACGGGATTTCTTCATTTCATGCTAGACAGAAGAATTCTCAGTAACTTCTTTGTGCTGTGTGTATTCAACTCACAGAGTGGAACGTCCGTTTACACAGAGCAGATTTGAAACACTCTTTTTGTGGAGTTTGCAAGTGGAGATTTCAAGCGATTTGATGCCAACAGTAGAAAAGGAAATATCTTCAAATAAAAACTAGACAGAATCATTCTCAGAAACTACTTTGTGATGTGTGCCTTCAACTCACAGAGTTTAACCTTTCTTTTCTTAGAGCAGTTTAGAAACACTCTGCTTGTTATGTCTGCAAGTGGATATTTGGACCTCTTTGAGGCCTTCGTTGCAAACGGGGTTTCTTCCTTTCATGCTAGACTAAGAAGAGTTCTCAGTAACTTTTTTGTGTTGTGTTTATTCAACTCACAGAGTTGAACCTTGCTTTAGAGAGAGCAGATTTGAAACACTCTTGCTGTGGCATTTTCAGGTGGAGATTTCAAGCGATTTGAGGACAATTGCAGAAAAGGAAATATCTTCGTATAATAACCAGACAGAATCATTCTCAGAAAGTGCTTTGTGATGTGTGCGTTCAACTCACAGAGTTTAACCTTTCTTTTCATAGAGGAGTTTGGAAACACACTGTTTGTAAAGTCTGCAAGTGGATATATGGACCTGTTTGAGGCCTTCGTTGGAAACGGGATTTCTTCATTGAATGCTAGACGGAAGAATTCTCAGTAAATTCTTTGTGTTGTGTGCATTCAACTCACAGAGTGGAACGTCCCTTTAGACAGAGCAGATTTGAAACACTCTTTTTGCGGAATTTGCAAGTGGAGATTTCTAGCCATTTGATGCCAACAGTAGAAAGGGAAATATCTTCAAATAAAAACCAGACAGAATCATTCTCAGAAAATTCTTTGTGATGTGTGCGTTCAACTCACATAGTTTAACCTTTCTTTTCATAGAGCAGTTTGGAAACACTCTGTTTGTAAAGTCTGCAAGTGGATATATGGACCGCATTGAGGCCTTCGTTGGAAACGGGATTTCTTCATTTCATGCTAGACAGAAGAATTCTCAGTAACTTCTTTGTGCTGTGTGTATTCAACTCACAGAGTGGAACGTCCCTTTACACAGAGCAGATTTGAAACACTCTTTTTGTGGAGTTTGCAAGTGGAGATTTCAAGCGATTTGATGCCAACAGTAGAAAAGGAAATATCTTCAAATAAAAACTAGACAGAATCATTCTCAGAAACTACTTTGTGATGTGTGCCTTTAACTCACAGAGTTTAACCTTTCTTTTCTTAGAGCAGTTTAGAAACACTCTGCTTGTTATGTCTGCAAGTGGATATTTGGACCTCTTTGAGGCCTTCGTTGCATACGGGGTTTCTTCCTTTCATGCTAGACTAAGAAGAGTTCTCAGTAACTTTTTTGTGTTGTGTGTATTCAACTCACAGAGTTGAACCTTGCTTTAGAGAGAGCAGATTTGAAACACTCTTGCTGTGGCATTTTCAGGTGGAGATTTCAAGCGATTTGAGGACAATTGCAGAAAAGGAAATATCTTCGTATAATAACCAGACAGAATCATTCTCAGAAAGTGCTTTGTGATGTGTGCGTTCCACTCACAGAGTTTAACCTTTCTTTTCATAGAGGAGTTTGGAAACACACTGTTTGTAAAGTCTGCAAGTGGATATATGGACCTGTTTGAGGCCTTCGTTGGAAACGGGATTTCTTCATTGAATGCTAGACGGAAGAATTCTCAGTAAATTCTTTGTGTTGTGTGCATTCAACTCACAGAGTGGAACGTCCCTTTAGACAGAGCAGATTTGAAACACTCTTTTTGCGGAATTTGCAAGTGGAGATTTCTAGCCATTTGATGCCAACAGTAGAAAGGGAAATATCTTCAAATAAAAACCAGACAGAATCATTCTCAGAAAATTCTTTGTGATGTGTGCGTTCAACTCACATAGTTTAACCTTTCTTTTCATAGAGCAGTTTGGAAACACTCTGTTTGTAAAGTCTGCAAGTGGATATATGGACCGCATTGAGGCCTTCGTTGGAAACGGGATTTCTTCATTTCATGCTAGACAGAAGAATTCTCAGTAACTTCTCTGTGCTGTGTGTATTCAACTCACAGACTGGAACGTCCGTTTGCACAGAGCAGATTTGAAACACTCTTTTTGTGGAATTTGCAAGTGGAGATTTCAAGCGATTTGATGCCAACAGTAGAAAAGGAAATATCTTCAAATAAAAACTAGACAGAACCATTCTCAGAAACTACTTTGTGATGTGTGCCTTCAACTCACAGAGTTTAACCTTTCTTTTCTTAGAGCAGTTTAGAAACACTCTGCTTGTTATGTCTGCAACTGGATATTTGGACCTCTTTGAGGCCTTCGTTGCAAACGGGGTTTCTTCCTTTCATGCTAGACTAAGAAGAGTTCTCAGTAACTTTTTTGTGTTGTGTGTATTCAACTCACAGAGTTGAACCTTGCTTTAGAGAGAGCAGATTTGAAACACTCTTGCTGTGGCATTTTCAGGTGGAGATTTCAAGCGATTTGAGGACAATTGCAGAAAAGGAAATATCTTCGTATAATAACCAGACAGAATCATTCTCAGAAAGTGCTTTGTGATGTGTGCGTTCAACTCACAGAGTTTAACCTTTCTTTTCATAGAGGAGTTTGGAAACACACTGTTTGTAAAGTCTGCAATTGGATATATGGACCTGTTTGAGGCCTTCGTTGGAAACGGGATTTCTTCATTGCATGCTAGACGGAAGAATTCTCAGTAAATTCTTTGTGTTGTGTGCATTCAACTCACAGAGTGGAACGTCCCTTTAGACAGAGCAGATTTGAAACACTCTTTTTGCGGAATTTGCAAGTGGAGATTTCTAGCCATTTGATGCCAACAGTAGAAAGGGAAATATCTTCAAATAAAAACCAGACAGAATCATTCTCAGAAAATTCTTTGTGATGTGTGCGTTCAACTCACATAGTTTAACCTTTCTTTTCATAGAGCAGTTTGGAAACACTCTGTTTGTAAAGTCTGCAAGTGGATATATGGACCGCATTGAGGCCTTCGTTGGAAACGGGATTTCTTCATTTCATGCTAGACAGAAGAATTCTCAGTAACTTCTTTGTGCTGTGTGTATTCAACTCACAGAGTGGAACGTCCCTTTACACAGAGCAGATTTGAAACACTCTTTTTGTGGAGTTTGCAAGTGGAGATTTCAAGCGATTTGATGCCAACAGTAGAAAAGGAAATATCTTCAAATAAAAACTAGACAGAATCATTCTCAGAAACTACTTTGTGATGTGTGCCTTCAACTCACAGAGTTTAACCTTTCTTTTCTTAGAGCAGTTTAGAAACACTCTGCTTGTTATGTCTGCAAGTGGATATTTGGACCTCTTTGAGGCCTTCGTTGCAAACGGGGTTTCTTCCTTTCATGCTAGACTAAGAAGAGTTCTCAGTAACATTTTTGTGTTGTGTGTATTCAACTCACAGAGTTGAACCTTGCTTTAGAGAGAGCAGATTTGAAACACTCTTGCTGTGGCATTTTCAGGTGGAGATTTCAAGCGATTTGAGGACAATTGCAGAAAAGGAAATATCTTCGTATAATAACCAGACAGAATCATTCTCAGAAAGTGCTTTGTGATGTGTGCGTTCAACTCACAGAGTTTAACCTTTCTTTTCATAGAGGAGGTTGGAAACACACTGTTTGTAAAGTCTGCAATTGGATATATGGACCTGTTTGAGGCCTTCGTTGGAAACGGGATTTCTTCATTGAATGCTAGACGGAAGAATTCTCAGTAAATTCTTTGTGTTGTGTGCATTCAACTCACAGAGTGGAACGTCCCTTTAGACAGAGCAGATTTGAAACACTCTTTTTGCGGAATTTGCAAGTGGAGATTTCTAGCCATTTGATGCCAACAGTAGAAAGGGAAATATCTTCAAATAAAAACCAGACAGAATCATTCTCAGAAAATTCTTTGTGATGTGTGCGTTCAACTCACATAGTTTAACCTTTCTTTTCATAGAGCAGTTTGGAAACACTCTGTTTGTAAAGTCTGCAAGTGGATATATGGACCGCATTGAGGCCTTCGTTGGAAACGGGATTTCTTCATTTCATGCTAGACAGAAGAATTCTCAGTAACTTCTTTGTGCTGTGTGTATTCAACTCACAGAGTGGAACGTCCCTTTGCACAGAGCAGATTTGAAACACTCTTTTTGTGGAGTTTGCAAGTGGAGATTTCAAGCGATTTGATGCCAACAGTAGAAAAGGAAATATCTTCAAATAAAAACTAGACAGAATCATTCTCAGAAACTACTTTGTGATGTGTGCCTTCAACTCACCGAGTTTAACCTTTCTTTTCTGAGAGCAGTTTAGAAACACTCTGCTTGTTATGTCTGCAAGTTGATATTTGGACCTCTTTGAGGCCTTCGTTGCAAACGGGGTTTCTTCCTTTAATGCTAGACTAAGAAGAGTTCTCAGTAACTTTTTTGTGTTGTGTGTATTCAACTCACAGAGTTGAACCTTGCTTTAGAGAGAGCAGATTTGAAACACTCTTGCTGTGGCATTTTCAGGTGGAGATTTCAAGCGATTTGAGGACAATTGCAGAAAAGGAAATATCTTCGTATAATAACCAGACAGAATCATTCTCAGAAAGTGCTTTGTGATGTGTGCGTTCAACTCACAGAGTTTAACCTTTCTTTTCATAGAGGAGTTTGGAAACACACTGTTTGTAATTTCTGCAATTGGATATATGGACCTGTTTGAGGCCTTCGTTGGAAACGGGATTTCTTCATTGAATGCTAGACGGAAGAATTCTCAGTAAATTCTTTGTGTTGTGTGCATTCAACTCACAGAGTGGAACGTCCCTTTAGACAGAGCAGATTTGAAACACTTTTTGGCGGAATTTGCAAGTGGAGATTTCTAGCCATTTGATGCCAACAGTAGAAAGGGAAATATCTTCAAATAAAAACCAGACAGAATCATTCTCAGAAAATTCTTTGTGATGTGTGCGTTCAACTCACATAGTTTAACCTTTCTTTTCATAGAGCAGTTTGGAAACACTCTGTTTGTAAAGTCTGCAAGTGGATATATGGACCGCATTGAGGCCTTCGTTGGAAACGGGATTTCTTCATTTCATGCTAGACAGAAGAATTCTCAGTAACTTCTTTGTGCTGTGTGTATTCAACTCACAGAGTGGAACGTCCCTTTGCACAGAGCAGATTTGAAACACTCTTTTTGTGGAGTTTGCAAGTGGAGATTTCAAGCGATTTGATGCCAACAGTAGAAAAGGAAATATCTTCAAATAAAAACTAGACAGAATCATTCTCAGAAACTACTTTGTGATGTGTGCCTTCAACTCACAGAGTTTAACCTTTCTTTTCTTAGAGCAGTTTAGAAACACTCTGCTTGTTATGTCTGCAAGTGGATATTTGGACCTCTTTGAGGCCTTCGTTGCAAACGGGGTTTCTTCCTTTCATGCTAGACTAAGAAGAGTTCTCAGTAACTTTTTTGTGTTGTGTGTATTCAACTCACAGAGTTGAACCTTGCTTTAGAGAGAGCAGATTTGAAACACTCTCGCTGTGGCATTTTCAGGTGGAGATTTCAAGCGATTTGAGGACAATTGCAGAAAAGGAAATATCTTCGTATAATAACCAGACAGAATCATTCTCAGAAAGTGCTTTGTGATGTGTGCGTTCAACTCACAGAGTTTAACCTTTCTTTTCATAGAGGAGTTTGGAAACACACTGTTTGTAAAGTCTGCAAGTGGATATATGGACCTGTTTGAGGCCTTCGTTGGAAACGGGATTTCTTCATTGAATGCTAGACGGAAGAATTCTCAGTAAATTCTTTGTGTTGTGTGCATTCAACTCACAGAGTGGAACGTCCCTTTAGACAGAGCAGATTTGAAACACTCTTTTTGCGGAATTTGCAAGTGGAGATTTCTAGCCATTTGATGCCAACAGTAGAAAGGGAAATATCTTCAAATAAAAACCAGACAGAATCATTCTCAGAAAATTCTTTGTGATGTGTGCGTTCAACTCACATAGTTTAACCTTTCTTTTCATAGAGCAGTTTGGAAACACTCTGTTTGTAAAGTCTGCAAGTGGATATATGGACCCCATTGAGGCCTTCGTTGGAAACGGGATTTCTTCATTTCATGCTGGATAGAAGAATTCTCAGTAACTTCTTTGTGCTGTGTGTATTCAACTCACAGAGTGGAACGTCCCTTTACACAGAGCAGATTTGAAACACTCTTTTTGTGGAGTTTGCAAGTGGAGATTTCAAGCGATTTGATGCCAACAGTAGAAATGGAAATATCTTCAAATAAAAACTAGACAGAATCATTCTCAGAAACTACTTTGTGATGTGTGCCTTCAACTCACAGAGTTTAACCTTTCTTTTCTTAGAGCAGTTTAGAAACACTCTGCTTGTTATGTCTGCAAGTGGATATTTGGACCTCTTTGAGGCCTTCGTTGCAAACGGGGTTTCTTCCTTTCATGCTAGACTAAGAAAGAGTTCTCAGTAACTTTTTTGTGTTGTGTGTATTCAACTCACAGAGTTGAACCTTGCTTTAGAGAGAGCAGATTTGAAACACTCTTGCTGTGGCATTTTCAGGTGGAGATTTCAAGCGATTTGAGGACAATTGCAGAAAAGGAAATATCTTCGTATAATAACCAGACAGAATCATTCTCAGAAAGTGCTTTGTGATGTGTGCGTTCAACTCACAGAGTTTAACCTTTCTTTTCATAGAGGAGTTTGGAAACACACTGTTTGTAAAGTCTGCAAGTGGATATATGGACCTGTTTGAGGCCTTCGTTGGAAACGGGATTTCTTCATTGAATGCTAGACGGAAGAATTCTCAGTAAATTCTTTGTGTTGTGTGCATTCAACTCACAGAGTGGAACGTCCCTTTAGACAGAGCAGATTTGAAACACTCTTTTTGCGGAATTTGCAAGTGGAGATTTCTAGCCATTTGATGCCAACAGTAGAAAGGGAAATATCTTCAAATAAAAACCAGACAGAATCATTCTCAGAAAATTCTTTGTGATGTGTGCGTTCAACTCACATAGTTTAACCTTTCTTTTCATAGAGCAGTTTGGAAACACTCTGTTTGTAAATTCTGCAAGTGGATATATGGACCGCATTGAGGCCTTCGTTGGAAACGGGATTTCTTCATTTCATGCTAGACAGAAGAATTCTCAGTAACTTCTTTGTGCTGTGTGTATTCAACTCACAGAGTGGAACGTCCCTTTACAAAGAGCAGATTTGAAACACTCTTTTTGTGGAATTTGCAAGTGGAGATTTCAAGCGATTTGATGCCAACAGTAGAAAAGGAAATATCTTCAAATAAAAACTAGACAGAATCATTCTCAGAAACTACTTTGTGATGTGTGCCTTCAACTCACAGAGTTTAACCTTTCTTTTCTTAGAGCAGTTTAGAAACACTCTGCTTGTTATGTCTGCAAGTGGATATTTGGACCTCTTTGAGGCCTTCGTTGCAAACGGGGTTTCTTCCTTTAATGCTAGACTAAGAAGAGTTCTCAGTAACTTTTTTGTGTTGTGTGTATTCAACTCACAGAGTTGAACCTTGCTTTAGAGAGAGCAGCTTTGAAACACTCTTGCTGTGGCATTTTCAGGTGGAGATTTCAAGCGATTTGAGGACAATTGCAGAAAAGGAAATATCTTCGTATAATAACCAGACAGAATCATTCTCAGAAAAGTGCTTTGTGATGTGTGCGTTCAACTCACAGAGTTTAACCTTTCTTTTCATAGAGGAGTTTGGAAACACACTGTTTGTAAAGTCTGCAATTGGATATATGGACCTGTTTGAGGCCTTCTTTGGAAACGGGATTTCTTCATTGAATGCTAGACGGAAGAATTCTCAGTAAATTCTTTGTGTTGTGTGCATTCAACTCACAGAGTGGAACGTCCCTTTAGACAGAGCAGATTTGAAACACTCTTTTTGCGGAATTTGCAAGTGGAGATTTCTAGCCATTTGATGCCAACAGTAGAAAGGGAAATATCTTCAAATAAAAACCAGACAGAATCATTCTCAGAAAATTCTTTGTGATGTGTGCGTTCAACTCACATAGTTTAACCTTTCTTTTCATAGAGCAGTTTGGAAACACTCTGTTTGTAAAGTCTGCAAGTGGATATATAGACCGCATTGAGGCCTTCGTTGGAAACGGGATTTCTTCATTTCATGCTAGACAGAAGAATTCTCAGTAACTTCTTTGTGCTGTGTGTATTCAACTCACAGAGTGGAACGTCCCTTTACACAGAGCAGATTTGAAACACTCTTTTTGTGGAGTTTGCAAGTGGAGATTTCAAGCGATTTGATGCCAGCAGTAGAAAAGGAAATATCTTCAAATAAAAATTAGACAGAATCATTCTCAGAAACTACTTTGTGATGTGTGCCTTCAACTCACAGAGTTTAACCTTTCTTTTCTTAGAGCAGTTTAGAAACACTCTGCTTGTTATGTCTGCAAGTGGATATTTGGACCTCTTTGAGGCCTTCGTTGCAAACGGGGTTTCTTCCTTTCATGCTAGACTAAGAAGAGTTCTCAGTAACTTTTTTGTGTTGTGTGTATTCAACTCACAGAGTTGAACCTTGCTTTAGAGAGAGCAGATTTGAAACACTCTTGCTGTGGCATTTTCAGGTGGAGATTTCAAGCGATTTGAGGACAATTGCAGAAAAGGAAATATCTTCGTATAACAACCAGACAGAATCATTCTCAGAAAGTGCTTTGTGATGTGTGCGTTCAACTCACAGAGTTTAACCTTTCTTTTCATAGAGGAGTTTGGAAACACACTGTTTGTAAAGTCTGCAATTGGATATATGGACCTGTTTGAGGCCTTCGTTGGAAACGGGATTTCTTCATTGAATGCTAGACGGAAGAATTCTCAGTAAATTCTTTGTGTTGTGTGCATTCAACTCACAGAGTGGAACGTCCCTTTAGACAGAGCAGATTTGAAACACTCTTTTTGCGGAATTTGCAAGTGGAGATTTCTAGCCATTTGATGCCAACAGTAGAAAGGGAAATATCTTCAAATAAAAACCAGACAGAATCATTCTCAGAAAATTCTTTGTGATGTGTGCGTTCAACTCACATAGTTTAACCTTTCTTTTCATAGAGCAGTTTGGAAACACTCTGTTTGTAAAGTCTGCAAGTGGATATATGGACCGCATTGAGGCCTTCGTTGGAAACGGGATTTCTTCATTTCATGCTAGACAGAGAATTCTCAGTAACTTCTCTGTGCTGTGTGTATTCAACTCACAGACTGGAACGTCCGTTTGCACAGAGCAGATTTGAAACACTCTCTTTGTGGAATTTGCAAGTGGAGATTTCAAGCGATTTGATGCCAACAGTAGAAAAGGAAATATCTTCAAATAAAAACTAGACAGAACCATTCTCAGAAACTACTTTGTGATGTGTGCCTTCAACTCACAGAGTTTAACCTTTCTTTTCTTAGAGCAGTTTAGAAACACTCTGCTTGTTATGTCTGCAAGTGGATATTTGGACCTCTTTGAGGCCTTCGTTGCAAACGGGGTTTCTTCCTTTCATGCTAGACTAAGAAGAGTTCTCAGTAACTTTTTTGTGCTGTGTGTATTCAACTCACAGAGTTGAACCTTGCTTTAGAGAGAGCAGATTTGAAACACTCTTGCTGTGGCATTTTCAGGTGGAGATTTCAAGCGATTTGAGGACAATTGCAGAAAAGGAAATATCTTCGTATAACAACCAGACAGAATCATTCTCAGAAAGTGCTTTGTGATGTGTGCGTTCAACTCACAGAGTTTAACCTTTCTTTTCATAGAGGAGTTTGGAAACACACTGTTTGTAAAGTCTGCAATTGGATATATGGACCTGTTTGAGGCCTTCGTTGGAAACGGGATTTCTTCATTGAATGCTAGACGGAAGAATTCTCAGTAAATTCTTTGTGTTGTGTGCATTCAACTCACAGAGTGGAACGTCCCTTTAGACAGAGCAGATTTGAAACACTCTTTTTGCGGAATTTGCAAGTGGAGATTTCTAGCCATTTGATGCCAACAGTAGAAAGGGAAATATCTTCAAATAAAAACCAGACAGAATCATTCTCAGAAAATTCTTTGTGATGTGTGCGTTCAACTCACATAGTTTAACCTTTCTTTTCATAGAGCAGTTTGGAAACACTCTGTTTGTAAAGTCTGCAAGTGGATCTATGGACCGCATTGAGGCCTTCGTTGGAAACGGGATTTCTTCATTTCATGCTAGACAGAAGAATTCTCAGTAACTTCTTTGTGCTGTGTGTATTCAACTCACAGAGTGGAACGTCTCTTTACACAGAGCAGATTTGAAACACTCTTTTTGTGGAGTTTGCAAGTGGAGATTTCAAGCGATTTGATGCCAACAGTAGAAAATGAAATATCTTCAAATAAAAACTAGACAGAATCATTCTCAGAAACTACTTTGTGATGTGTGCCTTCAACTCACAGAGTTTAACCTTTCTTTTCTTAGAGCAGTTTAGAAACACTCTGCTTGTTATGTCTGCAAGTGGATATTTGGACCTCTTTGAGGCCTTCGTTGCAAACGGGGTTTCTTCCTTTAATGCTAGACTAAGAAGAGTTCTCAGTAACTCTTTTTGTGTTGTGTGCATTCAACTCACAGAGTTGAACCTTGCTTTAGAGAGAGCAGATTTGAAACACTCTTGCTGTGGCATTTTCAGGTGGAGATTTCAAGCGATTTGAGGACAATTGCAGAAAAGGAAATATCTTCGTATAACAACCAGACAGAATCATTCTCAGAGAGTGCTTTGTGATGTGTGCGTTCAACTCACAGAGTTTAACCTTTCTTTTCATAGAGGAGTTTGGAAACACACTGTTTGTAAAGTCTGCAATTGGATATATGGACCTGTTTGAGGCCTTCGTTGGAAACGGGATTTCTTCATTGAATGCTAGACGGAAGAATTCTCAGTAAATTCTTTGTGTTGTGTGCATTCAACTCACAGAGTGGAACGTCCCTTTAGACAGAGCAGATTTGAAACACTCTTTTTGCGGAATTTGCAAGTGGAGATTTCTAGCCATTTGATGCCAACAGTAGAAAGGGAAATATCTTCAAATAAAAACCAGACAGAATCATTCTCAGAAAATTCTTTGTGATGTGTGCGTTCAACTCACATAGTTTAACCTTTCTTTTCATAGAGCAGTTTGGAAACACTCTGTTTGTAAAGTCTGCAAGTGGATATATGGACCGCATTGAGGCCTTCGTTGGAAACGGGATTTCTTCATTTCATGCTAGACAGAAGAATTCTCAGTAACTTCTTTGTGCTGTGTGTATTCAACTCACAGAGTGGAACGTCCCTTTGCACAGAGCAGATTTGAAACACTCTTTTTGTGGAGTTTGCAAGTGGAGATTTCAAGCGATTTGATGCCAACAGTAGAAAAGGAAGTATCTTCAAATAAAAACTAGACAGAATCATTCTCAGAAACTACTTTGTGATGTGTGCCTTCAACTCACAGAGTTTAACCTTTCTTTTCTTAGAGCAGCTTAGAAACACTCTGCTTGTTATGTCTGCAAGTGGATATTTGGACCTCTTTGAGGCCTTCGTTGCAAACGGGGTTTCTTCCTTTAATGCTAGACTAAGAAGAGTTCTCAGTAACTTTTTTGTGTTGTGTGTATTCAACTCACAGAGTTGAACCTTGCTTTAGAGAGAGCAGATTTGAAACACTCTTGCTGTGGCATTTTCAGGTGGAGATTTCAAGCGATTTGAGGACAATTGCAGAAAAGGAAATATCTTCGTATAATAACCAGACAGAATCATTCTCAGAAAGTGCTTTGTGATGTGTGCGTTCAACTCACAGAGTTTAACCTTTCTTTTCATAGAGGAGTTTGGAAACACACTGTTTGTAAAGTCTGCAAGTGGATATATGGACCTGTTTGAGGCCTTCGTTGGAAACGGGATTTCTTCATTGAATGCTAGACGGAAGAATTCTCAGTAAATTCTTTGTGTTGTGTGCATTCAACTCACAGAGTGGAACGTCCCTTTAGACAGAGCAGATTTGAAACACTCTTTTTGCGGAATTTGCAAGTGGAGATTTCTAGCCATTTGATGCCAACAGTAGAAAGGGAAATATCTTCAAATAAAAACCAGACAGAATCATTCTCAGAAAATTCTTTGTGATGTGTGCGTTCAACTCACATAGTTTAACCTTTCTTTTTATAGAGCAGTTTGGAAACACTCTGTTTGTAAAGTCTGCAAGTGGATATATGGACCGCATTGAGGCCTTCGTTGGAAACGGGATTTCTTCATTTCATGCTAGACAGAAGAATTCTCAGTAACTTCTTTGTGCTGTGTGTATTCAACTCACAGAGTGGAACGTCCCTTTGCACAGAGCAGATTTGAAACACTCTTTTTGTGGAGTTTGCAAGTGGAGATTTCAAGCGATTTGATGCCAACAGTAGAAAAGGAAATATCTTCAAATAAAAACTAGACAGAATCATTCTCAGAAACTACTTTGTGATGTGTGCCTTCAACTCACAGAGTTTAACCTTTCTTTTCTTAGAGCAGTTTAGAAACACTCTGCTTGTTATGTCTGCAAGTGGATATTTGGACCTCTTTGAGGCCTTCGTTGCAAACGGGGTTTCTTCCTTTCATGCTAGACTAAGAAGAGTTCTCAGTAACTTTTTTGTGTTGTGTGTATTCAACTCACAGAGTTGAACCTTGCTTTAGAGAGAGCAGATTTGAAACACTCTTGATGTGGCATTTTCAGGTGGAGATTTCAAGCGATTTGAGGACAATTGCAGAAAAGGAAATATCTTCGTATAATAACCAGACAAAATCATTCTCAGAAAGTGCTTTGTGATGTGTGCGTTCAACTCACAGAGTTTAACCTTTCTTTTCATAGAGGAGTTTGGAAACACACTGTTTGTAAAGTCTGCAATTGGATATATGGACCTGTTTGAGGCCTTCTTTGGAAACGGGATTTCTTCATTGAATGCTAGACGGAAGAATTCTCAGTAAATTCTTTGTGTTGTGTGCATTCAACTCACAGAGTGGAACGTCCCTTTAGACAGAGCAGATTTGAAACACTCTTTTTGCGGAATTTGCAAGTGGAGATTTCTAGCCATTTGTTGCCAACAGTAGAAAGGGAAATATCTTCAAATAAAAACCAGACAGAATCATTCTCAGAAAATTCTTTGTGATGTGTGCGTTCAACTCACATAGTTTAACCTTTCTTTTCATAGAGCAGTTTGGAAACACTCTGTTTGTAAAGTCTGCAAGTGGATCTATGGACCGCATTGAGGCCTTCGTTGGAAACGGGATTTCTTCATTTCATGCTAGACAGAAGAATTCTCAGTAACTTCTTTGTGCTGTGTGTATTCAACTCACAGAGTGGAACGTCCCTTTGCACAGAGCAGATTTGAAACACTCTTTTTGTGGAATTTGCAAGTGGAGATTTCAAGCGATTTGATGCCAACAGTAGAAAAGGAAATATCTTCAAATAAAAACTAGACAGAATCATTCTCAGAAACTACTTTGTGATGTGTGCCTTCAACTCACAGAGTTTAACCTTTCTTTTCTTAGAGCAGTTTAGAAACACTCTGCTTGTTATGTCTGCAAGTGGATATTTGGACCTCTTTGAGGCCTTCGTTGCAAACGGGGTTTCTTCCTTTAATGCTAGACTAAGAAGAGTTCTCAGTAACTTTTTTGTGTTGTGTGTATTCAACTCACAGAGTTGAACCTTGCTTTAGAGAGAGCAGATTTGAAACACTCTTGCTGTGGCATTTTCAGGTGGAGATTTCAAGCGATTTGAGGACAATTGCAGAAAAGGAAATATCTTCGTATAATAACCAGACAGAATCATTCTCAGAAAGTGCTTTGTGATGTGTGCGTTCAACTCACAGAGTTTAACCTTTCTTTTCATAGAGGAGTTTGGAAACACACTGTTTGTAAAGTCTGCAATTGGATATATGGACCTGTTTGAGGCCTTCGTTGGAAACGGGATTTCTTCATTGAATGCTAGACGGAAGAATTCTCAGTAAATTCTTTGTGTGGTGTGCATTCAACTGACAGAGTGGAACGTCCCTTTAGACAGAGCAGATTTGAAACACTCTTTTTGCGGAATTTGCAAGTGGAGATTTCTAGCCATTTGATGCCAACAGTAGAAAGGGAAATATCTTCAAATAAAAACCAGACAGAATCATTCTCAGAAAATTCTTTGTGATGTGTGCGTTCAACTCACATAGTTTAACCTTTCTTTTCATAGAGCAGTTTGGAAACACTCTGTTTGTAAAGTCTGCAAGTGGATATATGGACCGCATTGAGGCCTTCGTTGGAAACGGGATTTCTTCATTTCATGCTAGACAAAAGAATTCTCAGTAACTTCTTTGTGCTGTGTGTATTCAACTCACAGAGTGGAACGTCCCTTTACACAGAGCAGATTTGAAACACTCTTTTTGTGGAGTTTGCAAGTGGAGATTTCAAGCGATTTGATGCCAACAGTAGAAAAGGAAATATCTTCAAATAAAAACTAGACAGAATCATTCTCAGAAACTACTTTGTGATGTGTGCCTTCAACTCACAGAGTTTAACCTTTCTTTTCTTAGAGCAGTTTAGAAACACTCTGCTTGTTATGTCTGCAAGTGGATATTTGGACCTCTTTGAGGCCTTCGTTGCAAACGGGGTTTCTTCCTTTCATGCTAGACTAAGAAGAGTTCTCAGTAACTTTTTTGTGTTGTGTGCATTCAACTCACAGAGTGGAACGTCCCTTTAGACAGAGCAGATTTGAAACACTCTTTTTGCGGAAGTTGCAGGTGGAGATTTCTAGCCATTTGTTGCCAACAGTACAAAGGGAAATATCTTCAAATAAAAACTAGACAGAATCATTCTCAGAAAGTGCTTTGTGATGTGTGCGTTCAACTCACAGAGTTTAACCTTTCTTTTCATAGAGGAGTTTGGAAACACACTGTTTGTAAAGTTTGCAATTGGATATATGGACCTGTTTGAGGCCTTCATTGGAAATGGGATTTCTTCATTGAATGCTAGACGGAAGAATTCTCAGTAAATTCTTTGTGTTGTGTGCATTCAACTCACAGAGTGGAACGTCCCTTTAGACAGAGCAGATTTGAAACACTCTTTTTGCGGAATTTGCAAGTGGAGATTTCTAGCCATTTGATGCCAACAGTAGAAAGGGAAATATCTTCAAATAAAAACCAGACAGAATCATTCTCAGAAAATTCTTTGTGATGTGTGCTTTCAACTCACATAGTTTAACCTTTCTTTTCATAGAGCAGTTTGGAAACACTCTGTTTGTAAAGTCTGCAAGTGGATATATGGACCGCATTGAGGCCTTCGTTGGAAACGGGATTTCTTCATTTCATGCTAGACAGATTCTCAGCAACTTTTTTGTGTTGTGTGTATTCAACTCACAGAGTTGAACCTTGCTTTAGAGAGAGCAGATTTGAAACACTCTTGCTGTGGCATTTTCAGGTGGAGATTTCAAGCGATTTGAGGACAATTGCAGAAAAGGAAATATCTTCGTATAATAACCAGACAGAATCATTCTCAGAAAGTGCTTTGTGATGTGTGCGTTCAACTCACAGAGTTTAACCTTTCTTTTCATAGAGGAGTTTGGAAACACACTGTTTGTAAAGTCTGCAATTGGATATATGGACCTGTTTGAGGCCTTCTTTGGAAACGGGATTTCTTCATTGAATGCTAGACGGAGGATTCTCAGTAAATTCTTTGTGTTGTGTGCATTCAACTCACAGAGTGGAACGTCCCTTTAGACAGAGCAGATTTGAAACACTCTTTTTGCGGAATTTGCAAGTGGAGATTTCTAGCCATTTGATGCCAACAGTAGAAAGGGAAATATCTTCAAATAAAAACCAGACAGAATCATTCTCAGAAAATTCTTTGTGATGTGTGCGTTCAACTCACATAGTTTAACCTTTCTTTTCATAGAGCAGTTTGGAAACACTCTGTTTGTAAAGTCTGCAAGTGGATATATGGACCGCATTGAGGCCTTCGTTGGAAACGGGATTTCTTCATTTCATGCTAGACAGAAGAATTCTCAGTAACTTCTTTGTGCTGTGTGTATTCAACTCACAGAGTGGAACGTCCCTTTACACAGAGCAGATTTGAAACACTCTTTTTGTGGAGTTTGCAAGTGGAGATTTCAAGCGATTTGATGCCAACAGTAGAAAAGGAAATATCTTCAAATAAAAACTAGACAGAATCATTCTCAGAAACTACTTTGTGATGTGTGCCTTCAACTCACAGAGTTTAACCTTTCTTTTCTTAGAGCAGTTTAGAAACACTCTGCTTGTTATGTCTGCAAGTGGATATTTGGACCTCTTTGAGGCCTTCGTTGCAAACGGGGTTTCTTCCTTTCATGCTAGACTAAGAAGAGTTCTCAGTAACTTTTTTGTGTTGTGTGTATTCAACTCACAGAGTTTAACCTTGCTTTAGAGAGAGCAGATTTGAAACACTCTTGCTGTGACATTTTCAGGTGGAGATTTCAAGCGATTTGAGGACAATTGCAGAAAAGGAAATATCTTCGTATAACAACCAGACAGAATCATTCTCAGAAAGTGCTTTGTGATGTGTGCGTTCCACTCACAGAGTTTAACCTTTCTTTTCATAGAGGAGTTTGGAAACACACTGTTTGTAAAGTCTGCAATTGGATATATGGACCTGTTTGAGGCCTTCGTTGGAAACGGGATTTCTTCATTGAATGCTAGACGGAAGAATTCTCAGTAAATTCTTTGTGTTGTGTGCATTCAACTCACAGAGTGGAACGTCCCTTTAGACAGAGCAGATTTGAAACACTCTTTTTGCGGAATTTGCAAGTGGAGATTTCTAGCCATTTGATGCCAACAGTTGAAAGGGAAATATCTTCAAATAAAAACCAGACAGAATCATTCTCAGAAAATTCTTTGTGATGTGTGCGTTCAACTCACATAGTTTAACCTTTCCTTTCATGGAGCAGTTTGGAAACACTCTGTTTGTAAAGTCTGCAAGTGGATATATGGACCGCATTGAGGCCTTCGTTGGAAACGGGATTTCTTCATTTCATGCTAGACAGAAGAATTCTCAGTAACTTCTTTGTGCTGTGTGTATTCAACTCACAGAGTGGAACGTCCCTTTGCACAGAGCGGATTTGAAACACTCTTTTTGTGGAGTTTGCAAGTGAAGATTTCAAGCGATTTGATGCCAACAGTAGAAAAGGAAATATCTTCAAATAAAAACTAGACAGAATCATTCTCAGAAACTACTTTGTGATGTGTGCCTTCAACTCACAGAGTTTAACCTTTCTTTTCATAGAGCAGTTTAGAAACACTCTGCTTGTTATGTCTGCAAGTGGATATTTTTACCTCTTTGAGGCCTTCGTTGCAAACGGGGTTTGTTCCTTTCATGCTAGACTAAGAAGAGTTCTCAGTAACTTTTTTGTGTTGTGTGTATTCAACTCACAGAGTTGAACCTTGCTTTAGAGAGAGCAGATTTGAAACACTCTTGCTGTGGCATTTTCAGGTGGAGATTTCAAGCGATTTGAGGACAATTGCAGAAAAGGAAATATCTTCGTATAATAACCAGACAGAATCATTCTCAGAAAGTGCTTTGTGATGTGTGCGTTCAACTCACAGAGTTTAACCTTTCTTTTCATAGAGGAGTTTGGAAACACACTGTTTGTAAAGTCTGCAATTGGATATATGGACCTGTTTGAGGCCTCCGTTGGAAACGGGATTTCTTCATTGAATGCTAGACGGAAGAATTCTCAGTAAATTCTTTGTGTTGTGTGCATTCAACTCACAGAGTGGAACGTCCCTTTAGACAGAGCAGATTTGAAACACTCTTTTTGCGGAATTTGCAAGTGGAGATTTCTAGCCATTTGATGCCAACAGTAGAAAGGGAAATATCTTCAAATAAAAACCAGACAGAATCATTCTCAGAAAATTCTTTGTGATGTGTGCGTTCAACTCACATAGTTTAACCTTTCTTTTCATAGAGCAGTTTGGAAACACTCTGTTTGTAAAGTCTGCAAGTGGATATATGGACCGCATTGAGGCCTTCGTTGGAAACGGGATTTCTTCATTTCATGCTAGACAGAAGAATTCTCAGTAACTTCTTTGTGCTGTGTGTATTCAACTCACAGAGTGGAACGTCCCTTTACACAGAGCAGATTTGAAACACTCTATTTGTGGAGTTTGCAAGTGGAGATTTCAAGCGATTTGATGCCAACAGTAGAAAAGGAAATATCTTCAAATAAAAACTAGACAGAATCATTCTCAGAAACTACTTTGTGATGTGTGCCTTCAACTCACAGAGTTTAACCTTTCTTTTCTTAGAGCAGTTTAGAAACACTCTGCTTGTTATGTCTGCAAGTGGATATTTGGACCTCTTTGAGGCCTTCGTTGCAAACGGGGTTTCTTCCTTTCATGCTAGACTAAGAAGAGTTCTCAGTAACTTTTTTGTGTTGTGTGTATTCAACTCACAGAGCTGAACCTTGCTTTAGAGAGAGCAGATTTGAAACACTCTTGCTGTGGCATTTTCAGGTGGAGATTTCAAGCGATTTGAGGACAATTGCAGAAAAGGAAATATCTTCGTATAACAACCAGACAGAATCATTCTCAGAAAGTGCTTTGTGATGTGTGCATTCAACTCACAGAGTTTAACCTTTCTTTTCATTGAGGAGTTTGGAAACACACTGTTTGTAAAGTCTGCAATTGGATATATGGACCTGTTTGAGGCCTTCGTTGGAAACGGGATTTCTTCATTGAATGCTAGACGGAAGAATTCTCAGTAAATTCTTTGTGTTGTGTGCATTCAACTGACAGAGTGGAACGTCCCTTAAGACAGAGCAGATTTGAAACACTCTTTTTGCGGAATTTGCAAGTGGAGATTTCTAGCCATTTGATGCCAACAGTAGAAAGGGAAATATCTTCAAATAAAAACCAGACAGAATCATTCTCAGAAAATTCTTTGTGATGTGTGCGTTCAACTCACATAGTTTAACCTTTCTTTTCATAGAGCAGTTTGGAAACACTCTGTTTGTAAAGTCTGCAAGTGGATATATGGACCGCATTGAGGCCTTCGTTGGAAACGGGATTTCTTCATTTCATGCTAGACAGAAGAATTCTCAGTAACTTCTTTGTGCTGTGTGTATTCAACTCACAGAGTGGAACTTCCCTTTGCACAGAGCAGATTTGAAACACTCTTTTTGTGGAGTTTGCAAGTGGAGATTTCAAGCGATTTGATGCCAACAGTAGAAAAGGAAATATCTTCAAATAAAAACTAGACAGAATCATTCTCAGAAACTACTTTGTGATGTGTGCCTTCAACTCACAGAGTTTAACCTTTCTATTCTTAGAGCAGTTTAGAAACACTCTGCTTGTTATGTCTGCAAGTGGATATTTGGACCTCTTTGAGGCCTTCGTTGCAAACGGGGTTTCTTCCTTTCATGCTAGACTAAGAAGAGTTCTCAGTAACTTTTTTGTGTTGTGTGTATTCAACTCACAGAGTTGAACCTTGCTTTAGAGAGAGCAGATTTGAAACACTCTTGCTGTGGCATTTTCAGGTGGAGATTTCAAGCGATTTGAGGACAATTGCAGAAAAGGAAATATCTTCGTATAATAACCAGACAGAATCATTCTCAGAAAGTGCTTTGTGATGTGTGCGTTCCACTCACAGAGTTTAACCTTTCTTTTCATAGAGGAGTTTGGAAACACACTGTTTGTAAAGTCTGCAAGTGGATATATGGACCTGTTTGAGGCCTTCGTTGGAAACGGGATTTCTTCATTGAATGCTAGACGGAAGAATTCTCAGTAAATTCTTTGTGTTGTGTGCATTCAACTCACAGAGTGGAACGTCCCTTTAGACAGAGCAGATTTGAAACACTCTTTTTGCGGAATTTGCAAGTGGAGATTTCTAGCCATTTGATGCCAACAGTAGAAAGGGAAATATCTTCAAATAAAAACCAGACAGAATCATTCTCAGAAAATTCTTTGTGATGTGTGCGTTCAACTCACATAGTTTAACCTTTCTTTTCATAGAGCAGTTTGGAAACACTCTGTTTGTAAAGTCTGCAAGTGGATATATGGACCGCATTGAGGCCTTCGTTGGAAACGGGATTTCTTCATTTCATGCTAGACAGAAGAATTCTCAGTAACTTCTTTGTGCTGTGTGTATTCAACTCACAGAGTGGAACGTCCCTTTGCACAGAGCAGATTTGAAACACTCTTTTTGTGGAGTTTGCAAGTGGAGATTTCAAGCGATTTGATGCCAACAGTAGAAAAGGAAATATCTTCAAATAAAAACTAGACAGAATCATTCTCAGAAACTACTTTGTGATGTGTGCCTTTAACTCACAGAGTTTAACCTTTCTTTTCTTAGAGCAGTTTAGAAACACTCTGCTTGTTATGTCTGCAAGTGGATATTTGGACCTCTTTGAGGCCTTCGTTGCAAACGGGGTTTCTTCCTTTCATGCTAGACTAAGAAGAGTTCTCAGTAACTTTTTTGTGTTGTGTGTATTCAACTCACAGAGTTGAACCTTGCTTTAGAGAGAGCAGATTTGAAACACTCTTGCTGTGGCATTTTCAGGTGGAGATTTCAAGCGATTTGAGGACAATTGCAGAAAAGGAAATATCTTCGTATAATAACCAGACAGAATCATTCTCAGAAAGTGCTTTGTGATGTGTGCGTTCCACTCACAGAGTTTAACCTTTCTTTTCATAGAGGAGTTTGGAAACACACTGTTTGTAAAGTCTGCAAGTGGATATATGGACCTCTTTGAGGCCTTCGTTGGAAACGGGATTTCTTCATTGAATGCTAGACGGAAGAATTCTCAGTAAATTCTTTGTGTTGTGTGCATTCAACTCACAGAGTGGAACGTCCCTTTAGACAGAGCAGATTTGAAACACTCTTTTTACGGAATTTGCAAGTGGAGATTTCTAGCCATTTGATGCCAACAGTAGAAAGGGAAATATCTTCAAATAAAAACCAGACAGAATCATTCTCAGAAAATTCTTTGTGATGTGTGCGTTCAACTCACATAATTTAACCTTTCTTTTCATAGAGCAGTTTGGAAACACTCTGTTTGTAAAGTCTGCAAGTGGATATATGGACCGCATTGAGGCCTTCGTTGGAAACGGGATTTCTTCATTTCATGCTAGACAGAAGAATTCTCAGTAACTTCTTTGTGCTGTGTGTATTCAACTCACAGAGTGGAACGTCCCTTTGCACAGAGCAGATTTGAAACACTCTTTTTGTGCAATTTGCAAGTGGAGATTTCAAGCGATTTGATGCCAACAGTAGAAAAGGAAATATCTTCAAATAAAAACTAGACAGAATCATTCTCAGAAACTACTTTGTGATGTGTGCCTTCAACTCACAGAGTTTAACCTTTCTTTTCTTAGAGCAGTTTAGAAACACTCTGCTTGTTATGTCTGCAAGTGGATATTTGGACCTCTTTGAGGCCTTCGTTGCAAACGGGGTTTCTTCCTTTCATGCTAGACTAAGAAGAGTTCTCAGTAACTTTTTTGTGTTGTGTGTATTCAACTCACAGAGTTGAACCTTGCTTTAGAGAGAGCAGATTTGAAACACTCTTGCTGTGGCATTTTCAGGTGGAGATTTCAAGCGATTTGAGGACAATTGCAGAAAAGGAAATATCTTCGTATAATAACCAGACAGAATCATTCTCAGAAAGTGCTTTGTGATGTGTGCGTTCAACTCACAGAGTTTAACCTTTCTTTTCATAGAGGAGTTTGGAAACACACTGTTTGTAAAGTCTGCAATTGGATATATGGACCTGTTTGAGGCCTTCTTTGGAAACGGGATTTCTTCATTGAATGCTAGACGGAAGAATTCTCAGTAAATTCTTTGTGTTGTGTGCATTCAACTCACAGAGTGGAACGTCCCTTTAGACAGAGCAGATTTGAAACACTCTTTTTGCGGAATTTGCAAGTGGAGATTTCTAGCCATTTGATGCCAACAGTAGAAAGGGAAATATCTTCAAATAAAAACCAGACAGAATCATTCTCAGAAAATTCTTTGTGATGTGTGCGTTCAACTCACATAGTTTTACCTTTCTTTTCATAGAGCAGTTTGGAAACACTCTGTTTGTAAAGTCTGCAAGTGGATATATGGACCGCATTGAGGCCTTCGTTGGAAACGGGATTTCTTCATTTCATGCTAGACAGAAGAATTCTCAGTAACTTCTTTGTGCTGTGTGTATTCAACTCACAGAGTGGAACGTCCCTTTACACAGAGCAGATTTGAAACACTCTTTTTGTGGAGTTTGCAAGTGGAGATTTCAAGCGATTTGATGCCAACAGTAGAAAAGGAAATATCTTCAAATAAAAACTAGACAGAATCATTCTCAGAAACTACTTTGTGATGTGTGCCTTCAACTCAGAGTTTAACCTTTCTTTTCTTAGAGCAGTTTAGAAACACTCTGCTTGTTATGTCTGCAAGTGGATATTTGGACCTCTTTGAGGCCTTCGTTGCAAACGGGGTTTCTTCCTTTCATGCTAGACTAAGAAGAGTTCTCAGTAACTTTTTTGTGTTGTGTGTATTCAACTCACAGAGTTGAACCTTGCTTTAGAGAGAGCAGATTTGAAACACTCTTGCTGTGGCATTTTCAGGTGGAGATTTCAAGCGATTTGAGGACAATTGCAGAAAAGGAAATATCTTCGTATAATAACCAGACAGAATCATTCTCAGAAAGTGCTTTGTGTTGTGTGCGTTCAACTCACAGAGTTTAACCTTTCTTTTCATAGAGGAGTTTGGAAACACACTGTTTGTAAAGTCTGCAATTGGATATATGGACCTGTTTGAGGCCTTCGTTGGAAACGGGATTTCTTCATTGAATGCTAGACGGAAGAATTCTCAGTAAATTCTTTGTGTTGTGTGCATTCAACTGACAGAGTGGAACGTCCCTTTAGACAGAGCAGATTTGAAACACTCTTTTTGCGGAATTTGCAAGTGGAGATTTCTAGCCATTTCATGCCAACAGTAGAAAGGGAAATATCTTCAAATAAAAACCAGACAGAATCATTCTCAGAAAATTCTTTGTGATGTGTGCGTTCAACTCACATAGTTTAACCTTTCTTTTCATAGAGCAGTTTGGAAACACTCTGTAAAGTCTGCAAGTGGATATATGGACCGCATTGAGGCCTTCGTTGGAAACGGGATTTCTTCATTTCATGCTAGACAGAAGAATTCTCAGTAACTTCTTTGTGCTGTGTGTATTCAACTCACAGAGTGGAACGTCCCTTTGCACAGAGCAGATTTGAAACACTCTTTTTGTGGAGTTTGCAAGTGGAGATTTCAAGCGATTTGATGCCAACAGTAGAAAAGGAAATATCTTCAAATAAAAACTAGACAGAATCATTCTCAGAAACTACTTTGTGATGTGTGCCTTCAACTCACAGAGTTTAACCTTTCTTTTCTTAGAGCAGTTTAGAAACACTCTGCTTGTTATGTCTGCAAGTGGATATTTGGACCTCTTTGAGGCCTTCGTTGCAAACGGGGTTTCTTCCTTTCATGCTAGACTAAGAAGAGTTCTCAGTAACTTTTTTGTGTTGTGTGTATTCAACTCACAGAGTTGAACCTTGCTTTAGAGAGAGCAGATTTGAAACACTCTTGCTGTGGCATTTTCAGGTGGAGATTTCAAGCGATTTGAGGACAATTGCAGAAAAGGAAATATCTTCGTATAATAACCAGACAGAATCTTTCTCAGAAAGTGCTTTGTGATGTGTGCGTTCAACTCACACAGTTTAACCTTTCTTTCCATAGAGGAGTTTGGAAACACACTGTTTGTAAAGTCTGCAATTGGATATATGGACCTGTTTGAGGCCTTCGTTGGAAACGGGATTTCTTCATTGAATGCTAGACGGAAGAATTCTCAGTAAATTCTTTGTGTTGTGTGCATTCAACTCACAGAGTGGAACGTCCCTTTAGACAGAGCAGATTTGAAACACTTTTTGGCGGAATTTGCAAGTGGAGATTTTTAGCCATTTGATGCCAACAGTAGAAAGGGAAATATCTTCAAATAAAAACCAGACAGAATCATTCTCAGAAAATTCTTTGTGATGTGTGCGTTCAACTCACATAGTTTAACCTTTCTTTTCATAGAGCAGTTTGGAAACACTCTGTTTGTAAAGTCTGCAAGTGGATATATGGACCGCATTGAGGCCTTCGTTGGAAACGGGATTTCTTCATTTCATGCTAGACAGAAGAATTCTCAGTAACTTCTTTGTGCTGTGTGTATTCAACTCACAGAGTGGAACGTCCCTTTACACAGAGCAGATTTGAAACACTCTTTTTGTGGAGTTTGCAAGTGGAGATTTCAAGCGATTTGATGCCAACAGTAGAAAAGGAAATATCTTCAAATAAAAACTAGACAGAATCATTCTCAGAAACTACTTTGTGATGTGTGCCTTCAAACTCACAGAGTTTAACCTTTCTTTTCTTAGAGCAGTTTAGAAACACTCTGCTTGTTATGTCTGCAAGTGGATATTTGGACCTCTTTGAGGCCTTCGTTGCAAACGGGGTTTCTTCCTTTCATGCTAGACTAAGAAGAGTTCTCAGTAACTTTTTTGTGTTGTGTGTATTCAACTCACAGAGTTGAACCTTGCTTTAGAGAGAGCAGATTTGAAACACTCTTGCTGTGGCATTTTCAGGTGGAGATTTCAAGCGATTTGAGGACAATTGCAGAAAAAGAAATATCTTCGTATAATAACCAGACAGAATCATTCTCAGAAAGTGCTTTGTGATGTGTGCCGTTCAACTCACAGAGTTTAACCTTTCTTTTCATAGAGGAGTTTGGAAACACACTGTTTGTAAAGTCTGCAAGTGGATATATGGACCTGTTTGAGGCCTTCGTTGGAAACGGGATTTCTTCATTGAATGCTAGACGGAAGAATTCTCAGTAAATTCTTTGTGTTGTGTGCATTCAACTCACAGAGTGGAACGTCCCTTTAGACAGAGCAGATTTGAAACACTCTTTTTGCGGAATTTGCAAGTGGAGATTTCTAGCCATTTGATGCCAACAGTAGAAAGGGAAATATCTTCAAATAAAAACCAGACAGAATCATTCTCAGAAAATTCTTTGTGATGTGTGCGTTCAACTCACATAGTTTAACCTTTCTTTTCATAGAGCAGTTTGGAAACACTCTGTTTGTAAAGTCTGCAAGTGGATATATGGACCGCATTGAGGCCTTCGTTGGAAACGGGATTTCTTCATTTCATGCTAGACAGAAGAATTCTCAGTAACTTCTTTGTGCTGTGTGTATTCAACTCACAGAGTGGAACGTCCCTTTGCACAGAGCAGATTTGAAACACTCTTTTTGTGGAATTTGCAAGTGGAGATTTCAAGCGATTTGATGCCAACAGTAGAAAAGGAAATATCTTCAAATAAAAACTAGACAGAATCATTCTCAGAAACTACTTTGTGATGTGTGCCTTCAACTCACAGAGTTTAACCTTTCTTTTCTTAGAGCAGTTTAGAAACACTCTGCTTGTTATGTCTGCAAGTGGATATTTGGACCTCTTTGAGTCCTTCGTTGCAAACGGGGTTTCTTCCTTTCATGCTAGACTAAGAAGAGTTCTCAGTAACTTTTTTGTGTTGTGTGTATTCAACTCACAGAGTTGAACCTTGCTTTAGAGAGAGCAGATTTGAAACACTCTTGCTGTGGCATTTTCAGGTGGAGATTTCAAGCGATTTGAGGACAATTGCAGAAAAGGAAATATCTTCGTATAATAACCAGACAGAATCATTCTCAGAAAGTGCTTTGTGATGTGTGCTTTCCACTCACAGAGTTTAACCTTTCTTTTCATAGAGGAGTTTGGAAACACACTGTTTGTAAAGTCTGCAAGTGGATATATGGACCTGTTTGAGGCCTTCGTTGGAAACGGGATTTCTTCATTGAATGCTAGACGGAAGAATTCTCAGTAAATTCTTTGTGTTGTGTGCATTCAACTCACAGAGTGGAACGTCCCTTTAGACAGAGCAGATTTGAAACACTCTTTTTGCGGAATTTGCAAGTGGAGATTTCTAGCCATTTGATGCCAACAGTAGAAAGGGAAATATCTTCAAATAAAAACCAGACAGAATCATTCTCAGAAAATTCTTTGTGATGTGTGCGTTCAACTCACATAGTTTAACCTTTCTTTTCATAGAGCAGTTTGGAAACACTCTGTTTGTAAAGTCTGCAAGTGGATATATGGACCGCATTGAGGCCTTCGTTGGAAACGGGATTTCTTCATTTCATGCTAGACAGAAGAATTCTCAGTAACTTCTTTGTGCTGTGTGTATTCAACTCACAGAGTGGAACGTCCCTTTGCACAGAGCAGATTTGAAACACTCTTTTTGTGGAGTTTGCAAGTGGAGATTTCAAGCGATTTGATGCCAACAGTAGAAAAGGAAATATCTTCAAATAAAAACTAGACAGAATCATTCTCAGAAACTACTTTGTGATGTGTGCCTTCAACTCACAGAGTTTAACCTTTCTTTTCTTAGAGCAGTTTAGAAACACTCTGCTTGTTATGTCTGCAAGTGGATATTTGGACCTCTTTGAGGCCTTCGTTGCAAACGGGGTTTCTTCCGTTCATGCTAGACTAAGAAGAGTTCTCAGTAACTTTTTTGTGTTGTGTGTATTCAACTCACAGAGTTGAACCTTGCTTTAGAGAGAGCAGATTTGAAACACTCTTGCTGTGGCATTTTCAGGTGGAGATTTCAAGCGATTTGAGGACAATTGCAGAAAAGGAAATATCTTCGTATAACAACCAGACAGAATCATTCTCAGAAAGTGCTTTGTGATGTGTGCGTTCAACTCAGAGAGTTTAACCTTTCTTTTCATAGAGGAGTTTGGAAACACACTGTTTGTAAAGTCTGCAATTGGATATATGGACCTGTTTGAGGCCTTCGTTGGAAACGGGATTTCTTCATTGACTGCTAGACGGAAGAATTCTCAGTAAATTCTTTGTGTTGTGTGCATTCAACTCACAGAGTGGAACGTCCCTTTAGACAGAGCAGATTTGAAACACTCTTTTTGCGGAATTTGCAAGTGGAGATTTCTAGCCATTTGATGCCAACAGTAGAAAGGGAAATATCTTCAAATAAAAACCAGACAGAATCATTCTCAGAAAATTCTTTGTGATGTGTGCGTTCAACTCACATAGTTTAACCTTTCTTTTCATAGAGCAGTTTGGAAACACTCTGTTTGTAAAGTCTGCAAGTGGATATATGGACCGCATTGAGGCCTTCGTTGGAAACGGGATTTCTTCATTTCATGCTAGACAGAAGAATTCTCAGTAACTTCTTTGTGCTGTGTGTATTCAACTCACAGAGTGGAACGTCCCTTTACACAGAGCAGATTTGAAACACTCTTTTTGTGGAGTTTGCAAGTGGAGATTTCAAGCGATTTGATGCCAACAGTAGAAAAGGAAATATCTTCAAATAAAAACTAGACAGAATCATTCTCAGAAACTACTTTGTGATGTGTGCCTTCAACTCACAGAGTTTAACCTTTCTTTTCTTAGAGCAGTTTAGAAACACTCTGCTTGTTATGTCTGCAAGTGGATATTTGGACCTCTTTGAGGCCTTCGTTGCAAACGGGGTTTCTTCCTTTAATGCTAGACTAAGAAGAGTTCTCAGTAACTTTTTTGTGTTGTGTGTATTCAACTCACAGAGTTGAACCTTGCTTTAGAGAGAGCAGATTTGAAACACTCTTGCTGTGGCATTTTCAGGTGGAGATTTCAAGCGATTTGAGGACAATTGCAGAAAAGGAAATATCTTCGTATAATAACCAGACAGAATCATTCTCAGAAAGTGCTTTGTGATGTGTGCGTTCAACTCACAGAGTTTAACCTTTCTTTTCATAGAGGAGTTTGGAAACACACTGTTTGTAAAGTCTGCAATTGGATATATGGACCTGTTTGAGGCCTTCGTTGGAAACGGGATTTCTTCATTGAATGCTAGACGGAAGAATTCTCAGTAAATTCTTTGTGTTGTGTGCATTCAACTGACAGAGTGGAACGTCCCTTTAGACAGAGCAGATTTGAAACACTCTTTTTGCGGAATTTGCAAGTGGAGATTTCTAGCCATTTGATGCCAACAGTAGAAAGGGAAATATCTTCAAATAAAAACCAGACAGAATCATTCTCAGAAAATTCTTTGTGATGTGTGCGTTCAACTCACATAGTTTAACCTTTCTTTTCATAGAGCAGTTTGGAAACACTCTGTTTGTAAAGTCTGCAAGTGGATATATGGACCGCATTGAGGCCTTCGTTGGAAACGGGATTTCTTCATTTCATGCTAGACAGAAGAATTCTCAGTAACTTCTTTGTGCTGTGTGTATTCAACTCACAGAGTGGAACGTCCCTTTGCACAGAGCAGATTTGAAACACTCTTTTTGTGGAATTTGCAAGTGGAGATTTCAAGCGATTTGATGCCAACAGTAGAAAAGGAAATATCTTCAAATAAAAACTAGACAGAATCATTCTCAGAAACTACTTTGTGATGTGTGCCTTCAACTCACAGAGTTTAACCTTTCTTTTCTTAGAGCAGTTTAGAAACACTCTGCTTGTTATGTCTGCAAGTGGATATTTGGACCTCTTTGAGACCTTCGTTGCAAACGGGGTTTCTTCCTTTAATGCTAGACTAAGAAAGAGTTCTCAGTAACTTTTTTGTGTTGTGTGTATTCAACTCACAGAGTTGAACCTTGCTTTAGAGAGAGCAGATTTGAAACACTCTTGCTGTGGCATTTTCAGGTGGAGATTTCAAGCGATTTGAGGAGAATTGCAGAAAAGGAAATATCTTCGTATAATAACCAGACAGAATCATTCTCAGAAAGTGCTTTGTGATGTGTGCGTTCAACTCACAGAGTTTAACCTTTCTTTTCATAGAGGAGTTTGGAAACACACTGTTCGTAAAGTCTGCAAGTGGATATATGGACCTGTTTGAGGCCTTCGTTGGAAACGGGATTTCTTCATTGAATGCTAGACGGAAGAATTCTCAGTAAATTCTTTGTGTTGTGTGCATTCAACTCACAGAGTGGAACGTCCCTTTAGACAGAGCAGATTTGAAACACTCTTTTTGCGGAATTTGCAAGTGGAGATTTCTAGCCATTTGATGCCAACAGTAGAAAGGGAAATATCTTCAAATAAAAACCAGACAGAATCATTCTCAGAAAATTCTTTGTGATGTGTGCGTTCAACTCACATAGTTTAACCTTTCTTTTCATAGAGCAGTTTGGAAACACTCTGTTTGTGAAGTCTGCAAGTGGATATATAGACCGCATTGAGGCCTTCGTTGGAAACGGGATTTCTTCATTTCATGCTAGACAGAAGAATTCTCAGTAACTTCTTTGTGCTGTGTGTATTCAACTCACAGAGTGGAACGTCCCTTTGCACAGAGCAGATTTGAAACACTCTTTTTGTGGAGTTTGCAAGTGGAGATTTCAAGCGATTTGATGCCAACAGTAGAAAAGGAAATATCTTCAAATAAAAATTAGACAGAATCATTCTCAGAAACTACCTTGTGATGTGTGCCTTCAACTCACAGAGTTTAACCTTTCTTTTCTTAGAGCAGTTTAGAAACACTCTGCTTGTTATGTCTGCAAGTGGATATTTGGACCTCTTTGAGGCCTTCGTTGCAAACGGGGTTTCTTCCTTTCATGCTAGACTAAGAAGAGTTCTCAGTAACTTTTTTGTGTTGTGTGTATTCAACTCACAGAGTTGAACCTTGCTTTAGAGAGAGCAGATTTGAAACACTCTTGCTGTGGCATTTTCAGGTGGAGATTTCAAGCGATTTGAGGACAATTGCAGAAAAGGAAATATCTTCGTATAACAACCAGACAGAATCATTCTCAGAAAGTGCTTTGTGATGTGTGCGTTCAACTCACAGAGTTTAACCTTTCTTTTCATAGAGGAGTTTGGAAACACACTGTTTGTAAAGTCTGCAAGTGGATATATGGACCTGTTTGAGGCCTTCGTTGGAAACGGGATTTCTTCATTGAATGCTAGACGGAAGAATTCTCAGTAAATTCTTTGTGTTGTGTGCATTCAACTCACAGAGTGGAACGTCCCTTTAGACAGAGCAGATTTGAAACACTCTTTTTGCGGAATTTGCAAGTGGAGATTTCTAGCCATTTGATGCCAACAGTAGAAAGGGAAATATCTTCAAATAAAAACCAGACAGAATCATTCTCAGAAAATTCTTTGTGATGTGTGCGTTCAACTCACATAGTTTAACCTTTCTTTTCATAGAGCAGTTTGGAAACACTCTGTTTGTAAAGTCTGCAAGTGGATATATGGACCGCATTGAGGCCTTCGTTGGAAACGGGATTTCTTCATTTCATGCTAGACAGAAGAATTCTCAGTAACTTCTTTGTGCTGTGTGTATTCAACTCACAGAGTGGAACGTCCCTTTGCACAGAGCAGATTTGAAACACTCTTTTTGTGGAGTTTGCAAGTGGAGATTTCAAGCGATTTGATGCCAACAGTAGAAAAGGAAATATCTTCAAATAAAAACTAGACAGAATCATTCTCAGAAACTACTTTGTGATGTGTGCCTTCAACTCACAGAGTTTAACCTTTCTTTTCTTAGAGCAGTTTAGAAACACTCTGCTTGTTATGTCTGCAAGTGGATATTTGGACCTCTTTGAGGCCTTCGTTGCAAACGGGGTTTCTTCCTTTCATGCTAGACTAAGAAGAGTTCTCAGTAACTTTTTTGTGTTGTGTGTATTCAACTCACAGAGTTGAACCTTGCTTTAGAGAGAGCAGATTTGAAACACTCTTGCTGTGGCATTTTCAGGTGGAGATTTCAAGCGATTTGAGGACAATTGCAGAAAAGGAAATATCTTCGTATAATAACCAGACAGAATCATTCTCAGAAAGTGCTTTGTGATGTGTGCGTTCCACTCACAGAGTTTAACCTTTCTTTTCATAGAGGAGTTTGGAAACACACTGTTTGTAAAGTCTGCAAGTGGATATATGGACCTGTTTGAGGCCTTCGTTGGAAACGGGATTTCTTCATTGAATGCTAGACGGAAGAATTCTCAGTAAATTCTTTGTGTTGTGTGCATTCAACTCACAGAGTGGAACGTCCCTTTAGACAGAGCAGATTTGAAACACTCTTTTTGCGGAATTTGCAAGTGGAGATTTCTAGCCATTTGATGCCAACAGTAGAAAGGGAAATATCTTCAAATAAAAACCAGACAGAATCATTCTCAGAAAATTCTTTGTGATGTGTGCGTTCAACTCACATAGTTTAACCTTTCTTTTCATAGAGCAGTTTGGAAACACTCTGTTTGTAAAGTCTGCAAGTGGATATATGGACCGCATTGAGGCCTTCGTTGGAAACGGGATTTCTTCATTTCATGTTAGACAGAAGAATTCTCAGTAACTTCTTTGTGCTGTGTGTATTCAACTCACAGAGTGGAACGTCCCTTTGCACAGAGCAGATTTGAAACACTCTTTTTGTGGAATTTGCAAGTGGAGATTTCAAGCGATTTGATGCCAACAGTAGAAAAGGAAATATCTTCAAATAAAAACTAGACAGAATCATTCTCAGAAACTACTTTGTGATGTGTGCCTTCAACTCACAGAGTTTAACCTTTCTTTTCTTAGAGCAGTTTAGAAACACTCTGCTTGTTATGTCTGCAAGTGGATATTTGGACCTCTTTGAGGCCTTCGTTGCAAACGGGGTTTCTTCCTTTCATGCTAGACTAAGAAGAGTTCTCAGTAACATTTTGTGTTGTGTGTATTCAACTCACAGAGTTGAACCTTGCTTTAGAGAGAGCAGATTTGAAACACTCTTGCTGTGGCATTTTCAGGTGGAGATTTCAAGCGATTTGAGGACAATTGCAGAAAAGGAAATATCTTCGTATAACAACCAGACAGAATCATTCTCAGAAAGTGCTTTGTGATGTGTGCGTTCAACTCACAGAGTTTAACCTTTCTTTTCATAGAGGAGTTTGGAAACACACTGTTTGTAAAGTCTGCAATTGGATATATGGACCTGTTTGAGGCCTTCGTTGGAAACGGGATTTCTTCATTGAATGCTAGACGGAAGAATTCTCAGTAAATTCTTTGTGTTGTGTGCATTCAACTGACAGAGTGGAACGTCCCTTTAGACAGAGCAGATTTGAAACACTCTTTTTGCGGAATTTGCAAGTGGAGATTTCTAGCCATTTGATGCCAACAGTAGAAAGGGAAACATCTTCAAATAAAAACCAGACAGAATCATTCTCAGAAAATTCTTTGTGATGTGTGCGTTCAACTCACATAGTTTAACCTTTCTTTTCATAGAGCAGTTTGGAAACACTCTGTTTGTAAAGTCTGCAAGTGGATATATGGACCGCATTGAGGCCTTCGTTGGAAACGGGATTTCTTCATTTCATGCTAGACAGAAGAATTCTCAGTAACTTCTTTGTGCTGTGTGTATTCAACTCACAGAGTGGAACGTCCCTTTACACAGAGCAGATTTGAAACACTCTTTTTGTGGAGTTTGCAAGTGGAGATTTCAAGCGAATTGATGCCAACAGTAGAAAAGGAAATATCTTCAAATAAAAACTAGACAGAATCATTCTCAGAAACTACTTTGTGATGTGTGCCTTCAACTCACAGAGTTTAACCTTTCTTTTCTTAGAGCAGTTTAGAAACACTCTGCTTGTTATGTCTGCAAGTGGATATTTGGACCTCTTTGAGGCCTTCGTTGCAAACGGGGTTTCTTCCTTTCATGCTAGACTAAGAAGAGTTCTCAGTAACTTTTTTGTGTTGTGTGTATTCAACTCACAGAGTTGAACCTTGCTTTAGAGAGAGCAGATTTGAAACACTCTTGCTGTGGCATTTTCAGGTGGAGATTTCAAGCGATTTGAGGACAATTGCAGAAAAGGAAATATCTTCGTATAATAACCAGACAGAATCATTCTCAGAAAGTGCTTTGTGATGTGTGCGTTCCACTCACAGAGTTTAACCTTTCTTTTCATAGAGGAGTTTGGAAACAAACTGTTTGTAAACTCTGCAAGTGGATATATGGACCTGTTTGAGGCCTTCGTTGGAAACGGGATTTCTTCATTGAATGCTAGACGGAAGAATTCTCAGTAAATTCTTTGTGTTGTGTGCATTCAACTCACAGAGTAGAACGTCCCTTTAGGCAGAGCAGATTTGAAACACTCTTTTTGCGGAATTTGCAAGTGGAGATTTCTAGCCATTTGATGCCAACAGTAGAAAGGGAAATATCTTCAAATAAAAACCAGACAGAATCATTCTCAGAAAATTCTTTGTGATGTGTGCGTTCAACTCACATAGTTTAACCTTTCTTTTCATAGAGCAGTTTGGAAACACTCTGTTTGTAAAGTCTGCAAGTGGATATATGGACCGCATTGAGGCCTTCGTTGGAAACGGGATTTCTTCATTTCATGCTAGACAGAAGAATTCTCAGTAACTTCTTTGTGCTGTGTGTATTCAACTCACAGAGTGGAACGTCCCTTTGCACAGAGCAGATTTGAAACACTCTTTTTGTGGAATTTGCAAGTGGAGATTTCAAGCGATTTGATGCCAACAGTAGAAAAGGAAATATCTTCAAATAAAAACTAGACAGAATCATTCTCAGAAACTACTTTGTGATGTGTGCCTTCAACTCACAGAGTTTAACCTTTCTTTTCTTAGAGCAGTTTAGAAACACTCTGCTTGTTATGTCTGCAAGTGGATATTTGGACCTCTTTGAGGCCTTCGTTGCAAACGGGGTTTCTTCCTTTCATGCTAGACTAAGAAGAGTTCTCAGTAACTTTTTTGTGTTGTGTGTATTCAACTCACAGAGTTGAACCTTGCTTTAGAGAGAGCAGATTTGAAACACTCTTGCTGTGGCATTTTCAGGTGGAGATTTCAAGCGATTTGAGGACAATTACAGAAAAGGAAATATCTTCGTATAACAACCAGACAGAATCATTCTCAGAAAGTGCTTTGTGATGTGTGCGTTCCACTCACAGAGTTTAACCTTTCTTTTCATAGAGGAGTTTGGAAACACACTGTTTGTAAACTCTGCAAGTGGATATATGGACCTGTTTGAGGCCTTCGTTGGAAACGGGATTTCTTCATTGAATGCTAGACGGAAGAATTCTCAGTAAATTCTTTGTGTTGTGTGCATTCAACTCACAGAGTGGAACGTCCCTTTAGACAGAGCAGATTTGAAACACTCTTTTTGCGGAATTTGCAAGTGGAGATTTCTAGCCATTTGATGCCAACAGTAGAAAGGGAAATATCTTCAAATAAAAACCAGACAGAATCATTCTCAGAAAATTCTTTGTGATGTGTGCGTTCAACTCACATAGTTTAACCTTTCTTTTCATAGAGCAGTTTGGAAACACTCTGTTTGTAAAGTCTGCAAGTGGATATATGGACCGCATTGAGGCCTTCGTTGGAAACGGGATTTCTTCATTTCATGCTAGACAGAAGAATTCTCAGTAACTTCTTTGTGCTGTGTGTATTCAACTCACAGAGTGGAACGTCCCTTTACACAGAGCAGATTTGAAACACTCTTTTTGTGGAGTTTGCAAGTGGAGATTTCAAGCGATTTGATGCCAACAGTAGAAAAGGAAATATCTTCAAATAAAAACTAGACAGAATCATTCTAAGAAACTACTTTGTGATGTGTGCCTTCAACTCACAGAGTTTAACCTTTCTTATCTTAGAGCAGTTTAGAAACACTCTGCTTGTTATGTCTGCAAGTGGATATTTGGACCTCTTTGAGGCCTTCGTTGCAAACGGGGTTTCTTCCTTTCATGCTAGACTAAGAAGAGTTCTCAGTAACTTTTTTGTGTTGTGTGTATTCAACTCACAGAGTTGAACCTTGCTTTAGAGAGAGCAGATTTGAAACACTCTTGCTGTGGCATTTTCAGGTGGAGATTTCAAGCGATTTGAGGACAATTGCAGAAAAGGAAATATCTTCGTATAATAACCAGACAGAATCATTCTCAGGAAGTGCTTTGTGATGTGTGCGTTCAACTCACAGAGTTTAACCTTTCTTTTCATAGAGGAGTTTGGAAACACACTGTTTGTAAAGTCTGCAAGTGGATATATGGACCTGTTTGAGGCCTTCGTTGGAAACGGGATTTCTTCATTGAATGCTAGACGGAAGAATTCTCAGTAAATTCTTTGTGTTGTGTGCATTCAACTCACAGAGTGGAACGTCCCTTTAGACAGAGCAGATTTGAAACACTCTTTTTGCGGAATTTGCAAGTGGAGATTTCTAGCCATTTGATGCCAACAGTAGAAAGGGAAATATCTTCAAATAAAAACCAGACAGAATCATTCTCAGAAAATTCTTTGTGATGTGTGCGTTCAACTCACATAGTTTAACCTTTCTTTTCATAGAGCAGTTTGGAAACACTCTGTTTGTAAAGTCTGCAAGTGGATATATGGACCGCATTGAGGCCTTCGTTGGAAACGGGATTTCTTCATTTCATGCTAGACAGAAGAATTCTCAGTAACTTCTTTGTGCTGTGTGTATTCAACTCACAGAGTGGAACGTCCCTTTGCACAGAGCAGATTTGAAACACTCTTTTTGTGGAATTTGAAAGTGGAGATTTCAAGCGATTTGATGCCAACAGTAGAAAAGGAAATATCTTCAAATAAAAACTAGACAGAATCATTCTCAGAAACTACTTTGTGATGTGTGCCTTCAACTCACAGAGTTTAACCTTTCTTTTCATAGAGCAGTTTAGAAACACTCTGCTTGTTATGTCTGCAAGTGGATATTTGGACCTCTTTGAGGCCTTCGTTGCAAACGGGGTTTCTTCCTTTCATGCTAGACTAAGAAGAGTTCTCAGTAACTTTTTTGTGTTGTGTGTATTCAACTCACAGAGTTGAACCTTGCTTTAGAGAGAGCAGATTTGAAACACTCTTGCTGTGGCATTTTCAGGTGGAGATTTCAAGCGTTTTGAGGACAATTGCAGAAAAGGAAATATCTTCGTATAATAACCAGACAGAATCATTCTCAGAAAGTGCTTTGTGATGTGTGCGTTCAACTCACAGAGTTTAACCTTTCTTTTCATAGAGGAGTTTGGAAACACACTGTTTGTAAAGTCTGCAATTGGATATATGGACCTGTTTGAGGCCTTCGTTGGAAACGGGATTTCTTCATTGAATGCTAGACGGAAGAATTCTCAGTAAATTCTTTGTGTTGTGTGCATTCAACTGACAGAGTGGAACGTCCCTTTAGACAGAGCAGATTTGAAACACTCTTTTTGCGGAATTTGCAAGTGGAGATTTCTAGCCATTTGATGCCAACAGTAGAAAGGGAAACATCTTCAAATAAAAACCAGACAGAATCATTCTCAGAAAATTCTTTGTGATGTGTGCGTTCAACTCACATAGTTTAACCTTTCTTTTCATAGAGCAGTTTGGAAACACTCTGTTTGTAAAGTCTGCAAGTGGATATATAGACCGCATTGAGGCCTTCGTTGGAAACGGGATTTTTCATTTCATGCTAGACAGAAGAATTCTCAGTAACTTCTTTGTGCTGTGTGTATTCAACTCACAGAGTGGAACGTTCCTTTACACAGAGCAGATTTGAAACACTCTTTTTGTGGAATTTGCAAGTGGAGATTTCAAGCGATTTGATGCCAACAGTAGAAAAGGAAATATCTTCAAATAAAAACTAGACAGAATCATTCTCAGAAACTACTTTGTGATGTGTGCCTTCAACTCACAGAGTTTAACCTTTCTTTTCTTAGAGCAGTTTAGAAACACTCTGCTTGTTATGTCTGCAAGTGGATATTTGGACCTCTTTGAGGCCTTCGTTGCAAACGGGGTTTCTTCCTTTCATGCTAGACTAAGAAGAGTTCTCAGTAACTTTTTTGTGTTGTGTGTATTCAACTCACAGAGTTGAACCTTGCTTTAGAGAGAGCAGATTTGAAACACTCTTGCTGTGGCATTTTCAGGTGGAGATTTCAAGCGATTTGAGGACAATTGCAGAAAAGGAAATATCTTCGTATAATAACCAGACAGAATCATTCTCAGAAAGTGCTTTGTGATGTGTGCGTTCAACTCACAGAGTTTAACCTTTCTTTTCATAGAGGAGTTTGGAAACACACTGTTTGTAAAGTCTGCAATTGGATATATGGACCTGTTTGAGGCCTTCGTTGGAAACGGGATTTCTTCATTGAATGCTAGACGGAAGAATTCTCAGTAAATTCTTTGTGTTGTGTGCATTCAACTCACAGAGTGGAACGTCCCTTTAGACAGAGCAGATTTGAAACACTCTTTTTGCGGAATTTGCAAGTGGAGATTTCTAGCCATTTGATGCCAACAGTAGAAAGGGAAATATCTTCAAATAAAAACCAGACAGAATCATTCTCAGAAAATTCTTTGTGATGTGTACTTTCAACTCACATAGTTTAACCTTTCTTTTCATAGAGCAGTTTGGAAACACTCTGTTTGTAAAGTCTGCAAGTGGATATATGGACCGCATTGAGGCCTTCGTTGGAAACGGGATTTCTTCATTTCATGCTAGACAGAAGAATTCTCAGTAACTTCTTTGTGCTGTGTGTATTCAACTCACAGAGTGGAACGTCCCTTTGCACAGAGCAGATTTGAAACACTCTTTTTGTGGAGTTTGCAAGTGGAGATTTCAAGCGATTTGATGCCAACAGTAGAAAAGGAAATATCTTCAAATAAAAACTAGACAGAATCATTCTCAGAAACTACTTTGTGATGTGTGCCTTCAACTCACAGAGTTTAACCTTTCTTTTCTTAGAGCAGTTTAGAAACACTCTGCTTGTTATGTCTGCAAGTGGATATTTGGACCTCTTTGAGGCCTTCGTTGCAAACGGGGTTTCTTCCTTTCATGCTAGACTAAGAAGAGTTCTCAGTAACTTTTTTGTGTTGTGTGTATTCAACTCACAGAGTTGAACCTGGCTTTAGAGAGAGCAGATTTGAAACACTCTTGCTGTGGCATTTTCAGGTGGAGATTTCAAGCGATTTGAGGACAATTGCAGAAAAGGAAATATCTTCGTATAATAACCAGACAGAATCATTCTCAGAAAGTGCTTTGTGATGTGTGCGTTCAACTCACAGAGTTTAACTTTTCTTTCCATAGAGGAGTTTGGAAACACACTGTTTGTAAAGTCTGCAAGTGGATATATGGACCTGTTTGAGGCCTTCGTTGGAAACGGGATTTCTTCATTGAATGCTAGACGGAAGAATTCTCAGTAAATTCTTTGTGTTGTGTGCATTCAACTGACAGAGTGGAACGTCCCTTTAGACAGAGCAGATTTGAAACACTCTTTTTGCGGAATTTGCAAGTGGAGATTTCTAGCCATTTGATGCCAACAGTAGAAAGGGAAACATCTTCAAATAAAAACCAGACAGAATCATTCTCAGAAAATTCTTTGTGATGTGTGCGTTCAACTCACATAGTTTAACCTTTCTTTTCATAGAGCAGTTTGGAAACACTCTGTTTGTAAAGTCTGCAAGTGGATATATGGACCGCATTGAGGCCTTCGTTGGAAACGGGATTTCTTCATTTCATGCTAGACAGAAGAATTCTCAGTAACTTCTTTGTGCTGTGTGTATTCAACTCACAGAGTGGAACGTCCCTTTGCACAGAGCAGATTAGAAACACTCTTTTTGTGGAATTTGCAAGTGGAGATTTCAAGCGATTTGATGCCAACAGTAGAAAAGGAAATATCTTCAAATAAAAACTAGACAGAATCATTCTCAGAAACTACTTTGTGATGTGTGCCTTCAACTCACAGAGTTTAACCTTTCTTTTCTTAGAGCAGTTTAGAAACACTCTGCTTGTTATGTCTGCAAGTGGATATTTGGACCTCTTTGAGGCCTTCGTTGCAAACGGGGTTTCTTCCTTTCATGCTAGACTAAGAAGAGTTCTCAGTAACTTTTTTGTGTTGTGTGTATTCAACTCACAGAGCTGAACCTTGCTTTAGAGAGAGCAGATTTGAAACACTCTTGCTGTGGCATTTTCAGGTGGAGATTTCAAGCGATTTGAGGACAATTGCAGAAAAGGAAATATCTTCGTATAACAACCAGACAGAATCATTCTCAGAAAGTGCTTTGTGATGTGTGCGTTCAACTCACAGAGTTTAACCTTTCTTTTCATAGAGGAGTTTGGAAACACACTGT